>NC_000005.10:118594655-118897685 GCF_000001405.40 Homo sapiens | reverse complement strand
ATGGTCTGTATTGTTTTTAACACTGATGTGTGGCTATTGTTGCAGTTATCTATTGCTGCATGTGCACACAATAATTAACATAGCAGGTTGGAGGCTACTCTCCTTGGAAACAAGCTTAGAAGGTTGACCTTTGTCTGGGATCTGAGAATGTAAATGGTAAAATTTCCTGCACTGATACAAAGCTTTTCCTAAGTGATAGGAGTGGCTCACTGTGCCTAAACTATTTGTGCAAAGAATTATGTATATGAACACCAGTTTTCTTCTGGGAGTCTGAAATTTTGATACATGCCAGGCAAAGGGTGCCTAGGTGACTAACCTCCAGTAAACCTCAAATTAGAGACATTCTGTCTCTAATGAGCTTCTGTTGTAGATAACACTTCACACATGTTACAATTCAGTACTGGAAGATTTAAGTAAATACATCTTATGTGATTTCACTGGGAGAAGACACTTGGAAACTTGTGCCTGGTTTCCTCTGAGCTGTGTCCCATGTGAGTTTTCTCCTGGCTGATTTTGCTTTGTATTCTTTCACTGTAATAAATATTAACCGTGAGTTCCACTATATACTGAGTTCTGTGAGTCCCAGAGAATCACTAAACCTGACTGTGGTCTTGGGTCCTCCTGAAATATTGCATAACAAACTCCCACAAAATGTTGTCTTAAAGCAACAACCATTTAATTGTATCTTATGAATTTGTTAAGAGTTTAGTCATGGTTTGATTTGATGTCCATAGAGGTTACTTGGTGGTTTTCGTCTAATGGTTAGGCTGGGCAAGAGAATCCAAGACAGCTTTAGGCACATACCTGGCACTTTGGCAGGGATGGGTGAAAGGTTGTACTCAGCTGGGTCCATTGACTGGAATGCCTACATGTGGCCTCTCCAGTATTAGAGCCCTGAAATGCCA
Source organism: Homo sapiens (assembly GCF_000001405.40). Classification (NCBI taxonomy): domain Eukaryota; kingdom Metazoa; phylum Chordata; class Mammalia; order Primates; family Hominidae; genus Homo; species Homo sapiens. Next base: position 118,896,780 of record NC_000005.10, on the reverse strand, counting down.
TTTAAAAAATCAGATTACCCTGACTAGGCAGATCATTTGTTCAATAATCTTATACTTCTGAAATAGCTCATATTTTTATTCTGAGCAGTATTAATTGATGTAATGAACTCCCTATTCGGCCACATATTTTATAAATACTTTGTGTTAGTTTTTAGAATTTGTCCCTGAACCATCTTTTTCAAGTGTTAAGGAATTTATTTTTCATTCTTTGAATAATTCTGTGCTTATGTTATCTATACCTTCTCTGGTTTTATTAACATGTTACATCTTTTTTTGGCTCTTATGTTTGTAAGAGAATTAATGTTTTTTTTTTTCTATCCTCCTCAGAGAGTATATGTTCTAGTTGTTTTTATCTTAACCTTTTTCAGACTCATGTTTTTCATCTGAAAATGAAAAATCTGACCTACATGTAGTATTACAGGCTCAGATGTACTATAATTTTTATTCTCCAGAAGAACTATGGAAGCATGAATTCTCTTTGTAGAAAATATTATTGCTTTTTATTACTGGAAATAATTATTAATATGGAAACTTTGCAACCTGTGATTAGAAGTGTTTCTTGTTTATTCACTGGTTTGTAGTTCCTGAGAGCCCTTGGAGCCGCCTTTATGAATAACATGAAAAATCCTTGAATCCTGTCAGTGGCTGTTTCACATTTTCGCTCATAGTTTGATAATTTTACATTTGAGTATGTTCAGGACTCCTGAGTGAATGTTATTCAACCATTATTTTTTTATATTCAGTAATCATGTTTATTTTTGTGTATTAATAGCAGCAAATGACATCTTCATGGGATATTACTGCATATTAGAAAAGAAAATAGTTTTGTATGAATTATATAATTTTATTCCTTAAACAAATTGTAAGGTGGTTTGAATGAGTATTATTAATGGTTCCATGTTATATGAGGAACTGAGGCTTGGTAGTATAGTGAAAAATAGGGATATATAATAGTTCTATCCTTCTGCATGTGGATATCCAGTTTTCCCATCACCATTTATTAAAGAGACTGCCCTTTCCCCAATGTATGTTCTTGGTGCCTCTGTTGAAAAGGAGTTGTCTGTAAGTAAGTGTGTGGACTTATTTCTGGGTACTGTATTCTGTTCCACTGGTCTATGTGTCCTTTTATGCTAGTGCCATACTATTTTGGTTGCTATAGCTTTATAGTGTAATTTGGAATCAGACAATGTGATGCCTTCAGCTTTGTTGTTCTTGCTCAAAATTGCTTTAGCTATTCACCATCTTTTGTGGTTCCATATGAATTGCAGGATTTCCTTTTTCTGTTTCTGTGAAGAATGTCATTAGTATTTGGTAAGGATTGCATTGAATCTGAAGATTGCTTAGGGCAGTATGGTCATTTTGACAATATTAATTCTTCCAATCCATGAGCACGGGATATCTTTCCATTTTTTTGTATGTCCTCTTCAATTACTTTCCTCAGTGTTTTACAGGTTTCCTTATATAGATCTGTAACATCCTTGATGAAATGTATTCATCGGTGTTTTTTTCTTTGTAGCTATTATAAATGGCATTGCTTTCTTGATTTTTTCAGGTTGATCACTGCTAGTATATGGAAATGCTGATCATTTTTGCGTGTTGATTTTGTACCCATCTTGCAACTTTACTTAATGTATCAATTCTAAGTGTTTTCTGTGGAGTCTTTAGATTTTTTTTAAATATAAGGACATGTAGTCTGCAAACAAGGCTAATTTGACTTGACTTTTTCCTTTTCAGTTTGGAGGTTCTTTATTTCTTCCTTTGCCTAATTTTTCTGGCCAGGACTTTCAGTACTATGTTGCATAACGGTGGTGTAAATGTGCTTTCTTGTCTTGTTCCAGTTCTTACTGGAAAGGCTTTCAGTTGTCCCCCATTCAGTGTGATAATAGCTGTGGTTTTGTGATATATGGCCCTTATGATGTTGAGGTATGTTTTTTCTGTACCAGGTTTGTTGAGGGTTTTTATCATGAAAGGATGTTGAATTTTGTTGAAATCTTTTTTAGCATCTGTTGAAACATTTGGTCTTGGTTCTGTTAATGTGATGTATTATGTTTATTGATTTGCATATGTTGAACATGCTTGTATTCCTTGGATGAATCCCACTTGATCATGGTAAATGGTCTTTTTAATGTGTTGTTAAATTCTGTTTGCTAGTATTTTGTTGAGACTTTTTACATTTGTGTTCATCAGGGATACCTTGATTTCATTTTTTGAAAATACCTTGAACAAGTATGTGTGAGTATATTTTTGGGTTCTTTTTCCTGTTCTATTTATTTATATATCTGTCTTTAAATAGCAATACCACACTGCTATGATTATTGTAGCTTTGTGGGAATAGTTGAAATCAGGTAGTATGTCCCTTAAGCTCTATTCTTTCTCTTTTTTTGATCAAAATTGTTTTGTATTTTTATTCCGCATTTCTGTGTATAAATTTTAGAATCAGTTTTTTGTTTTCCAACAAAAATCTTGCTAGGAGTTGGATTGGGATTGTACATATTGAATTACAGGTGGGGATGGATAGAGAGTGAAGTGGCCTTTTCTAATCAGATTTACATTTTAGAAGGGTCGCTCTTCTATCAGAGTTTAAAAGTGGATTAGAAGAGAGCAGGATTGAAGTCAGAGCAGTTTGCCAGAGTTTAAGTCATAGATGATGAAGACTAGAAGAAAGACACTGGTGGTATGTTATATAGGGGATTATAGATACTTTTGAAACCTGTGTCAGTTTCCTTTTTTTTTTTTTTTTGAGACAGAGTCTCCCTCTGTCACCCAGGCTGGGTGCCTGGTGCAGCACAAATTTATTATTCTGCCCTTCTCACTGGACTAAAATCAGTTTGTTAACCAACGGTGCTCCTTTATGGAGGATCTGAGATAGAAACTGTTCCCTTGTCATTTGGCTTGTTGGCAGAATTCAGTTCTTTGTGCTTGTAGATCTGAGATTTCTGTCTTCTTGCTGGGTCCAGCTGATGGCTGTTCCCGGATTCTAGAGGCTATCTGTGCTCCTTGGCTTGTGGTCCTCTCCATTCATTTTTAAAGCCAGCAATGGTGGGTTGATTCCCTTCGTGCTTTCTCCTCCTTTTTCAGTCTCCTCTTTCTGACCCAACTGGTAAAAGTTCTGGGAAGGGTTTTAAGGACTCATGTGACTAGATTGGGACCATTCATGTAATCTAGTATAATCTCCCCATCTGAACATCTTTAATTTGATCACATCTACAAAAATTGAAAAACTATAAAAATATATACTCAGAAGTCTCATTTCTTTCTATATCCCTTCTTTCTTATTTCCACATATCCTCTATGGGTAATCAATTTCATTGGCTTCTTGTTTATTTTTCCTCTATTGCATTTTTCAGAAAACTAGCAGATACACACACACACACGTATACATTTATAGTCTCATTTCCACTTTTTTTTTTTTTTTTTTTTGAGACTGTGTCTTAGTGTGTTGCCCAGGCTAGAGTGCAGTGGTGCGATCTCAGCTCACTGCAACCTCCACTTCCCAGGTTCAAGCGATTCTCGTGCCTCAGCCTCCCAAGTAGTTGGACCACAGGAGCATACTAATTTTTGTATTTTTAGTAGAGACAGGGTTTCACCATGTTGGCGAGGCTAGTCTCGAACTCCTGATCTTAAGCATTGGCTCGCCTTGGCCTCCCAAAGTGCTGGGATTACAGGCATGAGCCACCACGCTTGGCCTTTCATTTCCACTTTTTTTTATATAGAAGTACAGTACTGTATATATTCCTTTGCGTATATATATATATATTTTTAACTTAACAATATTTTCCTAGTAACCACTCCCATATCTGTTCAGAGATCTTCCTTATTCTTTTTATAGCCTCTGTATTCTTTCTTACATTCTGTAAGTGGATAAACTACAGTTATTCAACCAGTTTCCATAGAAATGTGTTTAGATTGTTTCTAATGTTTGCCCTGACAAATAATGCTGCATTGAATAATGTTTGTACATATGTTGTTTCATATTTATGGAGCTGGGTTTTTTTTTACCTCCTAGAAGTAGGATCAGATGGAAAATACATATGTAGTTTTGTTAAATACTATACAATTTCCTTCCATTGATTTTCTGCCATTTTATGACAATGTGTATTTCCCAGCAGCCTTTCCCACAAATTTGTTGTTAAGATTTTGAATGTTTTTTGTCGATTGGACAGGTGAGAAATGGTATTTCAAATTAATTTAAGTATAATTTATATAAAATAAAATGAATTTATTTAAAATGTAGAATGTTTTTTGTCAAATATACATTTCATGTAACCATCACAACAATTAAAATGTAGAATCCTCAGTAAAGATGTAGAACAATTTCTGTCATACCTCATTATGGTTTTAGTGAGTTTACTTACTGTGAACAGGCATAGTTTTTAAACCGATATACTTTTGCTTCTGAGTTAAATTGGTGATTTTAAAAAGATGAACCAATTTTGTCAATGTGTTTGTGAATATTAAAGGAAAGTATTTATTTGAAGGTGTTTACATGATTATCTTATTGTAAAATTTGAGGTATGCTTGTCACAACTTAGATATGTGAACTACTTTTTTCAACTGTATTTGATAAAATCTAAATATAGATTAAATATTTTTGATTAAAATTGAGCTTCCTAATGAAAATGCTCTGTATAGATAAAATACACACTGGATATCAAAGATTATTTGGAAAAGAAAAATAAAATCTCTTACTAATAATCTGTAATGATTACATGTTAAAATATTTTATTTTGGATCTGTTAGGTTAAATAAAATATTATTAAAATAATTTCACCTTTTTTACTCCTTTAAATATGGCTGTTAGAAAATTTAACATTACACATATAACTTACGTGATATATTTTAGTAGCATTGAGCTAGATTATTTTATTTTCTTGCTTGTATAAAAGTTTGTGGGTTTTCTTTCTGGATGTTTGAGGCTAAGAGACCGAAAGGCAGTTTGTTCTTAATTCAGTCACTAGTAGTTTCTTAGTTATCCTCATTATTTCAACCATTCTGTTAGTAAAGGTTTGTAATACATTTCATTTATTTATTAAATATTAGTGCTGTCATTCAGTGTATCTTATAGACTGTGTATGACTGTGTTGCATTCATATCTGAAAGCATCTAATAAAGTGAAATGACTTTGTGTTTATATATATCAATTACTGTAACTTCTAGTGAGCTATGTTATGAGACTGCTGGTGTTTAAGCCTCTAATTGCTTGCATTCTTTCAGAGGAGTACATTATTCAGAGATGTTTTGCATAGCCACAATTGAGAGTAGGCTGTGAGCAGCAGTGTATGCCTTGTAGACTTTCTTACCACAGCTGTCACAGTTGGCAAAGGTAATGGTGGAGAAGCACTGTATTAAATTGGTCCAGTAGTCATAATTAATTCAGAGAAAGAAGAGCTGTTTGCATAGCAGGCGTGCTTGGCATAGTTAGGCAGCTGATATGATTATGTGCCTCAATTATAGGGCATCGTGGGTAAAACTGCCTCTGTTTATGAGTGATGTGGATTGCATAGTGGGAACAGATGGCTAAAAAAAAAATACTTGACCTTCTAGTACATTGCCATACTAATAATGAAATTTTTTTTTTCTAAAAAATCAGGATAATTTTCTTATGGATTTTGAAAACAACCTAAATACAAATGGAAAAATTTAGCCAAATTTAATCAGAGGAAAGAAGTTATAGTAAAAAATCTCTTCCATTGCATCTGGAAATTACTAATGAAATCTCTTTATTGGTAAAGTTGTTGTATAAATATGTACGTATTTTTCACCTTACAGAATTTTATATTTAGCTCTCATCATATTCCTGCTCTATTCTTCTATCTGCTTACTAAGGAACTTGCACATTTTATTTATTTAAAAATTTTACCTTCAAACTATTTAACACAAATGAACTAGGCACATTTTAAAACACACATTTGGGCTGGGTTCAGTGGCCCACGCCTGTAATCCCAGCACTTTGGGAGGTCGAGGTGGGTGGATCACAAGGTCAAGAGATCGAGACCATCCTGGCCAACATGGCGAAACCCCGTCTCTACTAAAAATACAAAAATTACCTGGGTGTGGTGGCGTGCGCCTGTAGTCCCAGCTACTTTGGAGGCTGAGGCAGAAGAATCGCTTGAACCTGGGAGGCGGAGGTTGCAGTGAGCCAAGATTGTGCCACTGCACTCCAGCCTGGTGACAGAGGGAGACTCTGTCTCAAAAAAAAAAAAAAAAAAAAAAAAAAAGGAAAACCTAAAAGCCCCACTTTTTTACATATACATTTATTTGACTTCTGAAATAGAGAAATTTATGTAATTAGAGCACAAAACTCATGAAATCAGGAGTTTGATTGCTTTAATTTACATCATTAGGATTGCATTCTGTCTAAAATAAAGTCCACTTGTTTTCAAAGGTACGTGGAAATTTACATGAATTAATTTAAAATCTAAGAACCTTAAAATGTATAAAATGTGAATTACTGAAGTATATATAAGACTATTTGTTTAGAACTTTATTGTACCTAGTGTAATGAAATGTGTAGGACAAACAATATGACTTAATGCTTAGGAGCCCAGGCTTTGATGTCAGACTGACTTTATTCCTGTCTCCACAGCTTATCTGCTTTTTGACATGGCAAATTACCTCTCTGCCCTTAGTTTCCTCATTTGTAAAATGGTAATAATATAGCATTTACTTAACAGATGGTTGTGAGATAATATGTGCAAAACACTTCAGATGGCTTCTGATTGTACTGAGTACTCACCAAGTATTATTTATTGATATTTTATATAATGACATTTACTTTCTTTTGTCAGAAAATGGACTTACCCACTTCAATTTATTTTTTCTTGGTTAATAGATTTTACTTTGTATTATATTATTACCAGATTGTAACAGAATGATGCATACGTTTTTGAAGCCAGAGGATCTTGAGTTTTAGGGGATAGCTAAGTAGATTTTCATTCTTTCATGAAAAATTGTATTTCTTAAGAGATACATTTTAGTCTTAGAAAGCAGTGACTTAATCACTTTCTTACATCACACTAATGAAATAATTGTTGAAAAAACTATCGTTTTTTGAGATTTAAAATTTTTTGTAAAAGTAATATATTTACATGGCGGAAAAATCAGAAGATGAGAGAGTATACAGTGAAGAGCCTTTCTCTGACTGTTGTGCTTCATCTACCCAGTTCTCCTTCTTAGAGACAACCTATATATCAAGACTCTTGTTTATTTTTCAAAATTATTTTATTTATATACAAATAAATATACATGCATATCCCCCCGTGTTAGATATGTGATAAGTATCTGCTGTTTTGCTTTTTTCAATTTATAATGGATTTTAGGGCCTGTTCTGTGTCTGTATATGAAGAGCTTCTTTATTCATTTTTATAGCTGTCTCGAATTTCATGTCTGAATGTAATTTATTGCTTGATGTTAAATTATTCTGCCTTAGCCATTTGTTTTTCCAGTTTATTTTTCTCCTTATTTTCTGGTATTAGCTTTATATGGATTCTGTGCTGTTTTATTTATTGATTGAGTACTTATCTTTATATGAGATGAATTTTTCTTGGCTTGTTATTTGCAGGAAGTACCAGGGAAGGACCAGGTCAGGGCCCTAAGAGGAATTTTCACTGTAACCTTGGGTTTGTCTATGATTTCACCAAAAGCATGAGCCATAAAAGAACACATTGACTTGGACTTTCATTAAAATTAAAAATCTCTTCGAAAGACACAAAGGTCATACATTAAGAGAATGAAAAGACAAATCACATACTGAGAAATGTCTTCAAGGAATTATCTGAGAAAAAACTTGTATTCAGAATGTATAATTAACTTTCCATACTTAGTTATAAGTAAACATCTCAGTTAAAAATCCATAAGAGTTTTGAACATACACTTTATTAGTGAAGATATATGAAAAACAAATACACACGAAAAGATATTAGTAACATTAGTCATTAGAGAAATGCAAATAAAACCACATGAGATACCATTACACCCCTGTTAGAATGGTTAAAATTAAAAGCTGTCATGCCATGTGTTGGCAAAGCTGTGGAGAGTAACTGAAACTCTCAAACATAGCTAGTGGTAATGTAAAATGATAGTATCACTCTGAAACGTATTTTGGCAGTTTCTTGAAAAGTTAAATATGCAGGTAACATGTGATCCAGCCATTTCACTCCTAGATATTTAACCAAGAGAAATGAAAAGTATATGTCTATACAAAGACTTGCATGTAAATGCTCATACAGCTTTAATTGTAATAGCCCCAAACTAGGAACAACCCAAATGTCCATCAATAGGTGCATGGATAAACAGTGTGGCATATACATGTAATGAAAAACTACTAAGTAGTAAAAAAACAGTGCACTATTGATACACACTATAACACAGGTGAATGTGAAAATAATTATACTCAGTGAAAGAATCCAGATAAACATGAGTACCTATTGTATAATTTCATTTATATAAAATTGTAGGAAATTCAAACTAATGTATAGTCAGGAAGCAGATCCATTGCTAGCCTTGATGGATGAAGGAAGAAGGAAAGAGAAGGAGAGACGCAAGAAGTAGAGATTACAAAGGGTTAGGTGTGCCATGCTTATGTTCATTATCTTGATGGTAGTGATGATTTCACAGGTATATACATATGTCAAATCTTATCAAATTGGATACTTGAAATATATGCAGTTTATGTCAATTTTACTTTAGTAAAGTACTAAAAACATAAATGGAACAGATGAAAGTGTGTCATAGCTAAAGAGATCAGGAATAGTCCCCAGCCTCAGAATTCTTGCTGGGGTGTGCACAGTTGCAGATGGTATTGTCCAGTGAGTAAGGGTTGCATTAAGACACCTAGAACTGGCCAGGCATGGTAACTCATGCCTGTAATCCCACAACTTTGGGAGGCCAAGGCAGGAGGGTCACTTGAGCTTAGGAGTTTGAGACAAGCCTGGGCAGCATAGAGAGACCTCGTCTCTTCTAAAAAACCAAACCAAACCAAAACAAAACAGAACAATTAGTCAAGTGTGGTGGCACATGTCTGTGGTCCTAGGTACTCAGGAGGCTGAGGCAGGAGAATTGCTTGAGCCCAGGAGTTTGAGGCTGCGGTGAGCCATGACTGCACTCCTGCCCTCCGTCCTGTGTAAAACAGCGAGTCCCTGTCTTAAACAAAACAAAACGCCAGCCAACCAAACAAAAACATCTAGAAGTTCAACCATTCCCCTTCAGACCCATGCTTTTGTATACAGAAGGCTAGGGCAAGATACTGATTTTGATATATGGAGGGAACCATCTCATGTGGTTGGGTGTACTCCATCTGTCTTAGGGATAGTCAGTATTTATTGTAATAGTGTAGATCTTTACATTTGGACATGTACACAGTCTTTATTGATCACCCTTAGCCTTCCCAAACAATCAAAACCTGGTCCAAGCACATGTCCAAACTTAGTGCCAATTATCTAGAACAAATGTCAGTTGAGCTGGGAATCTCTGTGAATCACTCTATAGAGCCATGGACTAACTTTATTAGGGTATATCCCTGTATCTGATATTCTTGCACAAACTTTTAGAGAATAGAATATTTTTATCACGAATTTTAAATTAAAAGACCCCCTAGCAAGTTAAGAAAGTGGCAGATCCAGGATTTGAAACTGACATAAACTGCTCATTATATCCACTATACCATATAGTTTCTAGCCACCCAAACCACTCAGAAAAATTTTTTTGCTAGTAATAGCAATTTCAAATTGCTTTCCTCTAACTTCTTTTTGGGAGAGGATCCTGAATGGATCAACACATTGTAAAATAGATAAACACGGTACTTTTCCTATTGTTAATTCGGGTTTCTTTATTGGCATTAATTTCTTACCCAAATTTTCTACCCTTATAAAATTATTGGAGTTATGAAATCAAAGGATTACATTTTCTTACTGAAATTATGCTTAAAAATGAAATCCTAATCTATTTTGAAAAATCCCCATCTAGCTTTTTAAAATTAAACTTTTTATTTTGAGATAATTGTAGATTCACATGCAGTTGTAAGAAATATTTCATAGAAACATTCAGCTTTTTAAGCTATATAAAGTGAATATAGATGAAATAATAATGGATAAATAATAGAACTTGTATTACACAATGTAGTATACAGCATTCTCTCTCCATTAGCCACCTAAATTCTATGTTCATTAATAATAGACTCTGTAATTCCCTCACTTCTATATGAATTTTCTTACCTCTTCGCTTTACCTGCCATTCCCTGTATATCTAGAAGTCTCATATTCCTCAGATTAACTTATATTTGTCCCATAAACCCAGTTTTCAACTGCATTTCCTCTACTTGATTTCCTTGTTATGCTATTATAAGGTTAGACTTTTCTTCCCACTATTTCCATAGTACCCACAACATATTCCTTCACAGGGATTTATTTCATGCTTTAATAGTTGTCCATTGAGTTGCCTGCATTTCTTTGTAGACTACAAGATAACTGAGGAAGGAATTTTCTCTTGATCATCCTCAATCTCCAATAACCGTAAACTCTTTGAAGGCACACATTTCACTTATTTTTTTCCAGTGCCCTAGAACAGTGCCTGTTACGTACAGAGACTTGGTAAATATTAGAGGATAGATGAGAAATTATTGTACAGGATGGATAGACAGTATGTTAATTAATAATTCCAGTGAATAAGCACAATTTATAATAAAACATAAACCAGATTAAAGTGGATAGTGGTTTCTGTATGGGTCTGGCTTATTAGGTAGTTCCCCCAAGGTCCCCTTTCTTTTCACAGGTGGTGATTAGGAAAGTTTTTTTGTGTGTGTGTGTTTCTTTGAGACAGGGGTCTAATTTCTCACTCTGTTACCTAGGCTGGGGTGTAGTGGTGTGATCACAGCTTATTGCAGCCTCAACCTGCCAGGTAAAAGGGATCCTTACACCTCAGCCCCCTAAGTAGCTGGGACTACAGTTGCATGTTACCATGCCTGGCTAATTTATTTATTTTTTATATTTATTTTTTATTATTTTTATTTTTTTTTTTAAATACAGAGTTTCACTCTTTTTGCCCAGGCTGGAGTGCAATGGCACAATTTTGGCTCACTATAACCTCTGCCTCCCGAGTTCAAGAAACTCTCCTGCCCACAGCCTCCCGAGTAGCTGGGATTACAGGTGCATGCCACCACGCCTGGCTAATTTTGTATTTTTAGTAGAGACGAGATTTCGCCCTGTTGGCCAGGCTGGTCTCAAACTCCTGACTTCAGGTGATCCGCCCACCTCGGCCTCCCAAAGTGCTGGGATTACAGGTGTGAGCCACTGCGCCTGGCCAATTTTTTTTTTTTTTTTTTTTTTTTTGAGGTGGAGTCTTGCTCTGTCGCCCAGGCTGGAGTGCAGTGCAGTGGCTCGATCTCGGCTCGCTGCTACCTCCACCTCCCGGGTTCAAGCGATTCTTCCGCCACAGCCTCCTGATAGCTGGGACTGCAGGTGCCCGCCACCACACCCAGCTAATTTTTTGTATTTTTAGTAGAGATAGGGTTTCACTGTGTTGGCCAGGATGGTCTCGATCTCTTGACCTTGTGGTCTGCCCACCTGGGCCTCCCAAAATGTTGGGATTACAGGCATGAGACACTGCACCCGGCCAATTTTTTTTTTTTTTTTAATTTTTTGTAGAGACTTCATCTCCCTATGTTGCCGAGGCTGGTCTTGAACTCTTGGGCTTAAGCAGTCCTCCTGCCTTGGCTTCCCAAAGTGTTGGGATCACAGGCATGAGCCACTATACCCAACCTGGACGATTTTTTTTTTTTTTTTTTTTTTTGGAGATGGAGTCTCACTCTGTCCCCCAGACTGGAGTGCAGTGGCGTAGTCTCGGCTCACTGCAAGCTCCGCCTCCTAGGTTCATGCCATTCTCCTGCCTCAGCCTCCCAAGTAGCTGGGACTGCCACCACGCCCGGCTAATTTTTTGTATTTTAAGTAGAGGCCGGGTTTCACCGTGTTAGCCAGGATGGTCTGGATCTCCTAACCTTGTGATCTTCCTGCCTCGGCCTCCCAAAGTGCTGGGATTACAGGCATGAGCCACCACGCCCAGCCCCAACCTGGAAGGTTTTTAAAAGCTTATTTTGACCATCCGGAGAAATAGGATACAAAGTGTTAGAGGATATTTGAAGAAATAATTTTTGTGAAAGGAAAAAGCTATGCATATGATTAAAAAAATTTTAATTGGCTAAAGTGTGAAATATTTTCAGAAAGTAAATTTTTTTGAGTTGGGTAAAGTACAGTACCCTGTACTAAGATAAATTTAAATATGTATTTGATGAACTTTGTGTATGAGTGTGTCGATAATTTAGTTCACCTTTAGTTACAGCAAATTTATGTGACATGGAATTATCTTCTAGTGTTACTGATGTGGTTCATAGACACTGATTTCTGAAGGAGAGTGGGAGGTTAATAGTATATTACAAACTTAACATTTCTAGAACTCAGGATAAGCAAGACAGCATAATATTTCTTGAAGTAGCCAATGGGAGTGAAGAATTTAGTATTGTTCAGGTTCTGTGGGTGAGTTTTTGAAAAACATACAAAAGGAACTACATGTATGTATGTATGTAAAAGCACAGATCTGTTAGTGAAGTGAGAAGTATACATTACTCTCAAATGTTAGTGCTTCTGGAAGAATTTTATTAAGAACATTCTAGATTTGATTAAACAGAGATGAGAAATGTTCATCATAGTCTTCATGTTTCTTTTTGCCTGTTCCTTTTTAATCTAGTAACTGCAAAATTGTATCTACAGAAAAAGAGCTTTTACAAATTTACAAAAATCTGCTGTCTAATTTTGAACTACACTATTCTGTCTCTTCTGCTCATTACTTACAGAACTATAAATATTTGTGAAGTTCATAGCCCCACCATTTTCAAGTGTCATTTTTGTTAGCTTTATTTATTTTCTCTCTCCTGTAAAAAGATTTTGAAATAAGTTTTATCTTGTGATATGGTTTGGCTCTGTGTCTCCACCCAAATCTCATCTCCAATTGTAATCCCCATATGTTGAGGGAGGGACCTGGTGGGAGGTGATTGGATCATGGGGGTGCTGTTTTTGTGATAGTGAGGGAATTCTCATGAAATCTGATGGTTATAAAAGTGTCAGTCTCCCCTTGTGTGCTCTCTCTCCTGTGGCCATGTAAGAGGTGCCTACTTCCCCTTTGTCCTCTACCATGATCGTAAGTTTCCTGAGGCCTCCTCAGCTATGCGGGGAACTGTGAGTCAATTACACTGCTTTTGTTTAGAAATCACTCAGTCTCAGGTAGTGTCTTTATAGCAATGTGAAAATGGACTAATATAGGAAATTGGTACTGGCAGAGTGGGTACTGCTATAAAGATAATCTGAAAATGTGAAAGCAGCTTTGGAATTTGGTAACAGGCAGAGGTTGGAACAGTTTGGAGGGCTCAGAAAAAGACAGGAAGATGTGGAAAAATTTGGGACTTCCTAGAGACTTGTTGAATGGTTTTGACCAAAATGCTGGTAATGAAATAGACAATGAAGTCCAGGCTGAGGTGGTCTCAAATGGAGATGAGGAACTTATTGGGAACTGGAGCAAAGGTCACTCTTGCTATGCTTTAGCAAAGAGACTGGCTGAATTTTGTCCCTGCCCTAGAGATCTGTGGAACTTTTAACTTGAAAGAGATGATTTAGGGTACCTGGCAGAACAAATTTCTAAGCAGCAAAGCATTCAGGATGTAGGTATTCTCAAAGAGATGGTTTGATATTGGAACTTTTGTTAACTTATGTTTAAAAGAGAAGCAGAACATAAAGGTTTGGAAAATTTGCGGCCTGACCATGAGGTGGGAAACAAAAACCCATTTTCTGGGGAGGAATTCAAGCTGGCTGCATAAATTTGCATAAGTAATGAGGAGCTGAGTGTTAGTAGGCAAGACAATGGGGAAAGTGTCTCCAGGGCATGTCAGATATCTTCGTGGCAGACTTTCCTATGAATGGTTTTGTGGGCTGGCCCCAGGGCCCTGCTGCTCTGTGCAGCCTCAGGGCTTGGTGCCCTGTGCCCCGAAGCTCCATCTCCAGCCATTGCTAAAGGGTAGGCTAAGGTACAGCTCAGAACATTGTTTCAGAGGGTGCAAGCCCCAAGCTTTGGCAATTTCCATGTGCCTTGGGCCTGCAGGTGTGCAGAAGTCAAGAGTTGAGTTATGGGAGCCTAGATTTCAAAGGATGTATGGAAACGACTGGATGTACAGGCAGAAGTCTGCTGCAGGTGCAGAGCCCTCATGGAGAACCTCTGCTAAGGCAGTGCAGAAGGGAAATGTGGGTTTGGAGCCCCCACACAGAGTCCCCAGTGGAGCACTGCCTAGTGGAGCTCTGAAAAGAGGGCCACTGTCCTCAAGACCCCAGAATGTAGATCCACTGACAGCTTGCACCATGCACCTGGAAAAGCCACAGATACTCAATGCCAGCCCATGAAAGCAGCCGTAGGGACTGTGCCCTGCAGAGCCACAGGGGCTGAGATGTGCAAGACTTTGGAAGCCCTCCTGTTGCATCAACTTGCCCTGCATGTGAGACCTGGAGTCAAAGGATATTTTGGAGCTTTAAGATTTAATGACTGCCCAGCTGGGTTTTGGACTTGCATGCGGCCTGTGGTCCCTTTGTTTTGGCCAATTTCTCCCATTTGGGATGGGAACATTTACCCAATGCCTGTACTCCCATTGTATCTTGGAAGTAACTAACTTGTTTTTGATTGTACTGGCTCATAGGCGGAAGGTACTTGTCTCAGATGAGGCTTTGAACTTGGACTTTTGGGTTAATGTGGAAATGAGTTAAGACTTTGGGGGACTGTTATGAAGGCGAGATTGGCTTTGAAATGTGCAAATTACATGAGATTTGCAAGGGGGCAGGGACGGAATGATATAGTTTGACTCTGTGTCCCCACCCAAATCTTATGTCAAATTTTAATTCCCAGTGTTGGAGGACGGACCTGTTGGGAAGTGATCGAATAATGGGGCTGGTTTTTCTCTTGCCATTCTCATGATGGTGAGGGATTTCTTACGAGATCTGATGGTTTTAAAAGTGGCAGTTTTCTATTGTGCTCTCTCTCTCTCCTGCTGTTGTGTAAGAGGCGCCTGCTTCCCCTTCACTTTCTACCGTAATTGTAAGTTTCCTGAAGGCTCCCCAGCCATGTGGAACTCTGAGTCAATTAAACCTTTTTCTTTTATAAGTTACCTAGTCTCAGGTAGTATCTTTATAGCAGTATGTAAACAGACTAATACATCCTCTAAGACCAGTAGTATTTGTTTTTCATTTCTTTATTAAAAGAAATATTGAGGTTCTAGAAATATATCAGTTTCAAATAATGCTGATAGCTATTAGAAAGAAATAATACTTTCAAATTATTAATACTCATATAAGCCATGTTATTTCTTAGGCGTATGAACTTTTCAAATACTCAAATTATATTTTTTTGAAATTAGCAATGAAGGTTTTAAAAAATTATATCTTAGATTATGGTATTTAGAGGCATATTAACTTATGATAAAACAGAAAGCAAAGGTATCAGTTGAATCAAATTCTTGTGAAATTCATGTGACTTAACAGATATTTTAAAAATGGTACCTACACCTTTAGTACTGTATTTGCTTTTTCTGTATGAATTTAAACATAGTATGAGAAACACAAGGTAGCTAGCATGTTAAGTATTTTGTTGCAGGAATAAAGTATTTTTCTCCAAAATAGATGTATGTTAGAATGCATTCAAAATCTAATATATAACATTAAAACTAAAACTATGAGTTTAATTCTGTTGGATGAAGTTACTAATCAGTTAAGATCAAATCATTTGCATGCAACACGTTTTGCTGATAGCATTAGAGCTTTAAGGTGATTGAAGTGGTTTTCAGCGAGTTCCAAAAAGCTGTATAAAAATATTGAGAAATGTATTTGTTTTAATTGTTAAAGAAACCCCCAAACAAAATACTTCTTCAAACTAAAGAGCTTAAGGTCTTGGTTCATGTATAAGTTTAGCCGTGACTTTTGATGGTTATTTCAATATTTAAACATTTTAGACTAGCCTGCTAGGAAAGAGTATGAAATGTATGAGAAAGATAATATTATTTTTATATGTAAAAAATAAATAACTAGTTTGATAGCCTTTTGTTTTCAGAATAATGAATACACTTTACATGAAGAGTAGCACCATTTAAATGCATTTTAGTATATATTTTCCAGTGGTATGTGTTTGTAGAGATGCCATAGCCCAACAAATATATGAGAATTGAGATAATCTGTAAATGGAAAAAAGCTGAGATGTATTTTCTAAAAGGAAATAAGTAAATATAATAACGGTTTTGTTGTGCCCAGAATCTAATGAAAAAACAAAACAAAACCCCATTCCACTTGAAAATCAGGTGGCATGCTTTAAAGAGAGTTTTTAAAATTCCAAAGGGAATCCCAACTGTTACACGCATCTGATTGATAAGTGTTTTTGAGCTCATTAATTTTTAAAACAGGTTGTATTTGATGTTTGGGAATCTAAAATTCTGTTTATTATAAGACATATCCTAATTTTAGAGATGGTAAAATGTGGAGGAAAATGTGGGTCTAAGAATTAGACAGATACAAGATTATTGTTCACAACAGAAAAATGTCAAATAGCTTACAGTGACAAAAATACTGCAGTCTGGATGTGAATTGAGCACTAGTGCAACTTTAAAACTCTCTTTTAACTGTCAAAATATAATTCTTCATTTGTAGTTATCTTTCTGTGTCGGTGCATAAGATATAGAGGCATACCACTTTTGTATTGTATTCACTCTATCGCGCTTTGCAGATAGTGTGATTAAAAGTTTTCTTTAACTTGTATTTTAAGTTTAGGGGTACATGGGCAGGTTTGTTACAAAGGTAAATGTGTGTCATGGGGTTTCTTTGTACAGATTATTTCATCACCCAGATATTAATCCTAGTATTCATTAGTTATTTTTCCTGATCTTCTCCCTCCTCCCACTCTCTACCCTCCAGTAGGCCCCAATGTGTGTTGTTTCCCTCTATGTATTCCTGTGTTCTCATCACTTAGCTCTACGTATAAGTAAGAACATGTGGTATTTGATTTTCTAATCCTGCGTTAGTTTACTAAGGATAAGGGCCTTTAGCTCCATCCATGTCCCTGCAAAGGACATGATCTCGTTCTTTTTTTTTTTTTTTTTTTTTGAGCTGTAGTCTCGCTCTGTCGCCCAGGCTGGAGTGTAGTGGTGCGATCTTGGCTCACTGCAACCTCTGCCTCCTGGGTTCAAGTGATTCTCCTGCCTCAGCCTACCAAGTAGCTGGGACTACAGGTGTGCGCCTCCATGCCCAGCTAATTTTAATATTTTTAGTAGAGACAGGTTTCACCGTGCTGGCCAGGCTGCTCTCGAACTCTTGACCTCCCAAAGTCAAAGGCCCAATATCAGCCTCCCAAAGTGCTGATATTACAGGCATGAGCCACCGCAGTTGGCCCATCTTGTTCTTTTTAATGGCTGCGTAATATTCCATGGTGTATATGTACTGCATTTTCCTTATTCAGTCTATCACTAATAGGCATTTAGGTTGATTCCATGACTTTGCTATTGTGAATAGTGCTGCAGTGAAGATACACGTGCATGTATCTTTATAATAGAATGATTTATATTCCATTGGGTATATAGCCAGTAATGGGACCTCTGGGTCAAATGATATTTCTGACTTTAGGTCTTTGAGTCATCTCGAAACTGCCTTTCACAGTGATTGAGCTGATTTACAGCCCCCCAACAGTGTAGAAGTGTTCCTTTTCCTCTACAACCTTGCTAGCATCTGTTATTTTTTGACTTTTTAATAATAACCATTTTGATTGGTGTGAGATGGCATCTCATTGTGCTTTTGATTTGCATTTCTCTAATGATCAGTGATATTGAGCTTTCTTTCATATGACTGTTGGCCACATGTATGTCTTCTTTTGAAGTGTTCATATCCTTTATCCACTTTTTAATAGGATTTTTTTTTCTTGTGAATTTGTTTAATAGATAGCATTCCTTTTTTGGATGCATAATTTGCAAAAATTTTCTCACATTCTGTAGATTGTCTGTTTGCTCTGATGATAGTTTCTTTTACTATGCAGAAACTCTTCAGTTTAATTAGATCCCATTTGTCAATTTTTGCTTTTGTTGCAATTGCTTTTGACATTGTCAACAAAGATTTTTGTTATGAAATCTCTGCCTGTGCCTGTGTCCTGAATGGTTGTCTTTCAGGGTTTTTATAGTTTTGAGTTTTACAGTTAAGTTTTTAATTCATCTTGAGTTAATTTTTTATATGGTATAATGAAGGGGTCCAGTATCAATCTTCTGCATATGACTAGCCAGTTATCCTAGCACCATTTATTGAATAGGGACTCCTTTCCCCATTGCTTGTTTTTGTGAGGTTTGACAAAGATCAGATAGTTGTAAGTGTGTGGGCTTACTTCTGGGTTCTTTACTCTGTTCCATTGGTTTATGTGTCTGTTTTCATACCAATACCATGCTGTTTTGGTTACTGTAGCCCTGTAGTATAGTTCAGAGTCAGATAGTGTGATGCTTCCAGCTTTGTCCTTTTTGCTTAGGATTGCCTTGGCTATTTGGGCTCTTTTTTGGTTCCATATGCACTTTAAATTAGTTTTTTTCTAGTTCTGTGAAGAATCTCAATGAGAATTTAATAGGAATAGCATTGAATGTATAAATTACTTTGGGTAGTATGCCCATTTTAATGTTTTTCCATTTGTTTGTGAGATCTCTGGTTTCTTTGAGCAGTGTTTTGTAGTTCTCCTTGTAGAGATCTTTCACCTCCCTAGTTAGTTGTATTCCTAGGTATTTTATTCTTTTTGTAGCAGTTGTGAATGGGAGTAGGTTTCTGAATTGGCTCTCAGCTTAACTGTTGTTGGTGTATAGGAATGCTAGTGATTTTTGCATATTTATTTTGTATCCTGAAACTTTGCTTAAGTTGTTTATGAGCTTAAGCTTTTGGGATGAGACTCTGGGGTTTTCTAGCTATAGGATCATGTTATCATGTTGTTTACAAACATGGATTGTTTGACTTTCTCTCTTCCTTTTTGGATGCCCTTTATTTCTTTCTCTTGCTCGATTGTCCTGGCCTGGACGTCAAATACTGTGTTGAATAGGAGTAGTGAAAGAGGGCATCTTTGTGTTTTGCTGGTTTTCAAGGGGTATACTTCCCTCTTTTGCCCATTCAGTATGATGTTGGCTGCTGGTTTGTCATATATGGCTCTTATTATTTTGAGGTATGTTTCTTCAATGACTGGTTTCTTGAGAGCTTTTTTTATTTTTTTTATTTTTTTTATTTTTGAGACGGAGTCTTGCTCTGTCACCCGGGCTGGAGTGCAGTGGTGTGATCTCCGCTCACTGCAAGCTCCATCTCCTGGGTTCATGCCATTCTCCTGCCTCAGCCTCCCAAGTACCTGGGACTACAGGCACCCGCCACCACGCCTGGCTAATTTTTTGTACTTTTAGTAGAGATGGGGTTTCACCATGTTAGCCAGGATGGTCTCGATCTCCTGACCTTGTGATCCACCTGCCTCGGTCTCCCAAAGTGCTGGGATTATAGGCATGAGCCACTGTACCCGGCCACTTGAGAGTTTTTAACATGAATGGATGTTGAATTTTATTGAAAGCCTTTTCTGCATCTATTGAGATAAGGAGTATATTTGCCTTTAGTTCTGTTTTCACATTTATTGATTTGCATGTGTTGAACTAACCTTGCATTCCAGGGATAAAGCCTACTTGATTATGGTGGATAAGCTTTTTGATGTGCTGTTGAATTTGGTTTTCCAGTATTGTGTTAGGCATTTTTGCATTGATGTTCATCAAGAATAGTTGCCTGTAGTTTTCTTTTTTTATTGTGTCTCTGCCAGGTTTTGGTATCACGATGATGCTGGCCTTGCAGAATGAGTTTGGGAGGAGTCCCTCCTCCTCAATCTTTTGGAATAGTTTTAGTTGGAATGATACCAGCTCTTCTTGTACATTTGGCAGAGTTCAGCTGTGAATCCATCTGGTCCTTGGCTTTTTTTGGTTGGTAGGCTATTTATTACTGCCTCAATTTCAGAGCTCATTATTGGTCTGTTTAAGGACTTCTTCCTGTTTCAGTCTTGGGAGGGTGTATGTGTCCAGGAATGTATCCATTTCTTTTAGATTTTCTAGTTTATGTGCATAGAGGTGTTCATACTACTCTGTGATAGTTGTTTGTACTTCTGTGGGGTCAGTGGTAATACCCCTCTTGTCGTTTCTGATTGTATTTATTTGAATCATATCTCTTTTCTTGTTTATAAGTCTAGCTAGTGGTCTATTCTTTTTTTAAATTTTTTCAAAACATCAACTCCTGGATTCCTTGGTCTTTTGAATGGTTTTTCATGTCTTAGTCTCCTTCAATTCACGGTTTTTCATGTCTTAGCCTCCTTCAGCTCTGATTGTGGTTATTTCTTGTCTTCTGCTGGCTTTGGAATTTGTTTGCTCTTGGTCCTCTAGTTCTTTTAGTTGAGATGTTAGGTTGTTAATTTGAGATCTTTGTAACTTTTTGATGTGGGCATTTAGTGCTATATATTTTCCTTTTAACACTGCCTTACCTGTGTCCCAGAGGTTCTGGTATGTTGTAGCTTTGTTCTGATTAGTTTCAAAGAAGTTCTTGATTTCTGCCTTCATTTCATTATTTACCCAAAAGTCATTCAGGAGCAGGTTATTTAATTTCCATGTAATTGTATGGTTTAGAGTGAATTTTCTTTGTCTTGATTTTAATTTTGATTGTGTTGTGGTCCAAGAGACTACTTGTTGTAATTTTAGTTCTTTTGCATTTGCCGAAGAGTGTTTTACTTCTGATTATGTGATAATTTTAGAGTATGTGTTATGTGGCGAAGAAAAGAATATATATTCTGTTGTTTTTCACAGAGAGTGGATACCCGTTGGGTCCGTTCGATCCAGTGCTGAGTTCAGGTCCTTAATATCTTTGTTAGTTTTTTGTCTTGATCTGTGTAAGATTGTCCGTGGGGTGTTAAAGTCTCCACTATTATTGTGTGGAAGTCTAAGTCTCCTTGAAGGTCTCTGAGAACTTGCTTTATAAATCTGGATGCTCCTGTGTTGGGCACATACATATTTAGGATAGTTAGCTCTTGTTGAATTGAACCCTTTACCATTATGTAATGCACCTTTTTGTCTTTTATGATCTTTGTTGGTTTAAAGTCTTTTTTTTTTTTTTTTTTTTTTCAGAAACTAGGATTGCAACCCCTACCTTTTTTCTATTTTTTATTTGCTTGGTAGATTTTTCTCCCTCCCTTTATTTTGAGCCCATGTATATCACTGCATGTGAGATGGTCTCTTGAAGACAACATACCAATAGGTCTTGGTTCTTTATACAGGTTGCCATGCTGTGTCTTTTTATTGGGGCATTTAGCCCATTTACATTTAAGGATAGTATTGATATATGTGGATTTGTTCCTGTCATCATGATGCTAGCTGGTTATTTTGCAGACTTGTTTATGTGGTTGCTTTATAGTGTCACTGGTCTGCATACTTCAGTTTGTTTTTGTAGTGGCTGTAGTGGTCTTTCCTTTCCATATTTAGTGCTTCCTTCAGGAACTCTCATAAGGCAGTTGGCAACAATTTCCCTCAGCATTTGCTTGTTTGAAAATGATCTTACTTTTTTCTCCGTATGAATCTTAGTTTGGTAGTTATGAAATTCTGGGTTGGATTTCTTTTCTTTAAGAAATATTGAATATTGGCCTCCAATTTCTTCTGGCTTGTACAGTTTCTGTGGAGAGGTTCACTGTCTGATGGGTTTCTCTTTGTAGGTGACCTGGCCTTTTTCTCTGACTGCCTTTAACATTTTTTTTCTTTAATTTTGATCTTGGAGGATCTGATGATTATCAGTCTTGTGGTTGATCTTCTTATGGAGTATCTTACTGGGGCTCTCTGCATTTCTGGAATTTGAATGTTGGCCTCTCTAGCTAGCTTTGGGAAGTTCTCCTGGATGATATCCTGAAATATGTTTTCCAAGTTGGTTCCTTTCTCCCCGTTTCTTTCAGGTACCCCAATCAGTCATAGATTTGTTCTCTTTTTGTAATCCCATATTTTTTGGCGGTTTTGTTCATTCCTTTTCTTTTCTTTTTTCTCTATTCTTGTCGGCCTGTTTTATTTTAGAAAGCCAGTCTTCAAGCTCTGAGATTCTTTCCTCCACTTGGTCTGTTCTGCTGTTAATACTTTTGATTGCATTGTGAAATTCTTATGGTGTGTTTTTCAGCTCTATCATGTTGCTTACAGTCTTCTCTATATTGGCTCTTTTGTCTATCAGCACCTGCATTGTGTTATGATGATTTTTAGCTTCCTTGCATTGGGTTTTAATGTACTTCTGTAAATAACAAACTTTGTTCATATTCATATTCTAAATTATATTTCTCTCATTTCAGCCATCTCAGCCTCACCCTGGTTCCAAACCATTGTTGGAAAGGTGATGTGGTCATTTGGAGGAAAGAACATACTCTGGCTTTATGAGTTTTCAGCATTCTTGCACTGATTCTTTCCCATCTTTGTGGTCTTATCTATATTCAGTCTTTGAGATTGCTCACCCTTGGATGGGTTTTCTTTTTCTTTTATCTTGTTTGATGACCTTGAGGGTTTTATTGTGGAATAAGGTGGATTCAGTCGACTGGTTTTGTTTCTGGGAGTTTTTACAGGGCCAATGCTCAACTCCCACCTCTTAGACTGAGTGCTGTAACTCCTGGGGACTTGTATTGCACCCAGACTTTGTTCTCTGGCTCCTTAAGCCTTGGAATCCACTGCACTTGGGGGTCCAAGCTGCAGCAGTTGCAACAGAGTGCTGGTGGATGCAGGGGTGCCTGCCTCCCTGCTGGCATTCACCACAGTGGTGAAGGCAAGTTGTGTGGGGTGAGTAGAGGGGTTGCAAAGTCTCCTCCTGGAGACTCTGCTCTGTTGCAGTTGAGATGGAGTTGGCTTGGGGCAGGATGCTGGTTGGTACAGGTCTAGGTGCCTTCTCTGTGCCCCTCAAGATGGAGTGTCTCTAAGGTTGTGGGAGGATTCCTTGTTCTCTGTCAGGGTTAGCGCAAGTGTGAGTTGCTGGTGAAAGCGGGCCATGCTGGCTGTGTGCCCACCAAGGGAGCCGTCAGTGGGGATTGGCAGGGGCGATGGGCATCCTGCATTCTCACATGTGGGTGGTGCAAGTAAAGCAAAACTCACCATGCAGACATGTACCAGCAAAGTGAGGTGGGGAGTTGCTGTGGGCTTGCAGGTATGCTGCAGTATGAAGAAGCCGCATGCAGGCTGATGTATGGCTGTAGGAGCCGCCCTGCTGAAGCTCTCTACCAGACAGGCACAGTCTGTCTGTGCAGAAGGTATGGTATAGGCCCCCAGGGCACTGGAGGCTGCTCTTTAAGCAAGTGTGACTAGGCTGGGGCCCTGGGAGAGGCCAGCCAACTGAGGGGTGCTCAGGTCAGACCAGCCCCATCTAACGTGCAAGACTGCCCTGCAGAGTTCATGTGTGACATTTCCCCTAGGGCTAAAGTCTCTTATGGGAGCAAGTTGAGCCTAGCGGGATGGCTGTTCCGGGCTGTGCTCCACTATAGACACTCCTGCACCAAACCCTCTGGGTTCTCTAAGCAGCTTTTCCTGCTACCTCAGTGTCCATGGTGATCAAGGGGTCCCCTTCTGCCAGGGATCCAGAGGCCCATAGTGAGAGCAGATTGCTCCTTGCCTTTTCACCTCACCTGCTTCCCTGGAGCTGTTGTGGCTCAAAAATGAGTCCCAGTGCATGTTAGTGTTTTCAGTGTTCCTGTCTTTCTCCTCCTTCTGCCCAGCTTCTGTGTCTTCCCTCCATTCACTCTCGGCGCCATCCCTCTGAAGATCTGTTTCAAGCATGCCTGTCATTCCAGTCCCTCTGTGGGAGCTATTCTACTTGCTTCTGTCTAGTTGGCCATCTTCTAGTGCGATTTTTACAAATTGAAGATTTGTAGCAACTCTGCTTCGTGTAAATCTGTCAGCACCGTTTTTCCAACAGCATGTGCTCAGATCATGTCTGTTTAACATTTTGGTAATTCTTACAATGTTTCAAACTTTTTCATTGGTATTATTTCTGTTATGGTGGTGGTCTGTGATCAGTGATATTTGATGTTACTTTTGTGATTGTTTTGGGGTGCCACAAACCTCACCTATAGAAGAAGGCAAACTTAATCAATGTTTTGTGTGTTTTGATTGTTCCACCTACTGGCCTTTCTCTTTCTTCCTCTTCTCAGGCTGTCCTATTTTCTGAGATACAACAATTTTGAAATTAGGCCAATTAATATCCTAGAATGGCCTCTAAGCGTTCAAGTGAAAGGAAGAGTCACATGTCACTTACTTTAAATCAAAGGCTAGAAATGATTAAGCTTATTGAGGAAGGCATGACAAAAGCAGAGATAGACTGAAAACTAGGCCTCTTGTACCAAGCTAGATAGCCAAGTTGTGAATGCAAAAGAAAATTTATTGAAGGAAATTAAAAGTGTTACTCCAGTGAACACATAAATGATAAAAAAGTGAAAATAACCTTATTGCTGATAGGGAGAAAATTTGAGTGGTCTGGATAGAAGATCAAACCAGCTATAACATTCCCTTAGGCAAAGCTTAATCTACAGCAAGGCTCTAACTCTCTTCAATTCTGTTAAGATTGAGAGAGGTGATGAAGCTACAGGAGAAAAGTTTGAAGCTATCAGTGGTTGGTTCATGAGGTTTGAGAAGCTATCTCTTTAACAAAAAAGTGCAAGGTGAATCGTCAAGTGCTGATGTAGAAGTTGCATCAAGCTATCCAGAATATCTAGCTAATATTATTGATGCAGGTGTCTACACTAAACAGTAGGTTTTTAATGTAGACAAAATAGACTTCTATTAGAAGGACTTTGATAGCAAGAGAGAAATCAGTGCCTGGGTTTCAGAGCTTCAAAATATAGGCCGACTTGCTTGTTAGGGGATAATGCAGCTGGTGAGTTTCAGGTTGATGCCAGTGGTCATTTACCATTCTGAAAAACCTAAGGTCCTTAAAAATCATGCAAAATCTACTCTGTCTGTGCTTTGTAACTGGAAAAAGAAAGCCTGGATGATGGCTCATCTGTTTACAGCATGGATTATTGAATATTTTTAGCTCCTTTTTGACACCTATTGCTCAGAGAAAAAGATACCTTTCAAAATATTACTGTTCACGCAAGAGATCTGATGAAGATGTATAAAGGAGATTCACGTTATTTTCACTCCTGCTGATACAACGTCCTTTCTGCAGCCGTGGATCAAGGAGTAAATCTGACTTTCAAGTCTTATAATTTAAGAAATACATTTCATAAGGCTATAGTTGCCATAAATAGTGATTCCTCTGATGGATCTGGAAAAAGTAAGTTCAAAACCTGCTAGAAAGGATT
This sequence comes from Homo sapiens, assembly GCF_000001405.40. NCBI lineage: Eukaryota > Metazoa > Chordata > Mammalia > Primates > Hominidae > Homo > Homo sapiens. Next base: position 118,871,373 of record NC_000005.10, on the reverse strand, counting down.
CACCATTCTCGATGTCATTAAGAACATTTGTGATTCGTGGGAGGAGGTCAAAATAATAACAGGAGTTTGGAAGAAGTTGATTCCAACTCTCGTGGATGACTTTGAGGGGTTCAAGACTTCAGTGAGGAAGTTATTGCAGATATAGTGAAAATAACAAGAGAACTAAAATTAGAAGTGGAACCTAAAGATGCAAATGAATTGTTGAAATCTCATAATTTAACTTGAACAGATGAGGATTTGCTTCTTATGAATGAGCAAAGAACATAGTTTCTTGAGATGGAATCTACTCCTGGTGAAGATGCTGTGAACATTGTTGAGATGACTACAAAAGATTTAGAATATTATGTAAGATTTGGAATATTAAAATTTAGAATATTATATAAGATTTAGAATATTATATAAGCTTAGTTATATGTTATATGTACATTATATATTATATAAGTTATTATATAAGATTTAGAATATTATATAAGCAGCAGTAGGGGTTGAGAGGATTGACTCCAGTTTTGAAAAAAGTTTACTGTGGAAAAAAAGAAGTTCTCCTGTGTGTAAAATGCTGTCAAACAGCATCACATGCTACAGAGAAGTCCTTCATGGAAGGAAGAGTCCATTGATGCAGCAAACTTCATTATTGTCTTATTCTATGAAATTGCCACAGCCTACCCAACCTTTAGCAACCTCCACTCTGATCAGTTAGCAGACATCAACTTTGAGACAAGACCCTCCACCAAAGGAGGATGACTCACTGAAGGCTCAGATGAGTGTAAGCATTTTTTAGCCATAAAGTATTTTAAAATTAAGATATATCATTTTTTTGACAAAATGCTATTGCATACCTAATAGACTGCAAAACTTTTATATGTGCTGGGAAACCAAAAAATTTGTGTGACTTGTTTGTTTGTGGTATTTGCTTCATTGCCATTGTCTGGAACTTAAACCTGCTATATCTCTGAGGAATGCTGGTACAAATTAAAATATACAAAGAAATAACCAACCAATCAAGTGTTTCATGACATTCCATTGAATGATTGTACAGTAGTTTATTCAGCTATTCTGATGTATGTTTAGTTTATGTCTAGTTCGTTACTATTATGTAAGCAGTGCTATAGTAAACGTCATTATGCATATGTGTATGTGAGTATTTTATCTGTGATACATAATGTATTAGGCTGTTTGCATTGCTATATGGAATACCTAAGGCTGGGTAATTTATAAAGAAAAGAGATTTATTTAGCTCATGGTTCTTCAGGCTGTACACAAAGCACAGTGTTGGCTTCTGCTTCTGGGGAGGGCAAGCTTCAGGAAGCTTACAATCATGGTGGAAGGGAAGCTAGTAGGTCACATGGCAAGAGAGGGAGCAAGAGGGAGAGGAGGTGCCAGGCTCCTTTTAAACCACCAGCTCTTGTGTGAAGCGGTGATAAAGCAAGGATCACACATCATCAAGGGGATGGTTCTAAGCTTTTCATGAGGTATCTGCCTCCGTGATCCAACACCTCTTACAAGGCCCCCACCTCCAACATTGGAGCATGAGACATTTCAGCATGAGATTTGGAGAGACACACATCCAGGCCGTATAAGATAATTAGAAGTAAAATGGCTCAGTTGAAGAGTATTTATATTTAAATTGTATAGAAACTATAAGTTACCATAACAAAGGCTATGTTAACATATTGGAGTATCTTTTTCCATACCTACAGAATTAATGATTAAAATCTGACCAAATTGTTTGTGGAAAGAGATCTCACTGACTTTGGATTTCCTGATTTACTGGGGAGGATGAACATTATGTTATGGTATGCTGTTATTTATAAAGAGAGCAGCTCTTGTTTTTCAGGTTGGCAACAAAAATTTCTCTGTTCCTTGAAGCTTAGGATATGGGGGAGGGTTTTAGTATGGGTATGGGTGGTCTAGGTTCCTTAGTATTGTTTAATTATCCTAAAGATTGCAGTAGGAACCCCTCCTCAATCTTTGTATTATTTCTTCTGAGCGTGGAATTTTTGTGGATCTGCTGTAGTTTTCTCTAGCAGTTTTGTGTTGTGGTTGACTTCATTTCTACCAATCAGATCCCATCCACTCACCAGCTATTTTCTGTCCCAACGATTTCTGATCAACTGATATCTCTTTTAATGCTTTGTAAAAAAAGTTGTGGTAAAATACACATATAAAATTTACAGTCTGAACCATTTTTAAATATATAGTTCGGTGGAATTAGGTACACTCATATTTTACAACCACCACCACCACCACCACCACCATCCATTTTCGCAACTCTTTTTCTCTTGCAAAACTAACTGTATGCATTAAATAATAACTTTCCTTTTTTTTGTGCTCCAACTCCTGGGAACCACCATTCTGCCTCCTTTCTCTATAACTTTGACTCCTCTAGTTACCTCATATGAGTAGAATTATACAATATTAGTCTTTTTGTGACTAGCTTATTTTGCTTAGCGTAATGTTCTCCAAGATTTTCCATGCTGTGGCATAGCCAAAATCTCCTCCCCTCCCACCCCATCTTTTTTTTTTTTTTTTTTTTTTAAGAGACAGGGTCTTGATCTCTCATTCAGGCTGGAATGCAGTGGCAATCACGGTTCACTGCAGCCTCGACTTCCCAGGCTGAAGTGATCCTTCTGCCTCAGTCTCCTGAGTAGCTGGGGCTACAGGTACATGCCACCACAACTGGCTAATTTTTAATGTTTTTGGTAGAGACAGAGTCTCACTGTCTTGCCCAGGCTGGTCTCAAACTCCTGGATTCAAGTGATCCTTCTGCCTCAGCCTCCCAAAGTGTTGGGATTAGAGGCATTATTTGTTTGTTGTTGAGTTGTAGGAATTTTTAATATGTTCTGGATATTAACCTCTTATTAGATGTATGATTTGCAAATATTTTCTCCCATTCTGTGAGTTGCCTTTTCACTTTCTTGATTGTGTTTTTTGATGCAGTTTTAAAATTTGAGGTTGTATAATTTATCTATTTTTTTGTTGTTGTTGCCGGTACGTTTGGTGTCATATCCAAGAAAGCAATCCCAAGTCCAATGTTGTAAAGATTTCCCCCTATTTTTTTTCTAAGAATTTTATAGTTTTAGCACTTATGGTTTAGTCCGTGATTCATTTTGAGTGAATTTTTTGTGTATGGTGTAAGCTAAGGGCCCAACAACATTCTTTTGCATGTGGGTATCTCGTATTTCTGACACCATTTGTTGAAAAGATTGTTCTTTTCCCATTGAATGGTCTTGTAACCTGTATTGAAAATCATTTTACCATTATGCCAGAATTTATTTTTGGGCTCTTTAATCTGTTTCATTGGTTTTAATCAGCTTTTATTCCAGTACCACACTATTTGATTACCATAGTTTAAGTTGTGAAATCAGAAAGTATGGGATATCCAACTTAGTTCTTTTTCAAGATTGCTTTGACTATTTGCAGTTTATTGAGATTTCATATGAATTTTAGGGTTGTTTTGTTTTGTTTTTTACTTCTGCAAAAAGGACTTGGGATTTTGATAGGAATTGCGTTGGTTTGTAGATTTCTTTGGGTAGTATTGACATTTTAACAATATTAAGTCTTTTAACCCATGAACATGGGGTATTTTTCCATTTATTGGTGTCTTCGTTAATTTCTTTCAGCAGTGTGGTTTATGGTTTTTAAGTGTTGTTATAGATGACTGCATGTTCATGTGTATTTTTCTTTTCTATCAATTAAGACATTTTAGGTAGGAGGGAATACATTCTTGGGCTCAGTCCGACAACCTGATTTAACCATATGTATTTTTTTGAGATGCTTCCATAATATTTAGTTAAGAAAATGGAAGACCAGAGAGGTTAGGTAACTTGCTCAAGGACATGCTGTTAGAAAGTGACAGTCCTGGTTTCAAAGACAGTCTGGCTCAAGAGAGTTTTTAATCATTCTGCTGTCTTGAAAAATTGTCTTGCTAAAAAGGTGTAGGATAGATAATGTAAATTATTAATTAGAGAACAGATGTTTAGCTGGAGTATAGTTGTAAGGAGTTTTTTTTTTCTCCTGTGGAATTCTTTAGAGTCTTTTGGAGTAAGTAATTCTATCTTGGATCCATAGAATTAATTTTTTCCTTTTGATCAGTTATTTTGAGGTAAATTAGATTATGTATGCTGTTCAATTTTAAACTAAGATATTATATATTCTGCCTGTAAAGTTTATAAATCATTACCTCATTCCATTATTCTATTTTGTAATATGCTTGTCTGTTTCAGGCCAATATAAATTTAGTTTTCTTTAACTGTAAGTTTTTAATGTATTTTTGTAGATTAGTAGAATATTTAGTAAATTAGTCATTACTACATTTGTCAGAATTTTCCTGTTTTTTTCAGCCTAAAAATGTCTTTTCAACTCTAATTATAACAACAACAACTATAATGTATTTGTTGGTGTTTCTTTGAAATCATATTGAATTTGTAGTTTATTTTTTTATTTTCATTTTTTTTTTTGAGACAGAGTCTCACTCTGTCACCCAGGCTGGAGTGCAGTGGCATGATCTTGGCTCACTGCAACCTCTGCCTCCCAGGTTCAAGTGATTCTCCTGCCTTAGCCTCCTGAGTAGCTGGGATTACAGGCACGTGCCATCACGCCTGGCTAATATTTGTATTTTTAGTAGAGATGGGGTTTCACCACGTTGGTCAGGCTGGTCTCGAACTCCTGACCTCATGATTCGCCCTTCTTGGGCTCCCAAAGTGCTGGGATTACAGCCATGAGCCACCACCCCCGGCCTGAATTTGTAGTTTAATTGAAGAAGAATTTATATTTTTAAAACATAAAATTCTTCCTTTCCTTACATATTTTACCTTTCAATTTATTTCAAGTCTTTTGTGTTTCCTTGTAGAGTATTAATGTTCATTTATGTTTTCCCATCTTTTGAACTCCATTTTTGTCACACTGCTGGATTCAATTTGCTTATGAAGACTGCAGAATTTTTGCATCAGTGTTATTATGAGTGTAATTGACCCATGGCTTTCTTGTGGGAAATAGTATGTGTCTGATTCTGTAATCACTAGTATGCTGTCTGTAGAAATGATTTGAAAGTTTGGATGCTTTTGATGATTTTTTTTAAAGAATCATAAAATTTTTAAACTGTAAGGTCTTTGGTACTTTCACAAATTTCTCTGTGAGGAAACTAATTCAAGAACTTTAAGTGACTTCTCTGGCGTTAAACAACTAATTAATTTTAAGTGGGAGAGACTTTTTTAAAGGCAGGCTACAATTTAGCAGTTTTTAGATTCATAACTTTCATGCCTGGTTGTTCTAAAATGGAATAAGTTAAGGCATTTTGGTTCTAAGGGTCATCAGTTACTCTCCTTCCCAGAAATCACTAACAGACACACACACAGACACACACACACACACACACACACGCAGACACACGTACCTCTTTTAGACCTTTGGTATATTTCATACACTTTTACTGGTTGTCAGCTGCTCTGGAGCAAGCTTTGATGATATTAAGGTCTACAAGAGAGGTAAGGTCGTTGCTTAAGTATGTGTTGCAAATCAAAAGTGGTTCATATTTTTTAGGTTTATTGAAACCTAAGGAGATAGGTTATATTCTTTATGAAAAAAATGAAAATTCATTATTTCCATTTTTGGAGTGTTTATTGTGAATCAATGAGATAAAATGAGGACACTTTTGCTCTCATCAGTTTGCTAGCTTTAAAAAATGAGGCTAAAGTAAGGCAAAATAGGGAGCATAATTTTTCCTTGAGATATAGTCGCTATTCATCTACTCTTGTCTTTCTTAAAATTTTCATTTGTGTGTATTTAGACAGTTTTTAAACATTAACTTCAAAGGAAGTTTGAGAAAACATGGCCATGCCAAAATGTAAAGTTTCAAATTTTAAGCTTTATTTTCGCTCACTTTTCAAATATGTATGTATTTATATGTATGATTCTTTTTATTTATTTTTTTTTTACATAGACCATATTTTTGGTATATAGTATATTTAGGAACGAACTGAAGGGAAAGTAAAGATAGAAGTACTTATTTATACTCATGAGTCCAAAGCAGTGTTTCTTGAGTCAGCAAGTGCTTTATTCCTTTATGCTGTATTTGCATAAAGTATAAGACAGTTGTAATGTCATTTAACATGTTTTACATTGCTTTTGTATCTTATTTTAAAGTGATTATCATTAGTGAAGCTAGAATCAGCCTAGATTGAAGGTTACCGGTTGTGAAGGAATGCTTTTTCTCAAATTCAAATTCAGATGTATTTCAGAAATTGTAAGTACTCACTTGTGGGTGTATCATACGTAAGGTTATGAAGTAAATAATTAGTCATGAGATTGGAAAGCCATGTACATTATATGCTCTGTGTGTGTGTTTGTGTGTGTGTGTTTAAATTTTTCAGACAGTATTTGCTTTCATTAACACTTTCTGTAGGCAAAAAGGATTTTATTTGCATTTAAGAGGAGGGAGGGCTGCTATTCTGTGTTTATGAGAAAATACGCAATATGGCTTTGGCAGCCTAGCAATTAAAAAGAAAAGTTCTGTAAGTGAGCATTATGATACATGGTAACATAGCACTGTGCAGTTTTTACACATAATAAGTCTGCTAGAATTTTAGAATTAGGAATAGGTGAAAAACATATGGCTTTATCTACTTTGATATTTTTAATAGCATCCGTTTCTGTTTTGCCACTAGTATTTTAAGTACACACACATGTACCCTAACACTTAAGGTATAATAATAATATAATAAAATAAAAAAAAAATAAAATAAAATAAAAAAAGAAAGATAGGGCCCCTATCTCCCAATCTCCATGGGAGGTTAGGAGCCCAACTTTTCTGGGCTTAAAACTGCCTTCTGTCTTTTTTTTTTTTTTTAATACTCTAAGTTTTAGGGTACATGTGCACAATGTACAGGTTAGTTACATATGTATACATGTGCCATGCTGGTGTGCTGCACCCATTAACTCGTCATTTAGCATTAGGTATATCTCCTAATGCTAACCCTCCCTCCTTCCCCCCACCCCACAACAGTCCCCAGAGTGTGATGTTCCCCTTCCTGTGTCCATGTGTTCTCATTGTTCAGTTCTCATCTGTGAGTGAGAACATGCAGTGTTTGGTTTTTTGTCCTTGCAATAGTTTACTGAGAATGATAATTTCCAGTTTCATCCATGTCCCTACAAAGGACATGAACTCATCATTTTTTATGGCTGCATAGTATTCCATGGTGTATATGTGCCACATTTTCTTAATCCAGTCTATCATTGTTGGACATTTGGGTTGGTTCCAAGTCTTTGCTATTGTGAATAGTGCCGCAATAAACATACATGTGGGTTTTGCAGAACATCAGGGTTCTGCAAAATAAGGTGCAACTAAGGAAATGGCAAGAAAAGAGGCCGGAGAGTAAGATAGGGCCCAGATTATGGAGGACTTTTTAATGCCATCTTTGGTATTAATGCCTGATATTGTGTAAGGGTAAGATCCTTGGCTGGACAGACATGGGTTCAACCCTTTTATTAGCCAGTGGCTTTGGGCGTGTTGTGTACTCTGTTTTTGAGCCTTAGTCTTCTAATTTGGACACAGGAACTATTATATATACTTGGAAACTAATTAAATGAGATAATAGTATTTATTAAAGGCCTATTAGGTACTTTGTAAATGTACAATATTAGGGCTCTGGATCTGCTCCTTCCATGAGAATGTCCAAAATTACCTTTTCATCTCAAGCTGCATGTCTTCTATGTCCAAAAATGCTATAATACAATGACTCAAAACCTTTTTGAACTGGAAATTTTTTTATTAACTTAAAAGTCATAGGTCTCTTTTCTGTATGAAGTGACACACACATTACTCACCCACAGAAATTATAGTAACTGTATCTGCTTTTAAGGACTTCTTTATGCAGTAGATATGCAGTTGACTCAAAAGAATGGAAGTGCTTTGAAATGTGTATTCCTTCTTATAGGAAAGGACTTCTTGAATAAGATGTTTTCTTCTATGGTTTAGTGCCTACTTGGTTTGGTGCATGATGACATGTAATTAATTTAAGATAGAATGCACAGTGGAAAGGATTCAGAAGAATATAGGCAGCATATAATATATGCATACTTGATTTACAGTATGCATTCCCTTGTGGAGTCTGTGGAACTTCTGCCTTTTCTGGGGACAACTATTTGTTTTTATAATTTGGAACATTTAGGGGAATACAAAGTATAAAGTTAAATAACCTAAAGTAAAAGCTATGAACTGAAAAACGTAACGCAGTGTCCACTTGTGTTATTGAGGTTGCCATTGCCTATATATAACAGAATATGTTACTAAACGTGGCTTGAAAAAATATGGGCTTTCTCATAAAAAGTCCAGAGGTAGGTAGTTCAGGTTTGGCTAAGTCAGCAGTTCAGCAAGATCAGGTCTCTGGATCAGCTTTTCACATGAGAATGTCCAAAGCAAGAAGAAAAAGGGATATAGCCTTTTCAACATCTCTCTCTCCTTTTATCAGATAAAACTTTTCCAAAACTGCCACATCAGACTTCCTGTTATGTCTCATTAACCAAAATTGGCTCATATGATGACCCCTAAACTAATCACTGGGAAAGAATAATGGGATAGTCATAGTTTGCTTGTACTTACAGTTCATTCCCTGAGGCTAGCCCCACCTTCTCTGAGTACTTTGTTAATTGAACATCTGAACAAATTGGGGGTTCTGGTGGCAAGGAAGGTTGGGTAAATGATAGGTAGAAAACCAAGACTGTTTTACCAGCTAAGAAGTACTATGGTATAAATTGGTATATATGTATAGTATTTTGTGTTTCTTCAAAGTAAATAATATTTTAAGTGGCTTCCCTGTTTTGAGATGCAAATTCAAGATCTTCACTTTTTTTTTAGTTTTAAATCACACTAAAGACCTGTGTATAAACAAAGACAATAAAGTAACCAAAGCTGCCTTGATACCTTCTCATTTACATCGGCCCTATTTCTAACATTCTTTTTGCTTTACCCTAGGAATAGGTATCTAAAACTCCCTGGATGTAAAAGGATGCCCTCCTTTACTCACTATGCTGCAGACACTCCAGCTTTCTAGCTGTTCTTTGCACATGCCACTATTGCTTAGCCCAGTAGTCCCCAACCTTTTTGGCACCCAGGGACTGGTTTCCTGGAAGACAGTTTTTCCACGAATGGAGCGATGGTTTTGGGATGAAACTATTCCACTTCAGATCATCAGATCATCAGGCATTAGTTAGATCCTCATAAGGAATGTGCAACCTAGATCCCTGTCATGTGCAATTCATGATAGGGTTGGCGCTTCTACGAGAATCTAGTGCTGTGGTGGATCTGACAGAAGGCACAGCTCAGGCAGTAATGCCTGCTCACCCACCTGCTGCCACTCACATCCTGCGAGACCACAGAACGGTACCGGTCCATGGCCTGGGGGCTGGGGATCCCTGGCTTAGCCCCTTTACTGTTGTTACTCGCTCTGCCTGGAACTTGCTTCTCCATATCCCTGTGATTTTGGCTCTTCAGCTCTCAGCTCAAATGTTACCTCCCTCAGCAGAGTCGTTCTAATTGAGCCTCTCCAGTTACTCTCTATCAGTCCATTTTATTTTCTTTTTGGGACCTACCACTAAGTACTATTATTTATTTGCGTTTATGTTCATTTTCTGCTCTTTTCGCTATACTGACCCATGACACAGGGAACTTCTCCCCTGCTGTCTCTGCCTTATCCCAGTCTCTTTTCTAGGTACCAGGCACATAGTTGGTACTCAATAAATGTTTATTGAAAGAAAAAAATACTGAGAAATAGTGAGTTTGAAAGTATTCTTTTTTAAAAAAAAATCAGTTTCGTTAAAACCTATGTATTTGGGTTATCAGCCAAACTGAGGGTGAGATTGAGGATCTTATAGGGCAGCTATTGCAGTAGAAGGCTATGCTACCTCTGTAAGTAGGACAAATAAAGATAATACTTTAATACCTTTGAGCAGGGCCAACATTTGCCTCAGGGAAAATTTTTAAATTTCTGTACCTGCTTTCAGCACTGTTGAAATGGGTAGATGAAGCCCCAAGAATGAAACTATTTTAGTTTGGACATCTTTTAAGTGGGCTTCACCAAATGCTTACTCTAATCATAAACTTCAATCTCATGGTATCATTAGAACATCAAACTTTAGGCTAAGTAACTTCCAGGTGAACCCACCAATAAAAACTGCATTGCACAATGTCTGCTTAAATGATTTAACTCTAATCCAGGTAACCATTGGGAGACATTTAGCAACAACCATCATTTCATTTTTAGAACCCTTCTATGTGAAGGCATTTTCAAACATTAATTAGTAATTAGAGAAAATTGTCCTTTAAAGCCCAATTCTAGTGTAAAGCAATGAAGTCATGCATACAAATGAATTCTCATCCTGACTTAACTATTGAGAAATGGAGGCAGTTTGCACTTAGCTTACCCCAAAATGGATGTGGATTTAAAGTCAAAAGACAAGAGATAAACCAGGAAAAAAATTTGCGACTTATATAATGCAAAATCATTTCTAAAAGTGAAAAGACCATTAATCTTATAGAAGAATAGGCAGAAGATATTAATAGACAAAGAAAAAAATAAGTTTAAATGAGCCCTTAGATATATGGCAAGGAGGCTCAACCTCTGTCCTAACAAGAATACTGCATATTAAAATTATACTGAGATACCATTTCTGACCTAACAGATTGTCAAAAGTCCTAAACAATATGCTCTATTATGAACTTGTGGGGAAACTTGTGCTTTCATGTATTGTTTGTAGGAATGCAAAATGTTACCACTCTATTGAGGGTAACTTGATAATATTTAATGAATATTTACATAAATTTTCCCTTTGACCCAGCCATCCCTAGGATTCCAGCAGGAAGATTAACACAAAGCTATTTATTATTTTTCTTAAAATAGCAAATGACTAGAAAAACAACCCAAATATCAAAAATGTGGACTGTTTGAATAAACTATGGTATAGCTATACAATCAAGTATTATACTATTATAAAAAGAAATATAAAAAATATGAAAAGGAATGATATTTAGATACTTTTAAGAGTAATTTAAATGAAAAGTGCAAGGTACAGAACAATGTTTATAGCATACATTTTGTGTAAGAAAGCCATGTTAATTTATATGATATATTCATTTAAGATTATAATATATTAATAAATACAATACATATTATAAACATACTATGCTTTTATATAATATATAATGAGTTATAGCAGTATAACTAATATAACATATATTTATATATATTTTTATTTATTTTTTGAGACAGGGTCTCACTCTGTAATAGTCTGGCTGGAGTACAGTGGAATGATCATGGCTCACTGCAGCCTCAACTTCCTGGGCTCAAGCTATCCTCCCACCTCAGCTCCCCACGTATCTGGGACTGCAGGTGCATGCTACCACACATGGCTAATTTTTGTGTTTTTTGTAGAGATAGGGATTTATCATGTTGCCTAGGCTGGTTTTGAACTCCTGGGCTCAAGTGATCCTCCTGTCTTGGCCTCCCAAAGTGGTGAGATTACAAGTGTGAGCCATGGTGTCTGGCCTATATTTTTATATACTAAGTATTTATTCCTATTTTTATAAAAAAGTGGTAGTCAGGCAAACCAAAAATGTTACCTATGAGGGAGGAAAGCAATAAGTAGAGGGGACAGACCTTGAAACCAAACTTCTATAAGCTTATCTTATTACACAATTTGACTATGCAACTGTGTGACTATTTCATATTAATAAATCATTTACATAAAAATGGCAGTCATTAAAAATAAAAGGAAACAAATGAACCTAATTATTGGTGCTGGGGCAAAGAAGACATCAAAACTAATGATATTATAGCAAAAGGCTGCAGGAGCCAATTGAACGGATCCATAAGATGGGATAATTTGAGTATCTAAAATATTAATGTCTGGAATGGATCAAAACATTTCAAAAATGTATACTATATGCAACATGTAAAACATATGCCATTAATTCATAATACTTTATGATACTTTAAAATGATACTTTAAAAATAAGTGAAAAATCAAATATTGATCTTCATTGACATTTATGAGATTATTAACTCATTAATCTGAAAATAATGAATATGTGATTCTTTCTCTTTATTTATCCTGCCTTTTCTACAGAAACTGTATTTCAGTGTTACCAGGTACTTGAAGAGGTTTTTTTTTTTTTTCCTTCAAGAATTCCAGCTAGATACCGAGGAAATCTAGACTTAGAAAAATTATAGTCATGCAATCCTCCGCTGAAATAATAGTTTTAGGAAGAGATTATCAATAGATGCTCAACCATTAGGTGAGTGGGTGGAAAACTTTATTATGGAGGGGTCAGGGTGTTGATCCAAACTAATGATGAATTTTAGCACCACTAAAGGTGGGATGACCAGACATTATGTACTTCATAATGTGATACAATGGGAAATACTCAGCACATCACCTTTGAAATTTTCTTACTTAAAAGAAGGAATTGGATGGTATAAAGGAGGCTTAAGAAACCTAACAGCTAACTGCAATGTGTGGACCTTGTTTGGATCATAGTTTGAAAATACCAGCTGTATTTGTTTTGAGACAGTTGAGAAATTTGTTTGATGATACTAGGGTATAATTGCTAATTCTGTTAGGTGTAATAAAAGTGTGGTAATGATTTTAAATAGTAATCACCTATGCTTGTATACAGAAGCTTATAGGAATAAAATAGCAAGAAGTTTGTAATTTGCTTTAATATAGTTTTAAAAAAAGAGCAAGGAACTAGGGGTTACAACAGGCAGGATTGGCAAAATGTTGATAATTCTGGAATCTGCATAATACATACATAGGTCTTCATTATATTATTTTACTTTTGGGTATGTTTGAAAAGTTCAGTAATACAAAGTTTTTAAGAGTTGGTGAAGAACCTCTAACTCACATGCTATTCTAAAACAGACACCGAAAAGACAATCACACTTTTCTCCTGAGAGACTTCTCACCAGCTCAAACAGTTCTTGTGTTATTAAAGTACTGGTCTGTGTCAACATTAGAAACTTGGGTGGGGAAAGCTTTTATTGAAATTATATAGCTTATCTGAATATAGATATTCTTTTCTGAAACCCTTAAATTCCATTGAGTACCTTTTCTCTAAATCAACCCCCTTATTTTAAATGACAGAAAATCTCATTTTGAAGTATTGCAAAGCTCTGCAGTCATTCTAAGGCAAGAAATCTTTTTTTTTTTTGCCATGTGAAAGTATCAGTTACACATTGCCACAATACTGTTGTGTGACAAATAACCACAAAATCTTAGTAGCATTATAACAATAAGCTTATTGCTCCCACATGGGGGTCAGTTGGGTGTCTTCTAGGCAGTTCTGCTAATCTTGGTTGGTTTACTGTTATAACGAGCACAGGCTGGTTAGGCCACTGATAAGATTCAATTCTGTTCTGCTTGCTTTTCATACATCTGTAAACTATCCCAGGCGTAGTCGCTTGATGATGGCAGATATGTAAGAGGAAGCAGTAAGTCCAGTTGCACAACCACTTTTCAAGTGTTAATTCTAGAGCTACCTATTCTCTGCTACAGAGGAAAGACTTCTGTGTACTTCACTCAATACTGTGTGAATCATCAGATTTTCCACTCTGGCTAGTGGGAACAGGCACATGCCCAGCACTGTGTATCTGCTAGTTACTGTTTCCTTTTCTTTTAGGTGACTTTGGTGTTTAAGATTCCTTAAACACAATATGAAAAGCAGTAACCATAAAGTAAAATATTTATAAATTATGTTTCATTAAAATCAATAACTTCTAGTCATCAAAAGACAGTAGAGTGAAAGCATAATTCACAGTGAGAAGATATTTGTAATATATAAAGACTCCGAAAAATTAATAAGAAGACAGCCCAATTTTTGTAAAATGGGTAAAAGACTTAAACAGCCATTTCACAAAAAACGATATATGGCCAATGAGCATATGACAAAAGTCTTAATAGCATTTGTCATTAGGAAACTGCAAAAAACCCCCAACATATGGCCAAAGTAAAAATTTTCATTTTGTAAAATATATCAAGCCCAACACATATTAAGAGTTATACACGCTATATTATGTATGTATACGTATGTACACATAGAGGTTATACTTAATTTAAAAAACCACAAAAGCTTAACACACACATATACACACCCCCACACACATGAATAGGAAAGTTCACTCATCTAGTTAGTGGCAGAGTAGAGACTGCTGTTAAGATCGCTTACAATTTTCAAACTTTTTTTTAATGGAAGTGTACGTGTGCATCTACATTTCTTCGTTTATAACATGAACAGTAAAAATCTAAGCTGCCGGGTGCGGTGGCTCATGCCTGTAATCCCAGCACTTTGGGAGGCTGAGGTGGGCAGATCACCTGAGGTCAGGTGTTCGAGACCAGCCTGGCCAACATGTTGAAACCCCGTCTCTACTAAAAATACAAAAAAAAATTAATTGGGCGTGGTGGCAGGTACCTGTAATCTCAGCTACTTGGGAGGCTGAGGCAGGAGAGTCCCTTGAGCCCAGGAGGCAGAGGTTGCAGTGAGCTGAGATTGCGCCATTGTACTCCAGCCTGGGCAACAAAGAGCAAAACTCCATCTCAAAAAAAAAAAAAAAAAAAAAAAAGTAAGCCTCAATGGAGTGAAGGTAAAGGATATAAAATAGCTTTATAAACTGATGACTAATTTAGTAAAGAAAAATACAAAATATGGCAAACATTTTTAAAAGTCTGATAATACTAAATGTAGGAGATGACATGGAACAGACGGAACTCTTATTCAGAACTGATGGGTGTATATAATGTAACTACTTTGGAACGCAGTTTGTCTTTGTTTCATGATATTGCAAATGTGCTTAACCTAGTACTTAAATCAGTTCCACTCCTAGGGGTGTACTGTAGTGACACTCTTGTACTTCTAGACCAAGATAGGTTAATTTTTATTACTTTGTTTATAATAGCAAATAACTTTAAAGATCCCAAATATTTCAATGAATACATAAATTGTGGCAAATTCACAGACAGGGATACTGTAAGATAGACATAAAATAAATACACTGCAGCTATAGGAATAATATGGATGAATACCTGAGATAACAGTGTTAAAAAGACAAGTTATAGAAGAATATATAACCTAAATTTTTATAAAGTTCAAAAATAGGCAAAATTGAACAATTGTCTTATTTAGGATACCAAAAAGTAAGAGAATTATTAAAAATTTAGAGTAATGGCTATTTCAGAAAAGGTGGGGTTTATTAGGAGAACTTTTACTGTTTTATTATGGACATCCGTAAGTGAACTTGGATGGATCTTGATTCTCTTTCTCTGGAGTATACTGGGAGGAGCATACTGACGGTGTCAGTCATTTTGGATATATTCAGTTTCTTAAATGGTTATTAGAAGATTCAAGGATGTCAGTTTTAGTCTTATACTTCCTAACTCAACTATTACCTATTCTATTTTATAAATATTAAAAATTTTGTAATCATATTTTGAAAATTAAGGTGTTGTAAAAGTAAATACCTTGAAGTAAATAGTCGTTTTCTCTGGCTGGTGATATTATAGGGCACTTCACTTTTTATATTATGCATTTCTAAATCTTGTAAGTCTTTAATAATTAACATGCATTTTTTATGTTTAGAAAAGATAATTATAGAAAGTAAAATAACAAATGCAAAATGTTTACAATATATTTCTAACAAGGGTGGTAACCTTGAGTTATATGCTATCCTATTAAGCTGTCATGTCAGTCTTGATACTAAAGATATTCTTGCCAATCACTAGGCCCAATATTTACTCCCATTGCAGACTTTCAGATGAACATCTTTATCTTTCATCAGTATTTTAATAAGTCGAAATTTAGGTTAGTGTTTTCTTTATTGGTATAATATACTTGGTATCCATTTATATGCAGTATTATCAAACAGTTGCCTGCAATCAACAGGAATGGGCTAAATAAAGAAAATAAATAAAATTTTAAAAATTCCCATATCACTTGTTTTAAGTAAAAGTTAATTTTAAAAGCTGTGCGATAAATATCCCTTGCCTGCAAGACACTGCCTCTGCAAGACACTGTCTTTTTTTGGAATTTCTTTTAGGACCTGTAACTTAGTGTAAATATGTAATTACAAGAAGTTGCGGTAAAAAGTTTTACCGCAACTTCTTGTAATTACATATTTACACTAAGTTACAGGTCCGAAAATGATGATGATTATTTTTTTTTTTTGAGACAGAGTTTTGCTCTGTCATCCAGGCTGGAGTGCAGTGGCACAGTCATGGCTCACTGCAGCCTGAACCTCCCAGGCGCAGGTGATCCTCTTGCCTCAGACTCCCGAGTAACTGGGACCACAGGTGCATGCCACCACGCTTGGCTAACTATGGCTAATACCTGGGCACTGGCCTGTTGCCCAGGCTAGTCTCAAACTCTTCCCACCTCGGCCTCCTGCTGCTGAGATTACAGGTGTGAGCCACTGTGCCCAGTCAACATTTTAATTTTAAAGGAACAACATATAAGTTATATGGTTATTAAAACCATATTTCTATGATTAATGTAAAATCTTTAAGAAAGTATAACTTTATATAGAATGTGAAATATTTTAGAAACATATGAATGATGTAATTGATAATGAAACACTAGTTTCCCATAGTATCAAGTTTATACCTATTTCTTGAGTTGACTACCTTGAAGATTATGGTATATCTCCATTTTTGTGGGAGAATAAATCTCCATTTTGATGTTTTTGTGTGTGTTTGCTTTTGTGTGTATGTGATTAGACAAATATAATGGTTGTAGAAAAGGTCTTTTTAACATCCACTTTTCTTATATGACTATATAATTTAAAAAATTACATGTTTATTCTCTTTAGAATTTTTTTTTTCTAAATGAGTGCTCTAAAAATGTCACTTTAAATTGAGGCATAATGTTTGGAAAACATTATTTATTTATATTCTTGATGTCGATTTCAATAACATGCTAAGTTTTGCTCTGGTTGAATTTTTCCTGTATCCTAAGAGAAATTAATGACAATATTTTGACATAAGGTTTTCAGATTTTGCATTATTAAAAAAAGATTACAGTTGCATAGAATAAAAGAAAGCAATCCTTTAATAGTCCTAGGAAAGGATTAGATAAGCATGACATATTTTATAAATTAAACACAATTCTTATTTGGATCAAAAGTCTAAGCACTTTTTATAGATTTCTCAGATTAAATGGAAATGTATTCCATTTTTCATAATGTGAAAAAATGTCTAAATTTGTAATTTTTATAATATTTGTATGCTGTAAGTGAGCTACCTCAACTTTATTAACTTACCAAAGTTCCTCCAGAGATATAAATTATGACTAATAATACTTGTTTACCAATTTAAAATTTTCCAACTAAAAGTTAATACATGATTAAAGTAGTTGTTTAACACAAATGCTTAACCTTCTTAAACAGTCCCTTTCTCCACTCCTTATCCCCACATCTTCTTCCCCAGTAAAGTCACAAAACCCCCTAAACTTAAGTATTAAAAATTTTTAACTTCGTAGATTCAGAGGGTACATGTGCAGGTTTGTTACAAGGGTATATTGCCTGACGTTTAGATTTGGGGTCACCTAAGTAGTGAGCATAGTACCCAATACGTAGTTTTTCAATCCTTGCCCTCCTCCCCTCTGTGTCTGTGGGTCCTATCTTTATTTCTGTGTGTACCCATTGTTTAGCTCCCAATTATAAGGGAGAACATGCAGTATTTGATTTTCGTTTTCTGTATTAATTTGCTTAGGATAATGGCCTCCAGCAGCATCACGTTGCTGCAAAGGACATGATTTCATTCTTTCTATGGCTGTGTAGTATTCCATAATGCAAATGTACCACATTTTTTTTATCCAATTTACCAGTGATGGGCACCTAGGTTGATTCCATGTCTTTGCTATTATGAATAGGGCTGCAGTGAACATATAAGTGCATGTATCTTTTTGGTAGAATGATTTATTTTCCTTTGTGTGTATAGCCAGTAATTGGATTGCTGAGCTGAATGGTGGTTCTATTTTCATTTCTTTGAGAAATCTCTAAACTAATTTCTATAGAGGCTGAACTAATTTACATTCTTAACAACAGTGTATAAGCATCTCCTTTTCTCTGCAGCGTTGCCAACATCTGTTATTTTTTAACTTAAAAAAACAATTTCAACTTGTATTTTAGATCAAGAGGTATATGTGCAGGTTTGTTGCATGGGTATATTGTGTGATGCTGAGGTTTAGGGTATGAATGATACTGTTACCCAGGTAGTGAGCATAATACCTGATAGGTAGTTTTTTAGCACTTGCCCCACTTCCTCTCTCCTCTCTCTAGTAGTCTCCAGTGTCTGTGTTCCTGTCTTTATGCCCATGTGTACCCAGTACTTAACTTTCACTTACATATGAGAACATGTGGTTTGGTTTTCTGTTCCTGCATTAATTCACATAGGATAATGGCGTCCAGCTGCATCCATGTTGCTGCAAAGGACATGATTTCATTTTTTTTTATGAATGCATAGTGTTCCATGATGTATATGTACCACGTTTTCTTTATTCAATCCATCATGATTGATTCCATGCCTTTGCTATTGTGAATAGTGCTGCAGTCAACATACAAGTACCTGTGTCATTATGATAGAACAATTTATATTCCTTTAGATATATATATATATATCCAGTTATGAGATTTCTGGGTCAATTGATAGTTCGGTTTTAATTTCTTTGAGAAATCACCACACCGCTTTCGACAGTGGCTGAATTAATTTACATTCCCACAAGCAGTGTATAAACATTTCCTTTTCTCCATAACCTCTTCCTAGCATCTGCTATTTTTTGACTTTTTAATAATAGCCCTTCTGACTTGTGTGAGGTGGTATCTCATTGTGATTTTTTGTTGTGGGAATTCAGGGACCCTGAACGGAGGGACCAGCTGGAGTCGCAGCACAGGAACATAAATTGTGAAGATTTCATGGACATTTATCACTTCCTTAGTAATACTCTTATAATTTCTTACACCTGTCTTACTTTAATCTCTTAATCCTCTTATCTTCATAAGCTGAGGATGTACATCACGTCAGGACTCTGTGATGATTGCGTTAACTGTACAAATTGATTGTAAAACATGTGTTTGAATGATATGAAACCAGTGCACCTTGGAAATAAACAGAATAACAGTGATTTTAGGGAACAACAGAAGACAACCATAAGGTCTGACTGCTTCCCGGGTTGGGCAAAAAGAGCCATATTTTTCTTCTTGCAGAGAGCCTATAAACGGAGGTGCAAGTAGGAGAGATATCACTAAATTCTTTTCCTAGCAAGGAATATTGATATTAATACTCTAGGAAGAGAATTGCATTTCTGGAGGGAGGTCTATAAACCGCCACTCTGGGAGTGTCTGTCCTCTGCGGTTGAGATAAGGACTGAGATATGCCCTGGTCTCCTGCAGTACCCTCAGGCTTACTAGGATTGGGAAAACCCCAGCCCTGGTAAATTTGAGGTCAGACCTGTTCTATGCTCTTGAACCCTGTTTTCTTTTTTCTTTTTTTTTTTTTTATTATACTTTAAGTTTTAGGGTACATGTGCACAATGTGCAGGTTAGTTACATATGTATACATGTGCCATGTTGGTGTGCTGCACCCAGTAACTCATCATTTAACATTAGGTGTATCTCCAAATGCTATCCCTCCCCCCTCCCCCCACCCCACAACAGGCCCCGGTGTGTGATGTTCCCCTTCCTGTGTCCATGTGTTCTCATTGTCGAACGCTGTTTTCTGTTAAGATGTTTATCAAGACAATACGTGCACAGCTGAACATAGACACTTATCAGGAGTTCCCGATTTTGTCCTTGCCCTGTTTCCTCAGAAGCATGTGATCTTTGTTCTTTTTGCCCTTTGAAGCATGTAATCTTTGTGACCTACTCCCTGTTCATACACCCCCTCCCCTTTTGAAATCCTTAATAAAACTTGCTGGTTTTGTGACTCAGGTGGGCATCACGGTCCTACCGATATGTGATGTTGCCCCCGGCGGCCCAGATGTAAAATTCCTCTCTTTGTACTCTTTCTCTTTATTTCTCAGACCAGCCGACATTTAAGGAAAATAGAAAGAACCTATGTTGAAATATTGGGGGTGGGTTACCCTGATAGTTTTTTCTTTCTTTTTTTTTTTTTTTTTTTTGAGATAGGGTCTCACTCTTTTGCCCAGGCTGGAGTGCAGTGGCATGATCTTGGCTCACTGTAATCTCTGCCTCTCAGGTTCAAGTGATTCTCCACAGATGTGTACCACCATGCCCAGCTAATTTTTGTATTTTTAGTAGAGATTGGGTTTCACCATGTTGGCCAGGCTGGTCTTGAACTCCCAACCTCATGTGATCCACCCACCTCGGCCTCCGAAAGTGCTGGGATTGCAGGCCTGAGCCACTGCACCCAGCCCCATTGTGGTTTTGATTTGCATTTCTCTAAAGATTAATGATACTGAGCATTTTTTCATCTGCTTGTTGGCCACATGTATGTCCTCTTTTGAAAAATGTATTTTCACATCCTTTGCCCACATTTTAATGGGGTTCTTTGTTTTTTGCTTGAAATTTGTTTAAGCTTCTTGTAGATTCTGGATATTAGAGCTTTGTTGGATGCATAGTTTGCAAATAATTTCACCCATTCTGTAGGTTTTCGGATTGCTGTGTTGATAATTTCTTTTTCCTTGCAGAAGCTTTTTAGTTTAATTAGATTCCACTTGCCAACTCTTGCTTTTGTAGCAGTTGCTTTTGAGGACTTAGTAATAAATTCTTTGCCAAGGTTGATATCCAGAGGGTATTACCTAGGTTTTCTTCCAGGATTTCTATAGTCCTTGGCCTTACATTTTAATCTTTAATCCATCTTGAATTAATTTTTTTTTTTTTTTTTTTTTTTTTTTTTTTTTGTGGTGGGGTCTGGCTCTGTCACCCAGTCTGGAGTGCAGTGGTACCATCTTGACTCACTGCAACCTCTGCCTCCAGAGCTCAAGTGATTCTCCTGCCTCAGGCTCCCAAGTAGCTGGGATTATAGGCGCATGCACCACACCTGGCAATGTTTTTTTTTTTTTTTTTTTGTATTTTTGGTAGAGACAGGGTTTCACCATGTGAGCCATGCTGGTCTCAAACTCCTGGCCTCAAGTGATCTGCCAGCCTCGGCCTCCCAAAGTGCTGGGATTACAGGTGTGAGCCACTCCACCTGGCCATCTTGAATTAATTTTTGTGTATGGTGATATGTAGAGATCCAGTTTCATTCTTTGGCATATAGTTAACCAGTTATCCCAGCACCATTTATTGACTAGGGAGTTCTTTCCCCATTTTTTATTTTTTATTTTATTTTATTTTTTTTCATTTTCTTTTTTATTATTATTATGCTCTAAGTTCTGGGATACATGTGCAGGATGTGCAGGTTTGCTACATAGGTATACACGTGCCGTGGTGGTTTGCTCAACCCATCATCTACATTAGGTATTTCTCCTAATGTTATCCCTCCCATAGCCCCCACACCCCCCAACAGGCCCTGGTGTGTGATGTTCCCCTCCTGATGTCCATGTGTTCTCATTGTTCAACTCCCACTTACAAGTGAAAACATGTGGTGTTTGGTTTTCGATTCCTGTGTTAGTTTGCTGAGAATGATGGTTTCCAGCTTCAGCCATGTCCCTGCAAAGGACTTGAACTCATCCTTTTTTATGGCTGCATAGTATTCCAGGGTGTATATGTGCCACATTTTCTTTATCCAGTCTGTCATTGATAGGCATTTGGGTTGGTTTCAAGTCTTTGCTATTGTGAATAATGCTGCAATAAACATATGTGTGCATGCATCTTTATAGTAGAATGATTTATAATCCTTTGGGTATATACCCAGTAATGGGATTGCTGGGTCAAATGGTGTTTCTGGTTGTAGATCGTTGAGGAATTGCCACGCTGTCTTCTACAGTGATTGAACTAGTTTACAGTCCCACCAACAGTGTAAAAGTGTTCCCATTTCTCCAGATCCTCTCTAGTATATATTGTTTCCTGACTTTTTAATGATCACCATTCCAACTGGAGTGAGGTGGTATCTCATTGTGGTTTTGATTTGTATTTCTCTAATGACCAGTGATGATGAGATTTTTTTCTTATGTTTGTTGGCCACATAAATGTATACTTTTGAGATGTGTCTGTTCATATCCTTTGCCCACTTTTTGATGGGTTGTTTTCCTTTTTTCTCGTAAATTTGTGTAAGTTCCTTGTAGATTCTGGATACTAGCCCTTTGTCAGATGGACAGATTGCAAAATTTTTCTCCCATTCTGTAGGTTGCCTGTTCACTCTGATGATAGTTTCATTTGCTGTGCAGAAGCTCTTTAGTTTAATTAGATCCCATTTGTCAATTTTGGCTTTTGCTGCCATTGCTTTGGTGTTTTAGTCATAAAGTCTTTGCCCATGCCTGTGTCCTGGATGGTATTGCCTAGGTTTTCTTCTAGGGTTTTTATGGATTTAGGTTTTATGCTTAAGTCTTTAATCCCTCTTGAGTTAATTTTTGTATAAGGTTTAAGGAAGGGGTCCAGTTTCAGTTTTCTGTGTATGGCTAGCCAGTTTTCCCAACACCATTTATTAAATAGGGAATCCTTTCCCCATTGCTTGTTTGTGTCAGGTTTGTCAAAGATCAGATGGTTGTAGATGTGTGGCATTATTTCTGAGGCCTCTGTTCTGTTTCATTGGTTTATATATCTGTTTTGGTACCAGTACCTTGCTATTTTGGTTACTGTAGCCTTGTAGCCTTTTTGATTTTAGCTGCAGCCTTTTTTATTTTAGCTACTCTGTTGAGTGTGAAATGTTACCCCATTGTGGTTTTAATTTACATTAGATCATGTTGAACACTTTTTTGTGTACCTATTTGCCATTCTTATAACTTCTTTTGTGAAGTGTATATTCACTCTTTACTGCAAGGGGATTATTAGTCTTTTTATTTTGGTTGTATATATTGTGGATATGTCTTCTTCTATATAGCTATCTTCTACTATTTAACAATTGCAACAAAAGGATGTTATACATAAAAGATATTGACACATTTAGTACTTCTAAGCTGCTGGCAGTTTTGGAAGGAAAGTAATTAGTATTTAAAACACAAACTTTATAATTTTAAATTTAAAACAAAAATTATGTTCTATTTTGTTTTTGATTTCAGGTGCAATTAAAAACTAGCATTTCTAGTCAGTATGTAATTCGGATGCAGCCGACTAATAGATGCCTTTCTACACTGGAGTGTGCAGCTGTTGCTCTTTCCATCTTGGAGAAAAATAATTACATACAAGAGGTACGTCTTTGTAAGGTTATAGTTTTTCAAAGTGGGAGTTTTCTTAGATTTTACCTAGAAGATTTAGACATGCTTGTTAAATTTGTAACTCATGTGACAAGTAGAATCTTCTGTGTTAGAAATTTATGTACTTTTATAACCTTGTTTCCTCTCTGGTGTTTTTCTGTGTGTGTGTTTAGCATTCCAGATTATATTATTTAAATATTCATACTAAACTGTGCAAACAGCATTTGTAATATGCTAAATTACATTTAAGTAGCACAACATTAAGTAGTTTTTTGGCTAGATTTTTCTTTTAGTGTTTTCTCTTCTCTTTTTGGTATTTTGTGTTCTCTTGTGCTCAGCCTTTTCTTCTTTTTGGTTAAAAGAACATTCTATAGCAACATTTTTATTTTTGCCTTGGTGCCGTATACTAACTTTCTGTTTCTCGTGTTAACCTTGCTTAGAATGTAAAAAAGACATTTTTCTTGAAAAAAAAAATGCCTAGAGAATATGAAAGTATTATAACCTGCAATTATTTCATTTAATTTCTATGAAAGCATGATGATTTCATATATAATTAATAATCATCAGCAAAGAATAATGTTTCAGTGTGCTTACTAACATCTCAGTCTTTTGGAACATGCAAGAAACAGCATTTGTAGCAAAAGAAAAAATAGTAAAATAAAACCTAAATTGTTAGGGTTTTTTAATTATTGAAAAGTTTTGATAAATACAACTCATGAAGAAAGTCAGAGGATAATGAGCACAACTAAAAGGGATTTATAACTCCCCCTTCAAAACACAGCATGAACACATGGATGCACACACGCACATACACACGCGAAAGAGGTACTCTTTCCTGCCTTCTTTCTTTCTCATTATCCATTATGGTTACAGTTATGAGTATGCCTTAAACACGAAGGAAATTTCAATAATAGATGAAAGCTCAGTTCAGAGTAAATGTATTAGCTACCAAGATATTAATCCTAAAGAGAACAAAAAGATAGCAAAAGCAAGGAGTGTTAAAGAATGTTAGAAGCAGGCCTTGAATTACTTTTTTCCTCTCCTCTACCCTAAGCTGTGGAATATGTCAGAGTTGGAGACTTTTCTTCTTTTGAAAAAACTAGGATTTTCGTGTGTATGTGTGTGTGTGTGTGTGTGTGTGTGTGTGTGTGTGTGTGTGTGTGCCTGTGTGTTTGAGTAGACTTTGTTTAGGGTCTAGGCAATTTCACTTTCTCTGCTTTTGAAAAAAAATTCATGAAGGAACATAGATTCTTACTTTAAATGAGCAGGGAGTGTTCTCAGACACCTTTCCATCTCCTCTAACCATGTCACCTACTCCCATGTCCCTAGCCATAAACATAGTACTTTATATACCCCATATGTGTCTTTCTGTTTTATTTACCATCATCTCTGTATATTCTTAAGCAAATATATATACATACACACTTTTCACAGGTGTCTTAATAGAATTATGTAACCCAGTGCTGTTGTTTAAACTTGCTTTCTCTACAGTCTCTGCGTTTTCTTTTTTGTTGATGTAAAACTCTAGGATCAGACAACATCAGACCAAACAAGGACCCATTGAAAGTTCAAATTTTGAGGGAAAAGTATATTCCTTAGCTATAGATTTAAAGCTTACTTTTCTCCCCTTTTGGGTTCTGGAAAGAATTCTCTGTGGACTTATATCTCTTATTCCCACAACTGGAATTGGATCTTTACTGCAATCCTAAATATAACCTTTAATGTTAGTAATGGTGGTGGTTATGGTAATAGTGGTTGTAGAATAATAGGGTTACAGTTAAGGATAGGGTTTGTACTACTACTACTACTAATTCTGCTGGTGCTCCCTTCTCTCCAATTTTATATTATTTTGTACATTATATTAATTAATATACCATCTACTTGTAAAAAAAGATAAATTTAAAAATCAATATACCATTATATTAGGAATCCTATTAGCTAAGAATGTTTCAGGCTTTATTTTACAAATGTTCTAGACTCAACAAAGTATTAGAGTGAATTCTTTCAAAGTTAACTAATGAGGAACTTTTTGAAAAAATGATATAACATTATATAGTTAGGACAACTTTACGTTGTTTTAGGGCCTCTTCTCCATCAGCATTTTTTCATTCTTTCATTACTTCTATTGTTTTATATAACCCGAGGCATTTATTGATGACATAAAGCCACAGGCTGACTTGAATCTTGCTAGATTGTGCTTTGTGATGTGATATCTTAAAAACAAACAAACAAAAAAAAGGAATCCTTATTGTGACAACTTGAGACTTGCAAAATACATTCTGAGTGTAATATCTAACAAAAGGCAAAGTTTAAGACAACAGAATGGTGACAGGACCCATTATCTCTTCAGCTTTTGTTATTGTTGTCTGTAGATAAAATTAAACATAAAGTCCCAAAGTAATAGTGAGGTCTTAGAGCCCTCATTCTGCTTGCTTTGGTTGCCAGGAGTAATTGTACTGCAGTGGCCAGGAGTAGAAAAAGGATATTTGACAGTCAAACCTGGGATTTGGGAGGTACTGATAACATGGTGGGAGAGTGAGCAGAAGAAATACATAATAAAACATCTCAAGTTGCTTATTATTACAGATGGCAAAAATTGCTTCCAGCCACAATTTATAGTGAAAGCTGTTTTCTTAGTGGGGGAACCCCACATCCAGCCTTTTCAAATCTAGTTATGAGAAAAAAATTAGCATCTAGTTGCGATAATAAATTAGCATCTTTGTGAAATGCAGTATCAGTCTGCCCTAAACATAGGTGTTTTCTTTCCCTCCTGGGGAGGAAAGTGATGACATACACTTTTTCCCAATAACCTTTTATCAGGGGCATTCTAATAAAACCTTAAGATGGTGGGGGAGAATAGTAAATTTTCTTTTTCTTTTTCCTCTTTTCTTTGCTTCACTTTCCTTCACTTTTCTTTTTCTTTTTTCTTTTTCTTTTCCAACAGAGTCTTGCTCTGTCACCCAGGCTGGAGTGCAGTGGCATGATCTTGATTCACTGCAACTTCTGCCTCCTGGGTTTAAGTGATCCTCCCACCTCAGCCTCCCAAGTAGCTGGGACTACAGGTGCATACCACCATGCCCAGCTAATTTTTGTATTTTTTGTAGAGATGGGAGAGGCGGGGGGAGTCTCAAGTTGCCCAGATTGGTCTTGAACTCCTAGGGGATTTAAGCGATCCACCTGCCTTCGCCTGCCAAAATGTTGGAATTACAGGTCTGAGCTACTGTGCCTGCCAGAGAAGAGTAAATTTTCACTTGGCTTCATTCTATAGAGGCAGGGTTCCTCAAAATAAAGAACTTGGCACAGAATAGCTTTGTTAATCTGTTGTCTCATCCTCACTCTTTATTCTAGAGCAGTTTTTCAAGCACCTGAAAGCATGGCTACATGAAAGTAGCACAATGTGGATTTTGAAGTAGTTTTGAATTACAACTTATTATCATCACTTTTTGCAAGTGGGCAGACCACATAATTTTTTGTACTTGTGTTCTTATCTGTAATATACAAAATGTTACCTCATAGTATTTCAAGAACTGAGATAATAATGAGTAATCGCCACAGTTGTCAACACAGGCACTCAAAAAGAGTTAATCCTCTTGCCCCTCTTTTCCTCTCTAATTTTTGCCTGTAGATTGGCAAAAGAAAGTCTGAACTAAAAGATAGTGGCTTTCATTAGCTACTACAGTATTTACCAGGACTTTTCATACCTTGGAAGCCTTTAGCTTGGGGTTCTTTTTTATTACAGAACCTTTTCTACTTACGAAGTTTTATCATAGGAATTTTTAAAGATAGATGTGGCAAAACCTCCTGCTATAACCTGAATGTTTTGGCTCTACCCAATATCTGCAGTTGGTAGTAATGGTTCCTTGAAAACTGTCACTTTTCACATGCAGCAAAAAGGATTTACTAGGATAGGCTACAACTTTAAAACTCTGAAGTTGAAATCAGATAAGATGACAAAAGTTTATGCATCTCTCATGCTGTTTGTCCAGTGGGATTACCCTGAGGACCTCTGCTGATTTGCAGTCACTCAGGCACCCAACCTGATGGAGGAACTATCTAGATAATTCATCCCACTTTCATCAAGGAAGGAGCAAGGAAGGTGGTGTATCCTATACCACTTTTAATGCTTCTGCCCTAAGGTGACACGTATTAGTTGTACTCACATTTCATTAACCAAAGCAAGTTATATGGCTGTGCCTAAATTTGAAAAGGGATAGAAAATGCCAATCTGCTCATGTATCAGGAAGGAGGCTGGCCTATTTGTGAACAGCTGTAGGGAGTACCAACAGAGATGGAGTAGGGATCTAATCCAGATCTGCCTGTTTCCAAAATTCATTCTCTTCATTACCTCAGTAAATTGATAGAATCTTATCTTCAGGATGTAAAAGTTGGAATCTTTTGACCATAAGAATATGAGTTTTCTTCTGTTTACAAGAATATAATAAATGTCATAAAATATCAATAGAATCTTCAGTTGTCTTGGTCTGTATGTCATCCTAGGTATGTTTCCTGGGTTCAGTGTTTCAGAATACAGTCCACTGTGGTGACTCTGTAAAGTACGTAAAGTCATATATAGTTATTTTAGCATTCCCTCTCTTATTTTCCTCATTAAAATAAATTACGGGAACATGCATAAGGAGTTTTCTACAATAATATTGTGCAGAGCCTTTCCAAGATATTTACCTTTTTTCTTTCTATCTCTCTCCTTCCTTCCTCCCTTCCTCCCTTCCTCCCTCCCTGCCTCCCTCCCTCCCTCGCTTCCTTCCTTTTCCCTTCCCTTTCCCTTCCTTTCCCTTCCTTCCTTTTCTTTCTTTTCTTTCATTTCTATTCTGGGCCGGATGCGGTGGCTCACACCTGTAATCCCAGCACTTTGGGAGGCCGAGGCAGGTGGATCACGAGGTCAGGAGTTCGAGACCAGCCTGGCCAATATGGTGAAACCCCGTCTCTACTAAAAATACAAAAATAAGCTGGGCATGGTGGCATGCACCTATAGTCCCAGCTACTTGGGAGGCTGAGGCAGAAGAATCACTTGAACCCAGGAGGCGGAGGTTGCAGTGAGCTGAGATTGTGCCACTGCACTCCAGCCTGGGTGACAGAACAAGACTCCATCTCAAAAAAAAAAAAAAAAAAAAAGAGGAAGAAGAAAGTTTCTCATTCTGTCACCAAGGCTGGAGTGCAGTGGTATGATCGTGGCTCACTGCCGCCTTGACCTCCCAGGCTCAAGCGATCCTCCTGCCTCAGCCTCCCGAGTAGCTGGGACCACAGGTGCACACCACCATGTCTGGCTAATTTTTTCTATTTTCTTTTTTTTTTTTTAATAGAAACAGGGTCTTGCCATGTTGCCTGGGCTGGTCTCAAACTGCTGGGCTCAAGCAATCCTCCTGCATCAGCCTCCCAAAATGCTGGGATTACAGATGTGGGGGTGTATATTACAGTAAGGAATTATATTTGCCTGCATGTAAGAGAGCCCTTACTGCAGTGGTTAATTCACATGGGGTTTTCTTTTTCTCCTGTAAATCAGAAATGCTGAGGTGGGCAGTCCTGACTGGGAATGCAGCTTGAAAAAGAATTCAGGGACAAGTTTTCTTTTCTTTCTGTCCATCATCTTTTGTATTTGGCTTTAATCTTCATGTTTGTTGCCTAGTAGTCACATGATGCTTGTCCTACCTTCAACAGTTATTTTCTAGGCAGGAAAAAAGGACAAAAACCTATGCCTGCTAAGTTTGTCCCCTTTAAAGAGTATCTCTAGAAGCCCCATCCAAGGACTTCTAGTTACATCTTCTTGGATAGATTGGGTCATTAGTGAATGTAATATTAGTAGCTGGACACATTGCTACCTTGAATATAATTTGAATTATTTTAATAAGGGAGAAAATAATACGAAGAAGCAACTACTAGTGACTATCACAATAAATAAATTTAATTTCATTATAAATTAAAGCTATTAAGCCCTTTTTCTACCACTTATGTTGTGCATCAGCCTCCCAAAATGCTGGGATTACAGATGTGAGAGTGTGTATTATAGTTAGGAATGATATTTGGCCGCATGTAAGAGAACCCTTACTACATTTGTTAATTCATGTGGGGTTTTCTTTGTGGGTTAATACATTTTCACGTAGACATTGTGAATTTTTTGTAGTTAAATCTATCAGTTTTTTCTTTGTTTCTTTTGTGCTCCTTTAACAATCTGTTTAATTAAGTTTTTTTGCTGTTATTTTTGAAAATATCTTCATCAGGGGTCTCAGGCCCAAGGAAGGAATCTCACCCAAAATATGTTTAAAACACTGGCATAGTGTTGTTTTTTTTTTAATTTTTGAATTTGAATAACTTCAGGTAGAGCGTATACTCCAGTTGTATTACAGCCGCCACTATTCTCTGTTGGCTTGTAAAGATCCACCCAGTTTACGTGTTTCTGTTACATGGCTGGCCTATAGGTATTTGAATTTAGACAGTTCAGATATTGTTAGAATAATTTCAAACGCACCAAGACCTGGGCATCTAACTTGTATGTGGTCCATGGCACTAATGTGAGAGAAATAGCAAACCGTTTACCCATTGCTGCCATCATCTAATTGTTGTCAGGTGTCAGTAAGCTTGCATTAATTTGTCATAGAAACTGAATTGACTATTTTGGTGTACTTATCTTTGTATTTAAATGTCTCATTTAGTCTCCTTGTTATGGATTCAATTATAATGGCAACAATTTTTTGTGGTGTTTGAATAATGTATAAAACTAATGCCAGACTTTATTACCTATGTGGAAAATCAGTATTTGTATCTTTTTAATAAAATTCCTTAGTGTAATATTAAGGCATGAATTTTAAAGACATTATTTATCTAGAAATAATTATATATTTATCAGAGTGCCTAGTGTTTCTCATAGTTAAAAGCCAATCATAATAAAAGAAACATAGTAACTCCTATTTCTGAATGAAAAATATAGATAGAATATCATGATTTGTCACAGATACTTTTTTAGTGTCTTTTTTCTCTTGACAGACTTTGCTTCGCCCTCTTCAAGCTTTATGCTCCTTTCAACTTCAGCATGGTGCCCAAATTCGCCTCAGCAAGGAACACCTTCTGAAAAATGGATTATATCCTAAACCAATGCCAAAGAACAAACGCAAACTCAGGAAAATGGAATTGTTAATGAATAGTGTTAAAATTTAGTACAGTTATTCTTTTGGTGCTAGCTTAACTGTCTTCATCTAACAATACCAAATTAAGTTTTCATATAGTTAAGGTCTGTAGGTTTTTGACTTGCTAAAGAAGGAGAATTGCATACTAATCTTACCCAGAAGAAGGAAGTAAACCAAATATTCATAAATACAAATAAACAGAAATTCACTGGCTCACTGAAAAGCAGGATTTCCTACTGTACTTGTTTTTAAAAATGTGCCTCTAATACATGTTTTCAAACCCAAATTTAAAATATGATTTGTTGTTGTGATAGGTTAGAAGTTCTTACTTGTAAAATAGAAGAAAATTGTTGTAGTGGATTGGAACGGTGTTGTGTCCATTAATGTTTATAAATAATTAGGTGTAGACCAATAATATAAGATTCCTACATCAGTTTGCAGTCCTGACTTTACAGTTTGAAATAAGTAGCAAAAGAAAATTATGATAATCAAGTAATTTATTATTTTGTAAAATAGTATAAAGGAATAAGGAAATTTTAAGTATTGTTTAGGGGCCAAATTTGAACTCAGCTAATATGATTTAAGCGCTCTATTAATTGCCCTGATTTTTAAAGAGGTGCATGTAATTTTGAAATAGCACACATTTTCATTTGTAATCACTCTGGATAAATTTGTATTTTTCAGTGTTCATTGAACAGGCTTATTGACTCTGGTAAACTTATTTTATTGATGTTTTCATATGGAAAATAATAAGTGGAATATGATACAATTGTTATTTTCAGAACATATTTCTTTAGGGCTATTTAATATAACCTTTTTAACGAGCAAAAACTTTCCATTTGAGAGAAAAAATTCTTCCTGCTCTGTGGGAAAATATTTGCTGAGATTTTGTATAGAATAAGAGACATGTATGTAACATATATGTATATTCAGCACAAGTCTACTGCAATTATGTACACATTTTGGCAGGAAGAGGGGATTTTGTTTAGTCTTTGTTTATGAGTTCTAGAGTTTCCTGTATCTAGTGTTAAGTTGTAAGGAAAAACTAAACATGCCATTTAAAGGTAAACTTGGTAACTATTTATAGAGCATACACCAATGATTATTTCTCACAGTTTTCATGATCATTTGTTTATTATTTACTTGGATTAGACTCATTAAAAGGTATAATGCTGGTCACAATTAGAATGCTAATATTTGGGGAAACTATGCAGAAAATATTTTAAAATATTAAAAGAGTGCTGGCTTCTATTGTTGATTTATTTTTGGATTTAAAAACAAATTAGGGCTGGGCCCATTAGCTCACACCTGTAATCCCAGCACTTTGGGAGGCTGAGATGTGAGAATTGCTTGAGCCCAGGAGTTTGAGACCAGCCTGGGCAATATGGTGAGACTCCATCTCCATACAAAATTAAAAAAAAAATAATTAGCCAGATGTGGTGGTGTGCACTTGTAGTCCTAGCTACTTGGGAGGCTAAGGTGGGAGGATCGCTGGAGCCCAGGACATCAAGGTTGCAAGGAGCTATGTTCATTCCACTGCACTCCAGCCTGGGCTACAGAGTGAGACCTGTCTAAAATAAATAAATAAATAAACAAACTAGCTCATTTACAATGTAAAGCACTTAATATCAAATGATTATTTGGTGTACTAGAAAAGAAACAGCATATAATAATGTATAATAGTTTCTTAACAAGTGGGGCTAAAATCATTTTGTAGTAATTTTTCACATTGATATTAAACTTCATGAGTTTCTTTTAGTCATTATTATTATTATTATTATTATTTGAGATGGAATCTCGCTCTGTCGCCCAGGCTGGAGTGCAGTGGCGCAATCTTGGCTCACTGAAAGCTCTGCCTCCTGGGTTCACGCCATTCTTCTGCCTCAGCCTCCTGAGTAGCTGGGACTACAGGTGCCCACCACCACGCCCGGCTAATTTTTTGTATTTTTAGTAGAGATGGGGTTTCACCGTATTAGCCAGGATGGTCTCGATCTCCTGACCTCGTGATCTGTCTGCCTTGGCCTCCAAAAGTGCTGGGACCGTGCCCAGCCATCATTATTATTTTTTAAAAAGAAAACTCCCCCTACCCCCAGTATACCATTTTGTATCTCAAAATTTTACTTTATTGATTTTTAAGAGTAATTTCTACTTTTATCTTTTAAATAAAACATTTTAGAGTATTTTTGAAGACTTAAAAAGCTTAAAATTTAGTGTTTTTGGAAATGTATAAAATTTTCTTGAAGTATGTATAGTTTTCCAAATTACTTTACTGACCTGTTAACTCACTGTACTTGTTTTTTACTTATTTTTTCCTGACCTCTTAACAAGGTGAGTCCATTTAATCATCTGTGGTATAAAATGCTTCTCTAGTCACCTGTTCTCATTAAACAGTTGTAAGTAAGTTTTAAAAGCCATTATTTTAATTACTAAAAGTTCTCAAGTGTGTAGTATTATCTGAGTATTTTAATTGAAAAATTAATCAGGCTTTTAAAAATTACTTTTTTATTGTATTAGTTGGCTTTTAAATTCAGATTCTTTATATTTGCTTGATTTTTCCTGGAAGTTCCAAGTTTTATGAATTTGTAGCTGATAGTAGGTTTTACTTGTGTACCCCATCTGCACTTTGATGTTGTGTAGATCGTTTTGTGAGTTATTTGAACCGTGTAACTCAGAGAATAGTATTTCCTCATACATAAAGTGACCTCACTTTTAATCAGCTCCTTTATAGTATGTTGAAAATCACTGCGTGTAATGAGAGGTATTGAGAGTTTCTTGCACACATGAGTGTAAAAGGTTGAGAACTAGATTATACAAAGTAGTAAGTCACAGTGCATGGCAACTTTCTACAGGTTGGATTATAAGACTTATGTGGAATAGGAGAATTATATTGGGAAAAAATTATTTTCTCTAACTTGAAGACTCCAGAGACACTTTTCTTAGTCATGACCAGTAATATTTTTCATATATTTTGGAAGAAATAAGCTCCTCACTATACCACCAGTTAGTGATTTATTTATTTATGTATTTTAGAGACAGGGCCTCCTTCTGTCACCCAGTTTGGAGTGCAGTGGTGTAATCATAGCTTACTGCAGCATCAAACTCCTGGGCTCAAGTGTTCCTCCTGCCTCAGCCTCCCAAGTAGCTAGAACCTCAGCCCCATGCCACCACACTCAGCTAATTTTAAATTTTACTAATTTCATTTAATTTTTGTGGAGATGGGGGTCTTGCTGTGTTGTTTAGGCTGGTCCTGAACTCCTGGCCTCAAGCGATCCTTCTGCCTTGGCCTCTCAGTAAATTATATAGAAGAGCACTTCTGTATAATTTACTCAGTTTCTTCATCACATATTTCCAACTGTTGCCCTAAATAGGTTTAAAAATGTGATCATGTTATTAGAAAATCCTTTCCATTGAATTTCAGGGATGCTGAATTTCAGGGAGCTAAATTGTTGACCCTTGCCTGTAGTTGTTATTGGTTCAGAAGTAAATTTTATTGATGCTACAAGTAAAAAATTAGATCTGACTTAGTAAACTCAAAAGTTTTACAAAACTGTATTTTACTATGTAGATGTATTTCTTTAAAATAGGTATGGATGGATATTTTTATGAATAAATAATATTGCATTATAGATGGAATGAAACTTTGCATTTAATTTGCCCCATAAGTAGGCTTTTTGTAGAATGAATTACTCTCTTAAATTGTCCAATCTAAATTTTTATTAGCTACATTAACTTAAAGCATATTCTCTCTCTTTTCTCTTCACACTTTCTTCCTCCTTCCCAGGGTCTTCCTCTCCCTCTTTCATCACCTACATTGTTCCCCTTCCCTTTTATACTATTCTTATTGTATGTACTAGCTGTTGTTATTTATACAAATACTCATACATCCTTACATAGCATGTTTTTAAACAAAAGATACTGTAGTGGTCTTAACAGTTTACAATTTTATATTTAAAAATTATTCAGGAAATCTGGAAATCCCTGACTTTTTACACCGTGCTGATCACTTGACTCCTGTCTTAGTCCATTCTGGCTGCTCTCTCAGAATACCAGAGACTGGATAGCTTATAAAAAACAGAAATTTATTTCTTCTAAGTCTGGAGGCTGGGAAATACAATATCAAGGTGCCAGCAGATTTGGTGTCTGGTGAGGGGCCCACTCACTGGTTCATAGATGGTGCATTCTAGCTGTGTCTTCACCTAGTGGAAGGGTCGAGCTAGCTCTCTGAGACCCTTATGACCTAATCATCCCCCAAAGGTTCCACTTCCTAATACTATACCTCGGGAATTAAGGTTTCAACCTGTGAGTTTTGTGGGGACACAAATATTCAGACCATAGCAACTCCTGTACTCTACTAAAAAGCATATTAGAGAAATAAGTAATTGTTTTTCAATTTTTAAGAATTATTCACTTGAGCCAAGCGTGGTGGCTCACATCTGTAATTCCAGCACTTTGGGAGGCCGAGGTGGGTAGATCACGAGGTCAGGAGTTCAAGACCAGCCTGGCCAAGATGGTGAAACCTCATCTGTACTAAAAATACAAAAATTAGCCAGGCGTAGTGGCAGGCACCTGTAATCCCAGCTACTCAGGAGGCTGAGGCAGAGAATTGCTTGAACCTGGGAGGCAGAGGTTGCAGTGAGCTGAGATGTACCACTGCACTCTAGCCTGGGCGACAGAGTGAGACAGTGTCTCAAATAAATAAATAAATAAATAAAAATAAGATTCACTTGAACTAACAACGTAAGAATTATTTTTAAAAGAAACTTTTTAATGTAAGGTTTTTTAAAAAAATTATTCGAATAAGAAATTTTACTATATGTCTTACTGTTATTGTTACTTAGAAGTATATTAAAGAATTAAAACATTTTTTAAAAGTGTACCTGCCTCAGGATTATTTTCATTACAGAGTACTCCTTACTGATTTTGCATACAAATATCATTTACTCATTTCTGCCTCCAAATGTGTTATTTGCAAGGGGAAAATTTCCTCATTTTTTTTGTGTGTATAAATGTAATTTTATGGGAAACAGTTGTTAGGAAAACTGGCAGTGATTTACAATATGATCATTTAATTTTATAAACTTACTGTTTAGTATTTTCGCTTTATTAAATAGCTTTATTTCTAAAGTTGCTTCTTAGTAAAATCAATGAAGAAAGATTTTTAAATATACGTGATTTTGGGTCTAAAATGTATACTTCCCTTTTTTCCATTTCTAGAATTGTCTGTAGTTATTTAAAGGAAACCAATGTTTTAGCATCATATTTTAATACTTTTTTGGCAACTCTCCGAACTCTTGCAAATTCAAATTCTATGTGGCAAGCAGTGATAGATAGTTTTATCCAAGACATATACGGTCTCCTATAAAAGAAAAAAATCCTCTTAGTGCATAAGGTAAAAGTAAAGATTGGTAGACACAATGAGTATCTTTAAAGTAAAATACATCATTAACAAAGTGACTAATTCTTTAATTTGTAAAGTGTTTAGTAAGTTAAAGTAGGGAAAGTGAATTATAGTGTCACTTTTTGGCTTTTCACTTGTGCTAATTGATTTCATTTCTTTAAAGAGTATCAGTCATCATTTAGCTTAGTTCATTAATATCTTTGCTGATGGGATATAGTAATAGTTTACTTAGAACTAAACATCTGTGGTTTCTAATATCTAATAGTACATTCCTAATATAATGCTAAACCTCATTTTCATTTAAAAATAGTTAAATCACTAATAATGGTTTTTTGTTATATGCGCTTACTATTAATTGTTAATAACAAAAGTTATTTGAATTGTTTTTAAAAATGTAATTGCCATAGATTTTCACTGATGATTCTCATTAATCCTATTATTAAAATATAATATTTAATTTGAAATATGTGAATTATATCTAGTATTTAGCAGCAAAGAGCAGAGTCTGTTAATATTATCTCCCCATGCATGTACCATTAATTTGGATAATGAATATAATATGTTAGTAGTGAAATAAGGTTGGATTTCCATAAAATATCAGGTTTTAGTATATATTAGCATTTTCTGTAACTTCTATCTTTTATGTTTAGTCGACAGATTTTAGTTTCTTTAGTAATTCTCAGTAGTCCAATAAGCTATACATGTATTCAATAGATATTTTAATTAGCACTTACTATGTGCCAGTCACAATTTTAGGTACTAGAGAATACAGTGATGTAGAAGACAGAATTTCTGTGTTAAAAAAGTTGAAGTTCTGATGGTTGATCATAATAAAATAATTTCAGGTGTTGATAACTGATATGAAAGTGCTCCTATAGTAGAGAGCATAATGAAACTTCAGTCACAGTAGTTTGGAAAAGCCTTGCTGGAGGAGGTGACTTTTCAGAGAAATAATAGATCAAAGGAATCAATCATCAATATTGTGATATTCACTTTATTGTGATGGTCTGGAACTGAACCCACAATATCTCAAAGGTATGCCTGTATTAGAAGGTAAGTTTAAAATAAGTGATCTACTGTGGTTTGAATGTCCCCTCATGGGCGGATTGGTGCCATTATGAAAGGGTGGGTTTGTTCCCCTGTTACACTCTTGCCCTTTTGCCTTCCATTATGGGATAATGCAGCAAGAAGGCCCTCACAAGATGCCAGCTCCTCAATCTTGGACTTCCCAGCCTCCAGAGCTGTGAGGAAAATAAATTTCTGTTCTTTATAAACTACCCAGTTTATGGTATTCTGTTACAGCAGCTCAAAATAGACTAAGATATGTTCTGTGCTTTGGCCTTGCCTTAGAGTTTAGTCTGGGAAACAGAACCAATATGAGTGTTACGGAAAAGGGATTTACTGTAGGTATTAGACCTTACGCAATTATGAGTGGAACTAGGAAAGTGAAGATCCAAAAGGGGGAGTTAGAGGATCAGAAAAGGAGTCACTACTCAGTCCTCCTGAAGCACTGGCATAGGTGAGCAAGTGAGATCTTAAAGGAAATTTCTGAGAAGCCAAGCACTTTTGGCCACCAAAGTGGGAATGTGAGGAGATGTTAGTTGCCTCAGAGTAGCTGCTGTCTCTGTAGGTTCCCGTCAAGGTATCTGCTAGTGGGCCTAGTGCTGCTCTTGGTCAGGTGGACTAGCAGGCAGGAAGAAAAGGAAAGAAGAGTCAGGACAAGCTGGAAACTGCTGCGCTGCATAGCCTTGCTAAGTTGCCCAGACTTGTCTTGAACTCTCGGCCTCAAGCAGTCCTCCTACCTTGGCCTCCCAAAGTCCTAGAATTACATACGTGAACCACATTCCTGGCCCCAGACCTCACACTATAAAACTAATGGGAGAAAACTTTGAGGAAACACTTCAGGACATGTGTTGGGGCAAACATTTTTTGGAGTAAGACCTCAAAAGCACAGGCAAGAAAAGGAAAATCAACAAATGGGATTACAGTAAGCTAAAAAGCTTCTGTACAGCAAAGTAATCAACAGAGTGAAGAAACAACCTATAGAATGGAAGAAAATATTTGCAAATTACACATCTAAGAATTGATAACCAGAATATATACAGAACTCAAACAATAGCAAAAAATAATAATTCAATTACTAAATGGGCAAAATAACTGAATAGACATTTCACAAAAGAAGACATACAAATGGCCAGCAGGTAAATGAAAAAAAAATGCTCAACATCACTAATCAGGGAAATGGAAATGGAAACCACAATGAGATATTATCTCAGCCTAGTTAAAATGACTATTATTAAAAAGACTAAAAATAACAAATGCTGGCAAAGATGCAGAGGAAGTGGAACACTAGCTAGGATACTGTTGGTCAGAATGTATATTAGTATCCTTGTGGTACTCTCAGTGGTTCCTGTGGGCAGGAGTGGACTCCCCACAAACACTCTCAAACCATTGGGGAGAGTGTATGTTCACCTGAAATTTTTGGAAATCATGAGTCTAGGGAAATTTTTTGTGAATGATGTTATACAGGATCTGGGGAGAGGGCTGCACAATCTGAAATGGTTGTTTCTCTTACTGGTCGTGGCCTCTACATTCTATGGGCCAAGGGAGTTTCTGTGCTCCTCCCATAAGTTCTTGTTAATTTAGAGTGGTATTCTTGTCTTTAAATAGTTTCTGCTTCTGTTTTTTTGAGAGGTGTGATACTGGGGGATCTTCTATTTTGCCATCTTGCTGATGCCACTCTTCCATTAACTTTTGTCACAGGACACATGAGAACTAAGAAACACAGTAGAGGATCTTCATTCTAGACATACTTTTTCTCACTCACATTTTGTATTTTGCAACCCAGTTGCCCTTGATAGTCAGGATCAGTTACCTCAGTCAGTACTATAATCTTCTTCTTATTTGCTTGTTGGTTTTCTGGCATGAGGAACTGAAATAGCTAGGTGGAAGTCTCAGCTTCCAGTTTAGTGGAACCACTGTTGTATGCCCTTATGGAAGCATCACTCCTTTGGGAACTAAGACATCTAAACCAGCTGGACCTAGAATTGCAGGGACAGGAAACAAAAATTTTGCTAGTTGATCTTTGGGGTTAAGGGTTAAGGAGGAGCCTTTTCCACTTCTACCCCTGTGATTCCCAGAGCCATGGATCCTAGCAATTGGAGAAATGGTACCATATTTTTGTTGCTGATTCAGGACATGTACCACCTTCGGGAGGACATTATCTCAGCCATACAATTATCCTACACTGTGCTGTAACTGAATTTTCAAAAGGTTTCATTATTTTATCAAGCCATCTGCTTCAGGGTGATGGGAAATGTGGTAATACCAGTGAGTTCCATAAGCAAGAGCCCATTGCCAGATTTCATTTGCTACAAAAGAAGTTTCCTGGTCAGTAACAATGATGTGTGGAATATCACAGTAGTGAATATGTGTTTCTCTTAAGTCCACAGATGGTTGTTTTGGCAGAAGCATTGCAGGCAGAGAAGAAAAATTTCTGTCCAGGGTAAATGTCTGTTTCAATGAGAACAAAACACTGAGCTTCCTGTGATGCCAGTATAATCAACCTGGCACTAAGTGACTGGCTGATCTAGACATGGAATGGTATGGAGTTAAATGTTGGTCTCTGCTATTGGCATTTTGGGTACTCAGCAGTGACTGTAGTCAGATCAGCCTTGGGAAATGAAAATCCATGTTGCTGAACCCATGTGTAATTTTTATCCTTGTCTTTATGGTCACTTTGTTCATGGGCCAATTGGGCAAGGGCATGGGTGGTTGGAGAAAAAGACTAATATCCATAGATTGTGTCATCTTGTGCACCTGATTATTAAGATCCTCCTCTTACTGAAGTTGCTCTTTGGCAGTTATTTACGTGGCTCACAAATATCATCACACTTAGTTATCTACTGCTTTATAACAAACCACCTCAAACTTAATGCTTTAAAGCAACCACCATTTATTTGCTCATCATTTTGATAGCTGTATTGCACTCAGTTGGACTAGTCTCAAGTATGCTGTTCCTCTGCTAGTCTTATGGGATTGCTCTTACAGCTGTAGTCATCTGGAGACTTGACTAGAGCTAGGTGATCCAAGATGGCTTCATTTACATGTCTTTTACCTCAGCTGGAATGGCTGAAACAGGCTCTCTTTGCCTTTTTCCATGTGACCTATTGAACGGGATGGCCAGACTACTTGACATGGTGCCTCAGGCCCTCAAGGGAATGAAAGCAGAAGCTTCCAGCCCTCTTGTAGCTGAAGTCTTGGAATTCACACGATGTAATTCCTACCATATTCTAGCAGTTGATACAAGTTATGAGGGGATTTGAGTTTCATACAAGGTTATAAACTCGATCTCTTGACAAAAAGATTGGCATACACACATGGGAATGGTAGGAATTCTTGGCAGCTATTTTTGCAGACAACCTACTTCAGTTTGCCTTTTGGGGCAACAATTCACATCTTTCCATATTCAAGACTCGCTAATTCCTTTCCATGATCCCAAAAGACTCATATTATGGCATCAGCTCAAAATCCATGATATCTGCATCTGTATGAAACCTAGAAGTGGATAAGGTTCATCAGGTGTGGCTTCTCTTGATTTTGACACCAGTTCTCTTTTGAAAGTTATAAATCTTCTCCCACTGTGACTATATTTTGAGAATAGTATATATTCTAGAGTAAATTTAATTGTTAATGTTATCAACTGTATCAATGTAAGTTGTGCTTTTGGTCTTAAGAAGTTATTCTCTATCACATTATTCACCTTATCAACAAATGTAAATTACCTCATAATATCTAGCTTATCTTTCTTCCATAACAACAGTACTCTACAAAGTCTACCACACTAAAAAATTATATTGTCTAGCATCTTTTGCAGCTGGGTATGGATGATACATAAAAGAAAGTTGTTGGGTGGGACTTCCAGCAAAATTCTGTAAAGAAGTACACACATATTTCTCATTAAAGGCACCCAGCACTCCCTGGAGAAATAGCTAATTCTAGGACTGCAGTAGAGAATGTACATGAATAAACCTGGAATATCTTGTTGTAGCAGAAGTTTCAAAAGTGTTTTAAGGCCAGGCGCGGTGGCTTACGCCTGTAATCCCAGCACTTTGGGAGGCCAAGGCGAGTGGATCACAAGGTCAGGAGATCGAGACCATCCTGGCTAACACAGTGAAACCCCGTCTCTACTAAAAATACAAAAAATTAGCCGGGTGTGGTGGCGCACGCCTGTAGTCCCAGCTACTTGGGAGGCTGAGGCAGAAGAATTGTTTGAATCCGGGAGGCGGAGGTTGCAGTGAGCTGAGATTGCACCACTGCACTCCAGCCGGGTGACAGAGCAAGACTCCATCTCAAAAAAAAAAAAAAGTGTTTTAAAAATAAAAGATGATTCTAAAAAGGTACAAATGCAATTCAGTAAGAGAGGATAGTCTTTTCAACAAATAATGCCAGAACAATTTAATACACACATGTAACTTCTACGTAAACCTCATATTTTATACAGAAGTTAACTGTAAATGGATCCTAGATGTAAATGTAAGACTTCAAAACAGAGAAAATCTTTGTGACCTTATATTTGTCTAAAATGTCTCAGATGCAACACCAAAAGCATGATCTATAAAAGAAAAGAGCATATTTGTATCAAAATTAAGATTTCTTCTCTTTGAAAGATGAGACACAAACTGTGAGAAAAGATTTACAAGTCACATATATGGTGAAGGACTTGTATCCAGAGAAGTAGGGAAGAAGACTGTTGCTATTTATTATCAGCTCTTCTGTACTCTTTTATAGTGTATACACACACACACACACACACACACACACACATAGGTACATATGTAGTAAGATATTTTTTATTTCTTTTAAAATACTTTAACCTTTGTAAAAAAACAATAATAAATGTTTAGTATGCATTTGGATCCTACAAAGTTTTTAAGTGCATTATTTCACTTAATATTCATAATGAACCCTATGAAGTTTGTTCTGTTGTTATATGCATTTTACAAATGAAGCTGAGGCTTTTTTTTATTATTTTAAAGAAAATGGCAAATCCTAGCAAATGGTGGTATAATCAGCATTTGGACTTAGGTTTTTATGACTCCTGAGCCTTTCATATTAACTGTCACACCCTACTTTCTATGCTGTGTGATAAATTTTCCTATATTCTCACCATGCTTCATATCCCAGTTTGATGACATTGGTAATCCTACAAGTACAACTTTGTTAGAACTTTAATGGACTCATGTACACTCAAATATTTAAGTTCAAGGAAATGAATCCTGGCTAAAAGTTATAACTGGATCATAAGCCTAAGGATAAGAAGGAGTTGAATTGAGATAGGAGTAGAATTGATGAAGACTTACAAGAAATACTGACATGAATTAGGCAAGAATTTTTTTCTTTCTCTTTGTACCAATTATTAATGAAGTATGAATTTCTTCATTCCCCACTGAATGAAGAAGGGGCATCAAGTTTTATACTCTTTCTGCTCCTTTCAGGTTTTGATAGCAGCCTGCCTGATATCGTGTTATGGCCTCGAAGATTTTTAACCTCCACATCCTCAATAACTTCCTCCACTTCTCACCCTCCCATTTCATGGCCCTGTGTTCCACCATTTCACTTGTAAAGCTATAACTTGAAAATGATCTTTTAGTATCTTACCACCTCCCTTCTTCCATCTTGTTCAAGTATTAATAGTTTCACTGTAATCCTTCTTTGACCTCAACCAGTCTTTAAGTTTATTTATCCCTGTACTGTCTTTTGCTCAATCAGACCCCGACTTTGTTTTCTAAACCATCTTATTCATTCATTCAACAAATATATGCTTAGCATCTAATAACTGTCAGGCACTGATCTAAGCGTTGGAGATCCAGCAGTAAATTAACTGATAAACTCTTGCCAATATCCTGAAATCCTGTGCCCCTCTCTTTCTTTGAGTCACATTATCTAGCAAAACTGTAACCCTAGCTGAGACCAAGTATTGACTTTTTTATACCTCTCTTAAAGAGATGAGTGCGCTAAAAAAAAGTTTAAAGAGAGGACACTGATAGTGTTATGAATACATGATCAACATCAAGAAAGGCCACCTTATTTGTCCAATTTGTTCTTATTTTTCTCTTAAGTTACTCTTCTGCTCTTCTCAACGAATATTTCATCCATTTCTTTTATCACTGAGACTCCCTCATTAAAACTGCTCTGCTGACGCTCTGAGGGGTCCTCTAATAAACAGCATGCCTCTTTTGGCCTGGACTATAAGCAATATAATAAAACAAGGAATAGAGGTAAAAGAAGAACGAAAATATTATCCTTATCACTGCAGGTGGTACATAGAGAATGTGGTTTATATGAGAACTAAATAGAAAACTGTGCTTCAGAATCAGGCAGGTTTGCCCACGCATCCCTGGGCAGTACTGGACCGGGTAGCCTGCCTTCATGCGAGGTCTGCCAAAGTAAGATTTACATTGTAACTTCTTCTGAGGCGAGCCTACTTGCAAAGAGAAGAAGGACTTTTGAGCTGAACTACTCACGTCTAGATATTCTTCCCAAATTGGTTATTAGATAAAGCATTCTGTTTTCCCTGGAACACGGTGAGAGAAAGGTCAGTGGAAAGCCTGTAGGTGATTAGGATAAAAGAATGGAAAGTGGAGGTATGTCTCCTATCTAACATCTTTAATGGCTTCTTATTGCACTTAGAATAAAAACAAAGTCAAAGCATAATATGTGCTAAAA
Organism: Homo sapiens; assembly: GCF_000001405.40. NCBI lineage: Eukaryota > Metazoa > Chordata > Mammalia > Primates > Hominidae > Homo > Homo sapiens. The sequence goes on along the minus strand of NC_000005.10, from coordinate 118,827,821 downwards.
TACTCTATATGGTCAACCTACATCTACAGCCTCATCTTATGCCCTGTTCCCTTCTTTGCTACCCCTTCTCTCCCAGATATAGAATATCTTCTTTTAGGCCCTCATGTTTGCCATGTTCCCTCCCACTGTAAGACATTTGCACATGTCGTATCTTTCTCTCTTTCATGTTTTTGCTTTCTTATTGGCCTGGTTAGTGTCTCACATCCTTCAGATGTTGGGTTACTAACAATTTTCTTGGTGGAACCTTCCTGACCAACTTCATCAAGTCACATAGCCCTATTATATACAGTTTACATAAAGCTATGTTCTTTTTGATACTGATAGGGTTTGGCTGTGTCCCCACCCAGATCTCATCTTGAATTGTAGTTCTCATAATCCCCACGTGTCATGAGAGGGACCTGGTGGGAGGTAATTGAATAATGGGGGCAGTTACTCCCCTGCTGTTGTTCTCATGATAGTGAGTGAGTTCTCCTGAGATCTGATGGTTTTATAAGGGGCTTTTCTCTCTTTGCTCATTCTTCTCCTTGTTGCTGCCATGTGAAGAAGGACTTGTTTGCATCCCCTTCCACCAGGATTGTAAGTTTCCTGAGGCCTCCCCAACCATGCTGAATTAAGAGTCAATTAAACCTCTTTCCTTTATAAATTACCCAGTCTTGCATATGTCTTTATTAGCAGCATGAGAATGGACTAATACAGATACCATTTTGCAGGTACAGTATTTTTTATTTGGGTAACTATTTGATTAATATCCATCTCCTTGATTGTACTGCAAGTTCTGCCAAGTTTTTGCTTGCCATTGTCTCCTCACGTGTCTACCATATTGCTTAGCCCTTAAAGTTCAATGTGAATAGTTGTCAAATTAAAGAATAAGGAATAGTATGGTTTTTAAAAAGACATTTTGTTCTTGGTGTTTAAAATATCTTGACATCATATATGTTTAGTATAGAATAGGGATACTTATTTTAGCATGAATTAGAAACGATAAGCAAGTTCATGTTTACTGCTGCAAAGAAATAATTATCTGAATTTCTTCTGTAAGGTACAGAAGTACTTTTTTGCATCTAAGATAAAGATACAGAAGAGACTATTCTGAATAATAAAACAAATGGGCTCTCTTCTTTCATCTCGTAAGATGGATTTTGCTCTAGTCCATCTACTGGGAGCCATCAAAACAAATCTTGCAAAAGAATTCCTTTTGGAATTCCTTTTGGGTTTCACTCTTGAAGATTTATTGACAGCTCTAAAAGTACAGTACAACTTGCATTTATTTAGAATGGTTGGAGAACATTATTGCTATTTGCATTAATTATTTAAGAGTTAAGACACATACAGTGTATCCGTTTTCAAATAATTTAAATGTATTTAACATTTAAAAGTTATCAATCATGATCAGTATTTTTCTAACTCAAATTGTATTTTGGAATGCTGGAGCACTGTTTCAGGGTCATCAAAATGGCTACTTTTGCAACGATGTATGCAAAAATCTAGCTATTTGGATTTTCCAATATTTGGAGTTTAGATAGGAAAAATTAGTAGGGCTAGGATATTTTAATATAGATATTTATTCCTAAAATAAACCTTGTTATTAAAAGAAGAAAGCCACCTTGTATGACATGACCATCCAGTTAATACTTTTTTTGTAGCTATAAATGTCTAGTCGAAAAAAACATAATGTTAATTTCAGGCAAATGACCTATTACTTTTCTTTCATTTTTTATCACAGTGGTAGGCATCAGTAGTCTTTAGTAAATCCTTTAATCCTGTCTTGGTCTTTGTAAGGAAGGATATAACAACAGTAATATTTTATATATACTTGTTAGATTAAAATGTTTGTCTCAATCCTTGTGATCTAGTCATTAATTCCCTAATTTATCACCTTAAAAACCATGTCACATCTACTTCCTTTTTGAGTGGGGAATAGAATCTGAATTTTTCTTTGAGCCCAGAATGTTCTCATCATGTGGTAAATCTCTGTCATAAGTGAATAAAAGCTTCATTAGGTGTTTCTTATAATAAAATTAATTTTCTTTTTTTAAACTACTTCAGTTTATTATCATCAGAATATAATTCAGAAAAAGGAGTGTAATACGTGTTGTTAGGGCCTTCCTGCACAGAGGTTGTTCTAGTTACTTGCTGCTTTCTACAGGAAAATGCCTTACCTAGTGCATAATTCAGGTAAGATAGTAGCAAGAGATTGGACTGACCACTGATTCCAGAGAAGAAATCATGTTGGAACCAAAATATTCTATGTAAAATGTATGATATTCTTAATGCTCATATTTCATATTTAATAAATACATTCCTGAAGGTTAGTCTTTGAAATGCAAGTTCAGCTACCCAACTGGCATTTCTGTATGCCATAATTAGAGCTGTCAAAACAATCTCTTTAAAAATAGAACCCGAAGGAGCTTGAGAGCTTCCTGTCTGAAGTTGTACCAGCATTCCTTGATGTGAATACAGAGACTCCCCAAAAGGTAAAACTTTTCTGGTTATAAGAACAGCACTATGCATAAACACACATGTACATAAGCACACACACACATACACACACACATGCCAAAGGAAGTGATATATTTTTTGAAGCTAATAGTGAGATCTTTTTTCTTAAATTGATTTAGATATTTATCAAACATACAGAAAAACATTTCTGAAATTAAGTTATGGAATAAAGAGCCCTCAAATATATTGTCATAATATGGAAAATTAAAATGGGGTGATATATGAAGAATCCTAAAATAATTGCTCATTAATAGGCATTATACATCTGATTGCTGCTTTTAACTTTTTATCTTAGGCCTGCATGGAGTATATAAGAAGAGGAGTAAGGTAAGGAATGGCTCATAGATCTCTAATGTCTTTTTTTTTTTTTTACAAAGGATTTTCTCAAATGATAAAAATATGAAACCCGAGTTTTCTAATTTACAAATAAAATTCTCATTGTGCATTGCTAGGATCCCACCAATCAGCTGTACACAATTCTAGTATTTCACAAATTATAGGGTTTTTTTTCCCAGGATTCTGAGACTGCAATGAGAACTTCTTTCTCCTCTTTCAACTTGTTTGCTCATGTATTAAAAAAAGTTCCCCCAAAGTTCTCTCTAATTTATAGAGAACTTATTCTGATTTTATTGCAAACTGGGCTCCTGATTCTCAGGTTTTAAAATTCTGATAGAAATTCTGGAACAGATTCTGTGGGAGCATCTTAAACATAATGTCAATAGTGGATCTTCCCACTCCTTTTAAGTAGGAAATGAATGATAAAATCTATATCATAATATCAAGTATGGTGCTCTCAACTTGTCTGACTTGATCAAAAGTCAGGAATAGCAAAGAGAAACAATGGCTTTTGCTATGTGCTGAATTTTAAGATGTGTATGCTGCCTTTTGAGGAAAAGGCCACATTTATTGCTTAAGGGCTTTAAACTTAAAGCCTTACTGTTCATTCCCCAATTATTCCCCCTTGACAATGTATTATGGCTATCTCCAGCTGAGTGTTGAAGATGAAGCAGCTAATGATTTGTCGTGGTGTTAGAGTTCAGGGAGTTAACCCAAGCCAAGGAGAACTATTAGGAAAACTCTTGTGATTAGCAGAAGAGAAACCCTGAGGGGCACTTGACAGTTACATTAGCAGTTAAACCACACAGAGGAAACATGGATCCTGGAGCAGGCAGCTAACACTGATCCCCACTGTGCAGAAAGGGGGATCATGTGTATGCTGCCCAGAATCCTTACATCCTGTGAATGATATCAGGATTGCCTTTCTAGATGGGGAGATTTCCTCATTGCATCTCTAGAGCTCATAATGAAAAATGAATGCGTTTTCTCAAAAGGGCCAAACATATATGACAAACCAAGAAAAAAGTGTTTACTAGTCTACGGAGACCCTCGTAAACAGGAGGTAGCAGGAGAGAAGAGAGGCATAAAGGTAGTTCAGACAAGGAAGAGTTCTAGCCTTATAAAGTGCTGCACCTGTAGCCATCGGTCTCGAGAATATCCATCCCCTCCTTGAGCCATACAGATTCCTTTATGAAGTACTCATGGTAGAAAATCTTAAATAAAATTATTAAAGTGATTTCTTAAAAATATACCTGGTTATATACATCCAAAGGAGCAGTGTCCTCATCAGAATAATAAGATTGGAAGGTTGTACACGTATTCTGCAATATTTTAGTAATGTTCCTGGAATTGTGCTCAGAACCAAAACCCCCTTTTTTCACATTTTGAAAGGTAAGAAAATTATCTCTTGATTGTTCATTTTGGTTTATTAAAGTATTCAAAAATTTTAGCTCAGGATATGAAGAAAATTGAAATCAACCTAGTTTTACTGTGAAAGTGTGGTGAAGAAATTATAGTTTGTTTCTTTTGAATTACTAAGAAAACCCAAACACTTCACCATTTCTGTCCATCAAGCCTAATTACCTGTGTAGCACGAATTCTTTATGAAGGATTCCACTGATTTGAAATAAAAAGTCAACATTTACACTACCTACGAGTCTAGCACTTGAACATTATAAAACTTCAGGATATTGGGGATTCATTCTGATTTGTTTCATTACTGATTAATTTCTGTACTGTACCACTAAATGTTTTGGCCAAAAAAAAATCAAGTCTTCATTTTTTGCTCAATGCCTGTGACAAAGGAATTACCAATCTTTATCATGTTAATTTTAATTTCACAGTCATCTTTATTTTCATTTGATCAATAATCCAATCTTTCTTAATGAACTAAGTCACCTTTTCAACATTTTCACGTTGAAAATTTTTACAGATCTTAACCAGGCTCAGTGGCTTATGCCTGTAATCCCAGCACTTTGAGAGGTCAAAGTGGGTGGATTGCCTGAGCACAGGAATTTGAGACCAGCCTAGGTAACATGGCAAAACCCCATCTTTACTTTATAAAAATTTTGAATTAAAAATTTTTCAAGCATCTTGTGGGTGATTAGACAATTTACCAGTTCATGCCTAGTTGGTGGACATCATTTCTTCTTACTTTAAACCTTCCAGAGAGCCTCAAAGCCCTACACTGACATGACTTTATCTGTATAAACTGCTTTTAACGGGACAAAATACCTTTCAAGGAAAACTTACTGTTTTTTGACCAGTATTATAATCAGTCATTTTTATGCTGACCTGAAACAGCAGGAATGTAGAAGAACAATAGTAAGACTTTACTAACTGATCTTTGCTGATGATCTAGCTGCAGGTTGTGATGTTGCGGCATTCTTTGCATTAGGCAGTCTGCTTTTCTACAATAAAAATAATAAGCTTCCCACTGTTAGTTGTGAATCCCAGCTCACTTTCCTTTCATTGGACCTTGTTTTTTCACCTATTACTGAGAGTTCTGACTCAGGGGAATTGCTAGTAAATGCATTTGTGGCTGTATTTCTGTCCTGCCTTAATCAACATTTAACCTTCAGTCCTAGGGAACTGGGCTTGATCATATTCAAACCACAAAGTCTCTCCTTTCATCATTCTGATTTGAAGCCTCAACCTGCATATTGAGCTTCTCCTCGCTTCCTTTCTGAAGCCTCTGCTAGGTCGTTTAAAGGCCTTGCAAGATTGAGTCACCTGACAGTGCACCTAGGCCTGTAATAACATCTGTTGGAGAAAACTTAGAGGAGAGGAGCAGTAGGAGGTATGCAGTTCCTCATTGTCCTTTACCTCTGGAACTGTGCACAGAAATATAACATGGCATGTAACATGGCTGGATGGTAGGCTCCTAGCAAGATACTCAGCTCTTGGTATGTGGGGTTTAGAAGATGAATTATTGGGGGGAAACACTAGCCCTTCCCCTGGCAAGACCAGGAGTTAGGATCTAAGCCTTAGGGTTACAGATATATGATATGGTGGTACCTTGGCCTTTAGCTCTGTTCTATCACCTCATCATTCTATACACATGTTTGCTAAATCGTCTTTCTCCAAGAGGCCAGCTACCTTTCTGTAGAGCCTCACTGCATTCTCAGCCTACTTCACCTTTATCTCTCACACACTAAGTTGATCATAAATAGAAGAAAGTGAGTATTGCCTTAGTCCACTTCTAATCATGGTCCCATATTCCTCTTACCAAAATATGCAATCATTAGTCCTAAGGCAGGTGATAGATGGGACATAATTCTTGCTTTGGTTTTATCACAGACTTATTCAAGAGTTGCTCCATGATGATAGAGTTGGAAGGGCTATGATGAATAATTTCTTTAGAGTAGATATGACAGACTGGTAACTCGTGGACTAACATTTTTTTTTTAAAGCAACATGCACACTTATTTAATTGTTTAAAAATTAGTTACTAGCATTTCATGTTGGGTAATCTCACTTTAAAAATCCAGATTTCTGGCTTCTTTCAAAAATTAAAAGATTTTGGCCTCACTGGGCCCATATTCCTTCATGGAAACAGTCAGTTGGAGGTCCTCCTAGTCAAAGAAGATGCCAAGAAAGGCACTTTCATGCTCCCAACACTATTCTGTAGGTTGTTTGTTGTAGGTATATATGCTGATGTATTACTCTCAACACATCTGTCTGATCTAATGGTGCAGAAATGGAATAAAATAATATTGTATCTGTTTAAGGTTTTTTTCAGTTTTTCTGTGAATGTGGAGGTTTTTTAGATGTACATGTCTTTTTGGTAAAAAAAATCATATTTCAATAGTTAAATTTGAACTGAGTTGCTTGTTTGAGAATCTTTGTTCCTTGTGGCTGAGGCAGCATTAGTATAGACATTCTGCTGCTTCTGTCTGCACTTGAAACATTTTACATGCTTTTATTTCCAATTGGAGTACTTGAGGAAAATTTCCATTATATAGACATAATAAACAAATTGGTTTGAAGGAATAGTGTCTGTCTTGAACAGACACTAAGGAATGTATAGCAAACAACTAAAGAATGAATAGACTCTAAGAGTTTATTAGTACTATCATAAGGGACAACAGAAGCAGCAGGTTAGTGAAACTCTATGAAGTACTGAATCTAATTGATCCCAGATTCAGAGGCAGCTCACCTTCCATTGTTATATTTATTTATTTTTTGAGTTAGGGTCTTGCTCTGTTGCCCAGGCTGGAGTGCAGTGGCATGATCATGACTCACTGCAGCCTTGAACTCCTGGGCTCGAGTGATTCTTCCACCTCAGCTTTCCAAGTAGCTGGGACTACAGATGTGTGCCACCACATCTGATTAATTTTTTAAAAAATGTTTGTAGAGATGGAGTCTTGCTATATTGCCCAGGCTGGCCTTGAAGTCTTAGCCTCAAGCATTTCGACCTCAGCCTCCCAAAGTGCTAAGATTGTAGGCAGGATCCACAGCGCTTACCCCATCGTTCTTTTTATCTCTATAGTATGTTTGTAGGGGATACTGGCGATTCCTGACAGAGACTAAAGCAAAAGTGGTTATATTTCTGTTGCTTTCCTGTAAATTGGAAGAGTTTTTATGTGAGATCTTAATGTTTTCTTTTCTTTTTATTTTTACTCCTAATTGAAACTGTGTTAAAAGAATATGTTATAGAGTGAGCATCTGAAGAAGTAATCTAATGTTGGAAGATGAATGTAAAAATGTTGAAGGGGCTAGCCTTTCTGGAGAGCATCAAGAGTAGGGTGGGTGTGGAACAGTAAATGAGAGTGAGTGAATGAAGGAGAGGAGATTGAAAGAAAGGGAGAAGGGAGATTTCAGGGAATAATTCAGACAGAATTGGAAATAACACAGGGTACCTATGAGATAAACTGAGTATAGAGTTCAAATGCCAAAGCCTTATTTTCTTGTCTACATTTCTACACATCTGCTCTCCTGACTGCTGTTGACATTTGCATAATTTTTGAGTGTCTTTCAAGGAATTTTAAGGTTGGATAATTAATCAAATCAGTAAGAATCACTCAGAATGGGACAAATCAAAGTTTCATTGCTTTTTTGAAAACTGTTTATCTGCATGTGAAGTGGTACCTAAGAGGCAAATGGGGCAGAGCTGCTAACAGACTGTAGACAGACTCATTTCCAAGACCACGTGATTATTTCAATGTTGACTGAGGTCTGCAAAAGCTGTGCAGAAGTATTTGCTTCTTTTTTATTTTCAAGCTCTAACAGACCATTAAGTTGCACTAAATTTTGGAATCATTAATCACTTTTCATGATAAAATCAAAGATATATAATTTGAGCTCTTAATATACACATTTTATTTCTGAAATCATCTCAAATGATTATATTCCTTCAAAACACTTCCATTTATAACTTGAAGATATAAAAATATACTGATTAGTTTATTTGGTTAGTCACAAAACAATCTAGAATAATGACAAAAATTGATGGTAAACAATGTGATATAATATATGGCAGCCTGGTCTGTGTATTTTTATATTAAACATTAAAGAGAAAAAACCTTAATTAGGTGATTTAGAAGCTAAGCTTTAATTGGAATAGTTGCTAATCTAACTGTGGGTGCTTGAAAATATAAGACAAGTAAAATCTCACAGATGTCAGACCATCTTTATGGAAGCTTAACTCTGAGGAAAGAATTATCCTAATGTTCTGGTCATAGGAATACTTCAGAAACCCTAAAAACTGATGTATAAATAATCATGTTTATGAACATATGTTTAATTACAGGGGTCAGTCTCTCTAAACCAGCTTCAAGTAATGAAATAATCTTATTAATCCTTATATCCAATATTGTCACATATAAATATTATCAAATTAATGACAAGGAGAATGAATGATTTATTTTCTCACTCTGGTTTCTGGAGCTTCCTTCTCCCCATGCACTCATTGGTTGTCACCTTTCATCAGCAAATTACTGCCTGATGGCAAATCAGTCCCATACTTGTTTTCTTATAGCCCTGGAGCTAAGAATTTTTTTTTTTTACATTTTTAAGTAGTTAAAAAAAATCAAAAGAATAATTTTTAGTAACATGTCAAAATAATATAAAATCTAAATTTCAGTGTCCGTAACTACATTGTTATTGGTACATAGTAACATTCATTCATTTACATATGATCCATGGCTGCTTTCACACTGCAACAGTGAAGATGAGTAATTGCGATAGAAACTGTATGACTGTTGAAGCCTAAAATATTAACTATCTAATACTTTACAGAGAAAGTTTGCCAATCCCTGTCCTACAGCATGGAACTTAGGAAGAGCACCTGACATTCTTTCTTAAGATTTGGACATCAAAGTCATAAAATCACCTGTGGCGATTGTAAAAATGAAGATTGCTGGGTTCCAATGTTATAGTCTCTATTGAATAGAAATCTTTGGAGCCTTGCAGAGTATGGAGTCTGCATTTTTAACTAATGCCCCAGGTGGTTTTTCTGCACATCATGAAATGAGAATCTCTGTTTTGTGCAGGGAAAGGACACTGGACTGCTGGATTCCTAGAGCTCAGTCTAGGCAGACTACGTGGTTCAATATGAAAGGTCTTTCATGCATTATTTGAGATTTCTGGAGTATTCTCTCTGTATTCTCTTTCTATGACCCCTTCTCAGTTACAGAGCTCCTACAAAGTCTTGCTGTTGAAATAGGTTCTTATTTGTCATATTGTTTAAAATGGTGGTCTCCAAAGTAGAGTATACACACAGTTTAGTTCACAATCCTCTGGGTTCTAAAAGAAAATATTAGAATTATTATTTTTTTCTGTAACATTTTGGTGTATAAATTAAATACATATAAAGAGTGTAAAAATAAAAAAAGTTTATAACAGAAGTATAGTGTTGTCCATTTACACCCATTACCACCCCTATTCCTTTTCCCCAAAGGTAGTTTCTTTTGCCATTTACCTCTATATTTCTTTTTTTTTTTTTGGTAGGGGGTGGGGAAGGAGTACATGTAATAGTTTAATGCATTCATATGAGTTGTAGAGATCAAATCAGTGAAATTGGGATATCCATCACCTTAAATTTGTCTTCTTTATGTTGAAATAATTCAAATTCTTCTGTAGCTATTTTGAAAATACAATGGATTATTGTAAACTGTAGTCACCATATTGATCTATCAAACACTAGGCCTTATTTATTCTACCAAACTGTGTGTTTGTACCCATTAATCAACCTTTGTACATCCCCTCATACTCCCTACCCTTTCCAGCCTCTGATAACCACTGGTCTACTCTCAATCTTCATAAGATCCACTTTTCTAGCTTCCACATATGTGTGAGAACACGAGACATTTGTCTTTCTGGGCTTGGCTTTTTTCACTTAATAACCTCCAATTCCATCTATGTTGTTGTAAGTGACAGGATTTCATTTTTTATAGCTGAGTGTAATGTTCCATTGTGCACATACACCACATTTTCTATATCTATTCATCTGTATATAGACACTTACGTTAATTCCATATTTTGACTATTGTGAATAGTGCCGCAGTAAACATGGAATGCAGATGTCTTTCTGATGTATTGATTTCCTTTTGGATATATACCCAATAGAAGAATTGCTGGATCATATGGTAGTTCTGTTTTTAGTTTTTTGGGGAACCTCCATTCTGTTCTTCATAGTGGCAGTACTAATTTACATTCCCACCAACAGTGTATGGGGGTTCCCCTTTCTCTGTATCTTTGCCATCATCTGTTATTTCATATCTTCTTGATAAAAATCCTTTTAACTGGGGAGAAATGATATCTCATTGTGGTTTTGATTTGCTTTTCTCTGATGATTAGTGATGTTGAGCATTTGTTCATATACCTGTAGGCTGTGTGTATGCCTTCTTTTGAGAAGTATCTATTCAGGTCTTTGGCCCATTTTTTAATAGAATTATTTATGTTTTTTGTTGTTGATTTGTTGAAGCTTTTTACATATTCTGTTTATTAATCCCTTATCAGATGGATAGTTGACAAATATTTTCTCCCATTCTATGGGTTGTCTCTTCACTTTGTTGTGTCCTTTGATGTGCTTTTTAGTTTGATGTGATCCCATTTGTCTATTTCTGCTTAGCTTGCCTGTGCTTTTACGGTTTTACCTAAAGAAATCTTTGCCTAGACCAATGACCTGAAGCATTTCACCAATGTGGTTTTTCTAGTAGTTTCATAGTTTCAAGTCTTATATTTAACTCTTTAATCAATTTTGATTTAATTTTTGTGTATGTTGAGACATAGGGGTATAGTTTCTTTCTTCTGCATATGGTTATTTAGTTTACCCAGCACTATTTTTTTATTTTTTATTTGTTTAGAGTCAGTGTCTGGCTCTGTTGCCCAGACAGGAGTACAGTGACACAATTACCACTCACAATAGCCTCAAACTACTGGGCTCAAATAATCCTCCCACCTAATCCTCCCAAACAGATGGGAATACTGGCATGCACCATCATGTCTAGCTCACCATTTATTGAGATTGTCCTTTGCTCATTGTATGCTCTTGGTGCCTTTTTTGAAAATGAGTTGGATATAAATGTGGGGATTTAGATCTGTGTCTTCTGTTCTGTTCCATTGGTCTATGTGTCTGTTTCTATGTCAGCATCATGCTGGTTTGGCTATTACAGCTTTGTGGTATATTTTGAAGTCAGATAACGTCATGCCTTCAGCTTTGTTCCTTTTGCTATTTTGGATTACTTTTGGATTGCTTTGGCTATTTGAGGTTTTTTGTGTGGTTCCTTATCAATTTTAGGATTGTTTCTTTTATTTCTATGAAGAATGTCATTGGTATTTTATCATTGATATATTGACTTTGTATATTGCTTTGGGTAGTAGAAACATTTGTATAACATTAATTCTTTCAATCCATGAGCATGGGATATCTTTCCTTTTTTGTGTGTGTTCTCTTCAATTTCTTTCATTGGTGTTTTATAGTTTTTCTTGTATAGATCTTTCACTTCTTTAATTAAATTTATTTCTAGGTATTTTACATTCTTTGTAGTTATTGTAAATAGGATTGTTTTCTTGATTTCTTTTTCAGATTGTTTGTCATTTGCCTATATAAATGCTACTAATTTTTGCATGTTGATTTTGTATCCTGCAACTTTACTGAATTTGTTGATCAGTTCTAGCAGTTCTTTGGTGGAATTTTTAGGTTTTTCCAAGTATAAGATCATGTCGTCTGCAAGCAAGGCTAATTTGATTTCTTCCTTTCCAGTTTGGATGCCCTTTATTTCTTTCACTTGTCTAATTCCTCTGACAAAGACTTCGAGTATTATGTTGAAAAGAAGTGGTGAAAGTGGACATCTTTGTCTTGTTTCAGATCTTAAAGAAAATGTTTTTAATTTTCCCCCATTTCATGCAGTATTAGCTGTGGTTTTGTTACATATGGCCTTAGTTATTTTGAGGTATGTTTCTTCTATGCCCAGTTTGTTGAGGGATTTTATCATAAGGACATATTGAATTTCATCAAATGCTTTTTAGCATCTATTAAAATGATCATATGAATTTTGTTCTTGGTTCTGTTAATTGTGTATATTATGTTTATTAATTTACATACATTAAGCCATTCTTGCATCCCTAGTATGAATCCAGTTAATCATAGTGAGTGATCTTTTTAATGGGTTGTTAAATTTAGTTTGCTGGTGTTTGGATGTAATCTCATTTGTCTATTTTGTTGAATGTGCTTTTGGGACCATGTCCAGAAAATCACTGCCCAAACCAATGTCAAATAGCTATTCCCCTAAGTTTTCTTCTAATACTTTTACAGTTTCATGTTTTATGTAACTATTTAATCCATTTTGAGTTGCTTTTTGTTTATGATGTGGGATCAGAATCCAATTTTATTCTTCTAAATGTGGATATCTAGTTTGTCTAGCACCATTTATTGAAGAGACCAGTTGTTTCCCATTTTGCATTCTTGGCAACTTCGCCTAAGATCAATTTTGCATAAATGTGTAGATTTATTTCTGAACTGTCTACTGTGTTCCATTGGTCTACCGTCTTTTTTATGCTGGTATCATACTGATTTGATTACCATAGCTTCATAGTATATTTTAATATTGGGTAATGTGTTTCCTCTAGGTTTGTTCTTGCTTAAGATTGCTTTGGCTAGTCTGGGTCTTTTGTGCTAATGTATGGATTTTAGGGTTGTTTTTTGTATTTCTGTGAAAAATTTCATTGGAATTTGATAGGGATTACACTGAATCTGTAGATCACTTTGGGTTATATGACATTGTAGCAATATTAATTCTTCCAATTAATGAACACAGGATACTTTTCTATTGATTTTTATCTTCTTCACTTTCTTTTATAGGCATTTTATAATTTTTATCTTCTTTAGTTTCTTTTATAGGTATTTTATAATTTTCAGTGTATAGATATTTTACCTTCTTGATAAAATTTATTACTAAATATTTTATTTTTTGGTGCTATTGTAATGGCATTATTTTCTTAATTTCTATTTCTGAGTTCATACTTGCTGTACAGGAATGTAGCTAGTTTTTGTATGTTGATTTTGTATTCTGCAACTTTATTGAATTTGTGTATTAGTTCTAACAGTGTTCTGGTTGAGTCTTTAGGATTTTCTATATGTATGATTATGTCATTTGCAAAGAGGCTATTTTACTACCTTTCTAATTTGGATGCCTTTAATTTCTTACTCTTGCCTAATTCCTCTGGCTTGGAGCTTCAATACTATATTGAATAAAAATGGCGAGTGGTCATCTTGTTTTATTCCTGTTTATGGAGAAAAAACTTTTGGCTTTTTACTACTGACTATGATATTGGCTGTGGCCTTGTCATATGACAGGGTGTATTCCTTCTATACCTGATTTATTGAGAGTTTTCATCATGAAAAGACATCGAATTATATAAATTTTTTTCTGCATTTTTATTCTTCATTCTGTTAATATGGTTTATCATACTTATTGATTTGCATATGTTGAACTATCCTTGTATGTCTGAATAAGTCTCACTTGATCACAGTGAATGATCTTTTTAATGTGCTGGTGAATTCCATTTGCTAGTATTTTGCTGAAAAATTGTTCATCAGTATTTGCCAGGGATATTGTTCTGTAATTTTCTTTTTCTTTGTACTGTCCTTGTGTGGCTTTGGTATCAGTGTAATGCTGGCCTTACACAATGAATTTGGAAATGTCCCCTCCAGTTCAATTTTTTGGAAGAGTTTGAGAAAAATTGGCATAGATTAATCTTTAAAAGTTTGATAGAATTAATGAGTGAAGCCATCGAGTCCTGGGCTTTTCTTTCTTCAGATAATTTTGACTACTAATTTAATCTCCTTACTGATTTCTCTGTTCACATTTTCTATTTCTTTGTGATTCAGCCTTGGTTGGTTGTATGTTTCTCATAATTTAACTCTTTCTGCTAGCTTGTCCAATTGGTTGGTATATAGCTGTTCACAGTAGTCTCTTGTGACTCTTTTCTTTTCTTTTTTTTTTTTTTTTTCACTGGGACTTGCTCTGTTGCCCAGGCTGGAGTACAGTGGTGCGATCATGGCTCACTGCAGCCTTTATCTCCTGGGCTCAAGCAATCTTCCTGTCTCAGTCTCCTGAGTAGCTGGGACTACAGGCACATTCCACCATACCTGGCTAATTTCTTTAATTTTAATTTTTGTAGAGATGGGGTTCCACTATATTGCCCAGGCTGGTCTTGAACTCCTAGGCTTAGGTGATCCTCATACTTCTGCCTTCCGAAGTGTTAGGATTACAGTTGTGAGCCACCGTGCCCTGCAATCCTTTATATTTATTTTCTTTCAGTTGTAATGTTCCTTTTTTCATTTAAAATTTTATTTATTTGAGTCTTCTTTCTCTTTTTCTTAGGGAATCTAAAGGTTTGTCAATTTTGTTCATCTTTTCAGAAAATCTCTTAATTTTATTGATCTCTGACTCTTTTTTTAGTCACTATTTCATTTATTTTGGTTCTGATCTTTATTTCTTTCCTTCTGCTATATTTGATGTTCATTTGTTTTTCTTCTTCTAGTTCTTTGAGGTTGAAAGTTAGGTTTTTATATTTGAGTTCTGTCTTTTATCTAAATGTAGGCATTTATCAGTGTAAACTTGCCTCTTAGTACTGCTTTCGCTGCATGTTCTAAGTTTTGGTATGTTGTGTTTCCATTTTCCCTTTACTCACGATATTTTAAAACATTTTTGTTGTGATGTTTTTTGATTGGTTGTTCAGGAATGTATTGGTTGATTCCTACATATTTGTGTATTTTCCAATTTTTCTTCTATTATTGATTTCTGCTTTCATATCATTATGGAGTATTTAATATAATGTCAGTTTTCTTAAAATTTTCAAGACTTATTTTCTGGACTAATAGATGATCTATATTGGAGAAATTTTGTGTGTGCTTGAGAAGAATGTGTCTTCTGCTACTGTTGGATGGAATATATGCATATGCCTGTCAGGTACATTGGGTCTACTGTGTTGTTCAAGTCCACTATTTCCTTATTGATTTTCCATTTCAATGATCTGTTCGTTGTTGCAAGTGGGTTATTTATGTTTTCCACTGTTATTGTATTGCTGCATATTTTTTTCCTTTAGTTCTATTAATGTTTGCTTATATATGTTTAGGTGCTCTGATGTTGGGTGCATATATATTCATAATTTTTATATCTTCTTGATGAATTGACCCCTTTATCATTATGTAATTACCTTCTTTGTCTCTTTTTATGGTTTTTGACTTAAAGTTTATTTTTCTGATACATAGGTACCCCTGCTCTCTTTTGGTTACCATTTACATGGAATATCTTTTTCCATCTCTTCATTTTTAGCATATGTGTATGCTTAAATCTAAAATTAATCTCTTATAGGCAGCATAAGGTTTGATCTTGTTTTTAAATTCATTCAGCCACTGTATGTCTTTTGATTGGAGAGTTTAGTCCATTTGCATTTAAAGAAATTATTGATAGATAAGGGCTTACTAATGCTATTTGTTAATTGTTTTGAACTGTTTTGTTTTTAAATTATACTTTAAGTTCTGGGATACATGTGAAGAATGTGCAGGTTTGTTACATAGGAATACATGTGCTATGGTGGTTTGTTGCACCCATCAACCTGTCATCTACATTAGGTATTTCTCCTAATGCTATCCCTCCCCTAGCCCCTGACTCCCTGACAGGCCCCAGTGTGTGATGTTCCCCACCATGTGTCCATGTGTTCTCACTGATTGTTTTGAACTGTTTTATAGTTACTTGTTCTTTTCTTCTTCTTTTGTCTGTTTATCTTTTGTGTATCTAGTGCAGATTTTGTGTGTGTGTGGGTTTACCATGAGGCTTACATAAAATATTTTATAGTTAAAATAGTCCATTTTAAGCTGATAACAACTTAACTTTGATAACCTACAAAAACTCAACATTTTAACTTCTCCTTACTCCAAAGGTAACAATTTACACATTTTTATATTGTGTATCCATTAACACCTTTCAAAAACTCTAGTTATTTGGAATACTTTTGCCTTTTAGTATTTACATCAGAGTCAAAAATTATTTATGCATCACCATTATAGTATTAGTGTATTCTGAATTTGACTATATTTTTACCTTTACAGTGAGTTGTATACTTTCATATGTTTTTATTTTGTTAGTGTTCTTTCATTTCAACTTGAAGAACTCCTGTTGTCATTTCCTGTAAGGCAATTTTAGTGGTAATGATCTCTCTCAGCTTATTTTTGTCTAAGAGTCTTCATCTCTCTTTCATTCTGAAAAACAGATTTGCTAAGTATAGTATTCTTGGTTGGCAGCCCCCCTTTTTTTTTTCCAGCACTTTGAATATATTAGCCCATGCTGTCCTGGTCTGCAAAGTTTCTGATAAGAAAGCTGGTGATAATCTAATGGGGATTATTTTATATGTGACAAGATGCTTTTCTGTTGCTGCTTTCAAGATTCTTTTTTTTCCTTTGACTTTGAGAATTTGATTATAATGTGTCTTGGTGAATATCTCTTTATATTTAATCTATTTGCTATTCTTTGGGCTTCATGGGTCTGGATATTTATTTCCCTTCCTTGATTTGGGAAGTTTTCTGTCATTATTTCTTTAATTATGCTTTTTACTTTTAAATATGCTTCTTTCTTCTTCTTTTCTCCATCTGGAACTTCCACCTTATGTATGTTGGTTTATTTGATGGTGTTCCATAGGTTTCTTTACTTTTCAATTTTTTTTCCTTTCTGTCGTCTGACTGGGTGGCTAATTTCAAATGACCTGTTTTTGAGCTTCCTGTTTCTTTCATCCATTTGACTGAGTTGGCTATTGAAGCTCCCGATGGAATTTTTCAGTGAAGCCATTCTATTCTTCAGCTCCAGAATTTCCTTTTGGTTCTTTTTTACGGTTTCTTTTTGTAGAACTTTTCGTTTTGCTCAAGTATTGTTTTGCTGATATTATTTAGTTGTCTTTCTATGTTCTCCTGCTCACTGAACTTCTTTAAGACAATTATTTTGAGTTTTTTGCCACTCACTTCATAGATCTCCATTTCTTTAGGGTCAGTTACTGGTGCTTTATTTTGTTCTGTTGGTTGTTTTATTCATTATCCTTATTGCCTTGTGTTGGCGTTTTCACATTTGAAGAAGTAGACGTCTATTCCAGTCTTTAAAGACTGGGTTTGGCAGGTAAAAACCTTTACCAGTCAGCTCATTCAGAGATTCTTGATGGGCTGACTGGTGGGGTTCATGTCTGTGGTTGCCACTGAATTCCTTGGGTGGGCTTGCCTGATGTCTGAATCAGCAGGTATGTGGTTTTGGTACCTGAGTCCACAGGGGCCAGCCTAGTGCCTGAGTTACCTGGGGTGGTCCTGAGTACTGGTTCCACTGGAGTAGGCCTGAAGTTGGATCTGTGTGGACAGGTATGGTGGCTAGGTCTTTGAAGGTGGGCCTGGAGCCTGGGTGTGTAGGTACTGGTCTGGTGCAGGGTCCACTGGGTCCTTGGTGGGACATCCCTCTGGAATACATCTGGGTTCATGAGGATGGGCCCGGGGTTTGGGTCCTTGCGGGGGGCTATCCTGAAGTCTGAGTCCATAGAAGCTGGTCTGGTTCTGGGGCAGGCCTGGGTCTGTAGCTCTAAGTCTTCCTGCAAATTTGTGTTGTGAACTGACTTGCTGCCTTTCCGGTTACTTCACTTCTTTGAATAAGCCCCCTCCCTCCATGACTTACAAGATTTCAGTTTTTTGTCATCTCTAAATCTTTTACTGTCATTTTTATGAGGATAGAGATAAATGTGTATGTATAACCTACTGTGTTTAATGGGTGGTTTAGAACTCTTTATTTTTCTAAATGACATTATTAAAAATTTATATTGGTATATGTCTTATACTAATTTAATAGTATAAAAACAGGTATGCAATTTATATATATAAATATATTTTTGAGAGCATGCTTTAAAATATTTACTAATGGAGGTATTGGATGAAAAATGTCTAAAAACCACTCATTTTGAGAATAATGAAATATTTGAAAAATCTTAGTATGTAAAGATAGAAAATGATCTGAGGCTTCCTTAAATAACAAATACTAAAAGTTTCACAAGAGCAAAGTGTAACAAGATCAGTTATACAGCTTGGTATACACACAAGACCAAATATCCTAGATTAATCAGATGAATTTCCAGAAGGTGCCACTGAGTAGAATTTCAGGAATCTTATTTAGCCTGACTTTATGGGAGAATTTTCTTATAATTAGAACGATTCAGAAATGAAATGGGCTGATTTGAGTTTTTTTAACTTTAATAATCTGTTTTATTCTCTTTTCATCATGTACATTTACATGTGATCTTCAGAGATACTGTATATGAGGTTTCTTTTTTAGGTGACTTATTAGGCTAGAAAAGTTCTGAAGTCCCTCCTAAGTCTGATATTCTATGATTTAAAATGGATCTAAAGTTATAAAGTACCATAGTATGATCAGTTTTGAATAGGCAAAACGGAATTCAGAGTGATAGTTATGTGTGCAATGTATTTTGTAGTTATAGCTTCATCTTCACTGTTTATAGCTAAAATTTTATCTCACTGACATGACTTATAGAAGGTGTTCTCAACAGGGCTTATACAGAGCTCCTTGATTCTTTCAAAGCAAGGGCTCGTCTTGGTGAGAAAGACGTCCATCCATTTCACTGGGCTGTTTTTCATGTGGTACAAAAGTAATTAGATGTCAGGCTTTAGTAGTATAGTTTTAAGTCTTATCTTGAGGACACCTAAGGCTTATATAATACCCAGGCATCAGTCAATTAGACCAAAAAAAAAAAAGTCAATTTTTTAAGTCTACATGAGTCAGGCATTTGATTATCCTGAGAAAACAGGGGTCTGTCTTCTTTCACTGAAGCTTTCCTTCTGCTATCGATTAACTGCTGACTCTTGTTCTATTGACCCTCACTAATTTGTTGCATGATCTGTCATTCCTTATCTAGAGTAGAAGGAGACTCTTCTGTAAATATAAACAACTGATGAGGTTAAGGGAAACTCAATCTATTCTGGTGTCAGTTAACGTTCATAGTGTGTATCTGTGTGGAGGGCCAGGTCTTGGAGCTTACTGCACTGCACATTTTCCAAGATCGAATTACAAGTTATGCCTTTCTGTTTTTACAAACACCAATAGTGGTTGAACAGCCAATACCAGCATGGATATCTACAAACTAAATTTTGACTTTGTCTTCATATTATTATTTTTTTTTACATTATATTTTTACTAATGTAAGATCCTGCCTTTATGTGGAAATAGCATTTAGAGACTTAATAATTAATTTGCTCTTGCCAGCTAAGGAATAGATGCTGCTATTGCTTCATTTTACTCTCAAGTATATGCATATCAAAAAATTTTGTGGCTTGTTTAAAACAACTTTGGATCTAATCCTATAATTAGTATAAACAATTAGTACACCCTTTTAAAGGTTATTGCTGCTGGTTTCATGTTTGTTGGCTATCATTCAGATCTCTATATCCATATCCCAAATCTTGCTAAATTTTTTCGTGGGTTAAGTCATATCACATTTCCATAAAAATCTTAAGAACATTTTTCTAAAATTTTGCTGAATTAGATGTTTAGATATTAGACATACAATGAGGAATTTGCTGGAATGAACTTATGAGCTATCCAAGGTGAGATACGACCTAACACTGCTGAATACTTTTCCTGTTAATACCTTATCACCTATGTTCAAACTGAAATGTGACACTTATAAGACCATTGATGCATTTAGATGCTGCAGAAATATATTGGAAATTTTAGAGAGGCAGTATAGTGTAGACTTAAGAGCACAAACTGACTTCTATTCTGACATTCTCACCTAAAATCCATAAAATGGGGTACTAAGAATTTACTTAATCCTTATCTGAGTCTAAAATGCTTCATCTTTTGATTCTCTCCAACAGCTACCTTTACTTTTACTGTATGAAATCATACACAGGCTTCTGAACATCCTGTTGATTTCTCACCTCTACACCTTCATTGTTTTCTGTACCTATTTGAATCTTTTTATTTTTAGTTAGTTGGATTATCTTTCAAGACAAAATTCATGTTTTTTCTTTTCTGTGAAGTCTTTGACTAACCAAAGCAGAGGACTCCTTCCTTTGTGTCCTTACCTGTCAAATATTACAGCTCTTTCCACACCATAGTTATCTTGATTTAATATGCAAGTCTTTTTTTCAGGGTTGTGCATTCTAAGAACTCAGTAAGTGCTGAATGAGTGCCATTTCTTATCCTAGAGTGTGTTGGATCAGTTATCAATTGCTGCGTAACAAACCGTCTAAATTTGTCGCTGTGAAAACGACACTAATGTGACTGGGTGATATTTTCATTAGTCTCCTTTATGCTCACTCACGTGGCTGTAGTCAGCTGGTAGCTTGGTTGGGACTAGATGGTCTAACATGGGCTTACTTGTGTGTCTGGTGCCTCAGTTGAGATTGGAATGACTAAACTTCTTTCTCTTTGTGTCTTTCCCCTGGGCTTTTTCACATGATGGTGGGCAAATTCCATTGGACAAGTGCTTATAAAGGCTCTGCTCTGTTGTGTTTGCTGATGTTCCCTTGGCCAAAGCAGGTCATGAACTAAGCTCAGAGTCAGTGTGTGAGAGGGCTATGAAAGGACCTGGGACTGGGCACGGTGGCTGATGCCTGTGATTCCAGCACTTTGGGAGGCTGAGGTGGGAGGATTGCTTGAGTCCAGGAATTTGAGGCCGGCTTGGGCAATACAGTGAGACACCATCTCTAAAAAAAATAAAAAGAAAAGCAAGAAAGGACCTGGATGCCAGGATATGTGACTCACTGATGCAATGCCGTAACAGTCGAGCACATGCATTTACCTTCATTGTCTGCCTGTTAAACAACATTCATTGAAAACTCCTTTTGATTATTTTTCTTCTCCAAAACATCTTCTGTGTTCTCTCCAAAGTTTTTCTTACATGTTTCTGTTACACATGGGACAGTCTTCCTCTATCTCTCCTGGCAGCACTAGTGAGGTGCACATTAAGAACATGGAGGATGCATTAATTTTGTTTAAAAAAATGTTGTTAAAAATTCATTGTTTAAAAAAAATGTAAGGTATCAACTTGGACATAGGTAACATAGGGTCACCCTGGAAACTTTAACTGTATAATTTATTATATAGGATTTAATACATGTTGCCTCCCAGGTCAAGTCAGTGCTTATTGAAAGTAATAAAATATCCAAAAGAAATATATTACTTCTCAAATTTCAATTTTGAAAAGATAAAAAACCTCCAGTACTCTGTGTAAATAAGGGTTCAGGTAGAAGGGCACATTTATGTGCAGTGGGAATGAAATTGTTGCAACTGTTCTATAAAGCAATTTGGCAGTCTATATTGAGACCTTAAAAAGTTCATATTGAGTCAAGTCCAATGGTCCTACTTTTAGAAAATCATTCTAAAGGAATATCTTAGATATACAATCATGTGCAGTGATGTTTATTGCTGCATTATATATGCAGACAAAAGTAAAAAAAAATCCATATAGTGAAGTGATGAAGTTATGGTACAGCTCTATAGCAGAATATTATGCAACCAGTAAGAAGTTGTCTGTAGAAAATAATTGTAATGACTTAGAAAATTGCTCACTGTGTACAATGTAAGTGATTGAAAGGTATACAGAGGATTAAATTCTGTAAAACATCGTGTGTAGGTATGAGTGTGTGTGTGTGAACGTGTTCAGTGAACTATATTTAATGCATTCTTCTTCACACTGGGATGCAGAGGGAAAGAAGAAAGACATGGTTATTTCTCTCACTCTGCCTACCGATTAGTGGGGAAGACATGCTAAAGAACACTGATGCTTATTGGAATAACAGCCACATTTGATATGGAAAAGGACCAAAAAGAAAGTGGAGTGAGGAAGAAGTGTTGTTGGTTTGAAGGGACTGAGCGAGGGGGTAAGTATTTATCTGGGGTAGGGGAGAATTGTAGGTGTGAGAGATTGAATGACTAATTCAAAGGAACTAAAAGCATTTTTAAGAATTTCCACTGCTGGGCGTGATGGCTCACGCGTGTAATCCCAGCACTTTGGGAGGCCGAGGCTGGTGGATCGCCTGAGGTTGGGAGTTCGAGACCAGCCTGGCCAACCAACATGGCGAAACCCCATCTCTAGTAAAAATACAAAAATTAGCCGGGCATGGTGGTACGTGCCTGTAATCCCAGCTACTTGTGAGGCTGAGGCAGGTGAATTGCTTGAACCCAGGAGCTGGAGGTTGCAGTGAGCTGAGATTGCGTCACTGCACTCCAGCCTGGGTGACAGAGTAAGACTCTGTCAAAAAAAAAAAAAAAGATTTTCCACTAAATATATTTCTTTATCATTTTTTTGCAAGTGAGTATTATAAATATTTATTTTTCAAGTATTTTAGATGCAAAACTAAAATATCTTTTGGTATGACACCATGCTAGCATAAAACACTGAAGAGCCCATAGCTTACTGTGGGACACACACACACACACACACACACACACACACACACACATATACAACTTTCGACAAATTAAAATTTTAAAATTGTTGCATAACAGATATACATAGTTTTGGGGGCACATATGACAATATAATACATTCACATAATTTGTAAAGATCAAACCAGTGAAATTGGGATATCTGTCACTTTAAATATTTGTCTTTTCTTTTTGCTGGAACCATTCAGTCCTCCTCTTCTAGCTATTTTGAAATGTACAATAGGTTACTGTAAACAATAGTTAACCCACTGATTTATCTAACACTGGGTCTTATTTCTTCTATCAAACTACATATTTGTACTCATTAATTGACTTCTCTTCATCCTTCATCTCCCCACCATTCCTGGCCTCTGGTAATCACGAGTCTACCCTCCATCTTCATGAGATCCACTTTTTTTGCTCCCACATATGAATGAGAACATGCAATATTTGTTTTTATGTGCCTGGCCTATTTCACTTGACATAAAGATGTACATTTCCACCCATGTTGCTGCAAATGACAGAATTTCACTCTTTTTTATGCCCAAATAATATTCCTTTGTGCATATATACCACATTTTCTATATTCATTCATCTGTTAATGGATACTTTGATTCCATATTTTGGCTATTGTGAATAGTGCTACAATAAACCTGGAGTGCAGATGTCTTTCTGATGTATTGATTTCCTTTCTTTTGGATATATGCCCAATACTAGAATTGCTGGGTCATATGGTAGTTCTGTTTTTAGTTTTTTGGAGAACCTCCATACTGTTCTTCATAGTGGCTGTACTAATTTACATTCCCACCAACAGTGTATGAGGGTTCCCCTTTCTCTGTATCTTTGCCAGCATCTGTTATTTCATGTCTTCTTTATAAAAGCCATTTTAACTGGGGTGAAATGGTATCTCACTGTGGTTTTGATTTGCTTTTCTCTGATGATTAGTGATGTTGAGCGTTTGTTCATATACCTGTAGGCTGTGTGTATGTCTTTTGAGAAACGTCTATTCAGATCTTTGGCCCGTTTTTTAATAGAATTATTTATGTTTTTTGCTATTGATATGTTGAAGTTTCTTATATATTCTGTTTATTAATCCCTTGTCAGGTAGATAATTGGCAAATACTTCCCCCCATTCTGTGGGTTGTCTCTTCACTTTGTTGATTGTGTCCTTTGTTGTGCAGAAGCCTTTTAGTGTGATGTGATCCCATTTGTCTATTTCTGCTTGGCTTGCCTGTGCTTTTGAGGTTTTACATAAAAAAAACTTTGCCTAGACCAATGTCCTGAATGTTCTCCTCAACATTTTCATCTACTAGTCTCATACTTCACATCTTAGATTTAAATCTTTTACCCGTTTTGATTTTTGTGTATGGTGAGAGATAGTCTCATTTCATTTTTCTGTGTATAGTTACATAATTTTCCAAGCACCATTTATTAAAGAGACCGTCCTTTCCCCATTGTATGTTCTGGCACCTTTGTTGAACATGAGTTGGCTGTAAATGTGAGGATTTATATCTGTGTTTTCTATTCTGTTCCATTGGTTTGTGTGTCTTTTTTCATGCCAGTGTCATGCTGATATGATTACTATAGCTTTGTAGTAAATTTTGAAGTCAAGTAGTGTAATATCTCCAGCTTTGTTCTTTTTGCTCACAATTACTTTGGCTATTTGGGGTCTTTTGTGGTTATATATCAATTTTAGGATTTTTTTCTATTTCTGTAAAAAAATCATTGATATTTTGATAGGGATTGCACTGAATCTATAAATTGCCTTGGGTAGTATTTTTATTTTAACTATATTAAATATTCCAATCTATGGGCATGGGATAATATTCCACTTTTTTGTGTCCTCTTCAATTTCTTTTTTTAGTGTTTTATAGTTTTCCTTTTGTAAATCTTCACTTTTTTAGGTTAAGTTGATTCTCAGGGATTTTATATTTTTTGTAGCTAGAGCACGTGGGATTGCTTTCTTGATTTATTTTTTCAGATTCTTTGCTATTGGCATATATAAATGCTACTGATCTTTGTATGTTGATTTTGTATCATGTGGCTTTACTGAATTCATTTATCAGTTCTAATGGTTTTTTGGTGGATTATTTAGTTTTTTTCTAAATATAAGATCATGTCATCTGTAAGCAAGGCTAACTTGACTTCTTCATTTCCAATTTGGAAACACTTCATTTTTTTCTTCTTTTTTTGCTAAATTGCTTTGGCTGAGACTTCCAGTCCTATGCTGACTAAAGTGGTAAAGGTACATACCTTTTCCTTGTTTTAGATTTTATAAAAAAAGGCTTTCAATTTTTCTCTGGTCAGTATGATTTAGCTGTTGGTTTGTAATATTTGGCCTTTCGAGGAATGTTCCTTCTATACCCAGTTTGATAATGGTTTTTTTTTTTTTTTTTAAAATAAGGGGATGTTGAATTTTATCAAGTGCTTTTTTAAGCATCTATTGAAATGATCATATGGATTTTGTTCTTCATTCTGTTAATGTGATGTGTCACCTTCATTGATTTGCATATGTTCAACCATGCTTGCATCCCTGGTATGAATCCCTTTTGGTCATGGTGAGACCATTTAAATGTGTTGTTGAATTGGACTTCCTAGTATTTTGTTGAGAAGTTTTGCACTATATTCATGTGGGATATTTGCCTATAGTTTTCTTTTTGGTTGTGTTCTTGTCTCGTTTTGTTATCAGGGTAATGCTGGCCTTGTAGAATGAGTTTGGAAGTATTCCCTCTTCTTCAATATTTTTTGAAGAGTTTGAGTAGAATTGGTATTAGTTCTTCTTTAAACTTAAAAATTTAGTTAATGAAGATGTAGTTTGGTCAGCAGGAAAAGTGTGCCTTTGCCTTGGCTTGGGTTATGGTGACTGTTGTCTTAACAAATTAGGTATTTTTAGCATGTGTCTCTAATGTGAAGGTGGATAGTCAGGTTGTTACAGCCCGAAGTCATCAAACACGTGTTGCATTAAAACAATTACCCTAATTGTGATTCTATACGAATCTAAACACTCTTTTGAGTGTATAGTATAACCAAAATTGAGAATGTGGTAGATCTGTCTTCAGAAGCAGAATGAGCTGGCTATATAATCTCAATTCCTCTGTCCATGATCTACAAGACAACGCTGTTTCATTGTAAATTGGCAAATTAAAATTCTGGGCTATGCCTTAGTGTTGATAAGCTCAGTTAATATAAGTTGATGTCCCACAGGTAGATTCATGCTTAGTATGCTGAAAGAAAAAAATCAGATTTCTGAATTTTCTAGGAAGCAGACCAGGCCAAGTACATGAAAATGGACCTAGGTAAGGCTCTTGAAAGTCTTCTTGTCTGGTAGCCGTTTGACCCATTCTGGTGACATATGCACCTAAATACATGCACATCTTTTTTTTCCTCAAAATTCTATGATATTTACTTACTTTATAAAATTTTTTCTGTTCTCTTGTTTTCCTTATCAGAGGGTTAAGCCTTCGAAGGTAGTTATTCCTTCTTCATTTTTTTTGTGTGTATTTATCACCTAGCACAGTACCTGGCATAAAGTAAGCATTTTAATTAATACTTAGTGAGTGAAAGCATATACATTAATTGAAGTAAATGATCAGACATAAACATATAAATACAAAAGGGAAAATATAGATGGATTTGGGAACATCCACTCTTTTGGATTTTTTATACCTTACTTTACAAACATTAGCCTAATAATCAAATACCTGAATTTGTAAACAGAATTCTGTTTTCTTCTCATCCCCTATGTAGCTCTTTATGTGAGCAGTGTTTCAGTACTACCAGAGGTGGGAGATATTTAAGGATGTGGTAGGCCATAAATGCCTACTACTACTCTGTACTGACAGAGCATTACTTGTAATGTAGCAGGACAAGCTGCAGACAACACTCCTCAGACACCGAGTTAAAGAAGGAAGGGCTTTATTCAGCCAGGAGCTTCGGCAAGACTCATGTCTCCAACAACCGAGCTCCCTGAGTGAGCAATTCTTGTCCCTTTTAAGGGCTCACAACTCTAAGGGGGTCTGTGTGAGAGGGTTGTGATCGATTGAGCAAGCAGGGGGTACGTGACTGGGGGCTGCATGCACTGGTAACTAGAACGGAACAGAACAGGACAGGGATTTTTACAGTGCTTTTCTATACAATGTCTATAATCTATAGATAACATAACCGATTAGGTCAGGGGTGGATCTTTAACTACCAGGCCCAGGGTGTGGTGCCGGGCTGTCTGCTTGTGGATTTCATTTCTGCCTTTTAGTTTTTACTTCTTTCTTTGGAGGCAGAAATTGGGCATAATACACTATGAGGGGTGGTCTCCTCCCTTAGTAAGAAATGACAGGACTAGGTGAATGTAATCCAGTCTAAGCCAAGGAATGAAATCTATCTTAAGTCAAAGTAAAGCTTAAGTCTATTCCAATGACATTTTCTTTTGTTGTTTTAAAAGTCTACCCTTGTATTAAAAAAATCTGCAGAACGAATGCACCAAGGGCTCAAGAATGAGCATTGGCATTGGCATTTTCACTCCTTCTCTATAAAACAGATTGAAACAGACAGGGAAGAAAGGTAAATACCTGTGACCTTCTTTAAATTGGCTTCCACAGAAGTCATTGGGAATGAAATGAGGCCTGCAGTGAATAGTACTCAGGGAGGCCCCTCAGGTTTCCCCTCCTCCAATGGGACTTCTTTTCACTCTCAATAACTTTTTTGTGTTCTCAGGAGAAAAACAGCTAATATGCTTAGATATGAACAATTGGCTCCACATGTATCATGCAAATTTCTCAAATTTCATACGCAAAAAACTGCTGAATGACATTTCCTCAGCTGTAGCTACTGTCCATACCTCTGGGGAATGTGGACACAGTGGTAAGGTCAACCCCACAATAAGGAGGCTTTCTTGGTCTCAATAGGCACTTTATGCTCATTCAAAAAGAAATACTTCGAAAGCTTTTTTGGCCAGGGTGTGTGAGCATTGCTGTGCAAAGAGAAAGAGCCAGCTTGGGCTGGGCCAAGGGAAATTAGGCTGACCCGTGGAGGGTCCTAGAACTGGCTCTGAGGTGAGGTGGGTTGATGTGGGTTTGAAGATGACCTGCTAATACCTGGTCAGTTTACAGTAACCCTTTGCACTCGACTCACACTGGTGGATGCGAGACATGTCTAAAACATGTTTGACTGTTTTACTCACAGGCAGTTTTTCTTTGTTCTAGATTGGGCCCCTAACCATGTTTTAAACTACTGTATATTTTACCACTATTTAGGGTTATGTAGGCCAGACAAAATAATTATTCCTGAGAATAATCCTTAAGAATAGTTTATGAATTATCTATCATTTCAAAGCCAATGTTTTCACTTCTTGCAATTTTCAGGGAAAGTTTTCATCTAGAGAAAATACTACATAGTAGATTTCAGTGAAATATAGTAAAGAAATTTTAGGGAAAAATTAACTAAATTTTGGTGAGAAAAAATTTAGGGAAATTTCAGTAAGAAATTATAATTCCTATTTTGGGGTTATAAGAAGACAAGAAGGAATAGTCCAATGTGCTTTAGGTTACAGCTACAAAAAATAGTAGTCTTACGTTCAGGAAGAATTCATAATTCCTGAAGTTTAGTATAAGAGGAAAATAGAATCTGGGGATAGAAGTATTAATTGATACACGCTTATATTGGCTTGATAAATATTGATTTCCATATAGTAACATCTGACTTATCTGAAATCATTATAGCCAGTAATTTTAGTGGTTAGTAACAGAAAACCAACCAAAATGGGCTTAGCAAAAGGAGTATTTAATGGCAGTTGAAAGTGAAAAATACAAGTAGGGATGTTTGATGGAGGGGCTCAGATGGGATCACCAGGACTCTCTTCTCTCCATCTCTCATTTCTGCTTCATCTGGATTAAATTCCCCATGGTCAGTAGCATTGCTATAGCTGTTCTAGCCTTACAGACTTACTACTCTCTGCCTCTTTTCCAGGTGATCCTATAAAACTTGTGGGATTAATTCTGGTTGAACTGATTTAGGTCATGCCCACTTCTTCATCTTGACTCTGATGTGGGGAAATGCTGTGCACTGGTTGACTTAGGTCTGGGTCACTGACTTCTCTCCTGGGGCTGGGCTGGAGACCTGAAGCATCCAGTGGACTGTAAGAGAGCAAGGGATAAGTTCTCAGATGAAAATCAAAGGCATAAGACAGCATAATGGAAATGAGAAAGATCAATGTCTACCAAGTGTCCCAAAATGTATCTTATTTTAAAACATGATTTTCCTGTTTTCCATGATAGTTTATTGAGAAAAATATTTTGTAAAAAGCCTAGCTTGGTCAATAAAATGTACTTTCTCAGTACTTGATCATTTTCAAATTCCCCTGTTGACACCTTTGAAACCAATATATTGAACATTCTCCACATACAGGCTTTTCTAAAAATGTATATTGAGATAGAGTATACTAAATAGTCTCCTCCCTGTCTGAGTCCTAGGAATCTCAGCAATCCTTTCACAAATGGTGTTCTGTGAGCTGGTGTGTCTTTGGTATGAACCCACTGTGGGTGGAATGAGCTCTTTTCAGACCTGTGTGTGTTACTTCTCTTAGTCAAAGGACAAAATCCCTTACACCAGCTGGCTTATAAACAACAAACATGGATTACTCACAGTTCTAGAGGCTGGGAAGTTCAAGATCAATGTGCCAGCAAGTTTGGTGTTGGATATGGGCCCATTTCCTGGTTGATAGATCGCTCCCTTTCACTGTATCCTTACATGGTGGGAAGGATAAATGAGCTCCCTTGGGTTCATTTTTTAAGGGCATTAATCCCATTTGTGAAGACTGCCATCATGACCTAATTGCCCTCCAGAAGGCCCTACCTCCTAATACCATTGTCTTGGGGATTAGCATTTCATCATATGAATTTTGAGGGGATACAAACATGCAGACAATAGCATTCTCTCTGGGAAATACCTAAGTCAGGGTCAGGTCTTGGTAGGTGAGTTAGAATAAAACCCTTACCCAGTGGTCCTGACTACAGGATTTGGTCAGGAGCTTCTGTGCTCTCACACTCTGCACTCTACTCCTTGGCTTCAAAGTGAGGGATTGTTGTAGTTAGGTCAGTTTGGTGATTCCAGTCCTTTTCCTCTGGAATCTTTTTGTACCATATTATTTCTACAGCAAATTATTATTATTATTATTATTATTATTGTTTGAGACAGGATCTCACTCTGTCAGCCATGCTGGAGTGTAGTGGTGCAAACATGGCTCATTGCAGCCTTGAACTCCTGGGCTCCAGTTATCCTCCAGCCTCAGCCTCCCAAGTAGCTGAGACTACAGATGCACACCACCACACTTGGCTAATTTTTTTTTTTTTTTTTTTTTTTTGTAACAACAGGGTCTTGCCATCTTGTTCAGACTGGTCTTGAACACCTGAGCTCAAGCAGTCTTCCTGCCTCAGCCTCCCAAAGTTTTGGGATTACAGATGTGAGCCACCTCGCCCAGCCAACAAACTCTCTTTCTTCATATTTGTTGAGAGATACTTGTGTCTTATTCATAGCTGAACTTGCATAGCATATTAAACCTTTCCTTATTTTTTTTCTGAGTATAGCACCTTATTTGCCTCTCATCAGTCCAGGACTTGGGTTAAGTAATTGTTTAACTTTATTTTTATTTATTTATTTATTTATTTGAGACAGAGTCTTACTCTGTCACTGAGGCTGGAGTGCAGTGGCACGATCTCGGCTCACTGCAAGCTCCGCCCCCCGGGTTCATGCCATTCTCCTGCCTCAGCCTCTTGAGTAGCTGGGACAACAGGTGCCCCCCACCACGCCCGGCTAATTTTTTTGTATTTTTAGTAGAGACGGAGTTTTACCGTGTTAGCCAGGATGGTCTCGATTTCCTGACCTCGTGATCTGCCCGCCTCGGCCTCCAAAGTGCTGAGATTATAGGCGTGAGCCACCGCCCCCGGCCTAACTTTATTAACTCTAGCCCGTCCAGGGATACAATCTAAGACACCAAATAATTTCAGTTACTAGAAGGGCACCAATATGGGATGCAGATAGTAAAGGTTGTTAGGCTTAAATGGAGGTAAGTATTCCTACAATCATTTAATCTCATTCTTTTTTAAATAACTGAGCCTGAAATGTGAACTTTAATCTTCCAATGTCCTCAAGATTTTGATACAACTAGAGCTCTTTCCTTCTGTACCGAAGACCCTAGGTTGTTAGCTTTCTACTTGGTTTATGATATTTTCTATTTTTGTCTTATAACTGTTACTTCTTAAAACAATCAGTATACCTAATTTGAAGAGATTCCTGGGCTTCCCTGTTGTTTTATATTTTTAAGATAAGGAAAACTTGAGTGATTTACATGTAATTCCAGTGCATATGTTTAATACACTGACTTTGGAGCATTTAGTTTGGCTTGCTGGATATCTGCCTCCATCCCCTTATTTTCTAGTTACTTTCTGGGTCCTGAGTATGAAAAATAGGTGGAGGGAGTTTGGCCCTTGCATTTTGCAAAAGGCAAATGTGTACTTTTTAGTTTTAAGGACCTCAAGAAAAGCTGTCTAATCTTGGAGACTATGTTTCATGAATGAACAAGTGGTTTCTTTCAGCTATTCTGTTAAGAACAATTTTTCAAATGATCGAATAAATTTGCTGAGTGAATGCATGTGCATTTTGCTGTTGTCAGAAAGATGTGAAATACAGCAGCAGTGGGTGGGCCTGGCTCTCAGTTGAACTGTCATGTAGATGAGGTTTGCCTTCAGGGCCCTCACACATTCCCTTCTGTTACCAATCTCCTGTTTCCTGGGCTTCATCCTCCACCTGTCCTGGCTCCCAGATACCTAGGATTCTCAGGCCACTCAGCAGTCTGGGCTCCTTTTTGCTCTGCTCTGCCTGCAAAGGTCTTCTCGCCCTAGGCAGTGCATAATGCCCTCGTTTGGCCCTCCCAGCCAGTCATCTAAGCTAAACAAAGCAGATTCCTAATCTACTTGGATCCCAGCTAGCTGCCACTACTGGAAATGAGTGCCACTACTGGAACTTAGCCTCATTAAGGTGTTAATACATTGAAATGGTTTAATAAACTATTTTTCCTGAGATTACAGGCATTATGGTAAGAAAGACTTAAGGTCCATTTACATTTAAGTCAAGGGAATTATCATACTAAGTTGGAATTTCAGGCAAGTCCATGGTCCAATAGGCCTAGCAAGGGGGCAGCTTTCTGTATTTCCCCTGAGGCAGACTAATCCCCTTCTTCATGGGCTTTCTCCCTGTCTTGCTCTGTTAGTACGGTGTTTGGGATATGGATATCTCCCTTATCACCAGGATGGCTGGGTATTGGTTTCCAGCTGTGTTCCTTCTGGGTTCATATCTAGGGGTTGGGCCTGTTTATGACCATTGCCACCATCTCCTGGACTGATTTCCCTGGATACAGCCCTGCACCAGATTTGGCTGTCTTACCATCTCTGCCCCACTTGACCATTCTGAAGCCACATTCTCTGTACTTCTTTGTGATAGAACCCTATTGCCTTCCATTTGGACTTGCACCAGAGATAGCATATGTGGAATATGGACTTACTTTGTGACTATTAACTCCTCCCTGGGGCTGCTGATTCTTCTCCCACATTTCCTACATTTGCTATCTACCCCCTTTTCTCTAGCTCTGGCTCTGTGTCTCCCAGCAGCCTGCACTGCTCACCTGCCCTGTAGATATTGTGGAGAACCATAGAGTTATAATACATACAGTGTATGGGGAGGACATTTTGTAGTAAAGAAAAATTCATGATTTGAACCTTGGTTGCCTCCCAGAGATACTCATTCCACTTTATCACGGATGCATACCCTTTACCCTACTTCACCCAGAGTCTTCATTTTTCC
Source organism: Homo sapiens (assembly GCF_000001405.40). Classification (NCBI taxonomy): domain Eukaryota; kingdom Metazoa; phylum Chordata; class Mammalia; order Primates; family Hominidae; genus Homo; species Homo sapiens. Next base: position 118,795,218 of record NC_000005.10, on the reverse strand, counting down.
AAGATAAAATATCCATTCCTTCTTCGATCGGATTACCAGATTCTTCATTAAACCAGTTATTCTCTTACAGGAAATCCACTTTGCTAATGTCTCCCTGAAAATTTGGTGTCCAAAGAGGAACAAAATATAGGCAGCACGAGAGTTCACATAAGTGTTTTACCAACTGGCCTGCATTGCTCCATCTTGTCCTCAAAGACATGATGGGAAACGTAAAAAAAAATGCCTTACTGAAATCCAGATTGACCTTGTCAAAAAGGAGCTATTTCACATAAAACATGCGTACAAACACACACGTAAAAATCGGACAACATTTATACATTACAACTTAAATATGCAAAATAAAAAGGTAGTATCCTTTATTTCTTATAAGTGCTCTCATTTTGTCCTCAATCCCATATTCCATTCAGTAGCAAGAAAAAAATCAATCGAAAACTTGTCAGTTCTTGGTATCTTGATAACTTGGCCTCTTTGGTTTTTAAATAGACTCTGTTGGGTTAGCTCAAGTGTCTTTCAGATAAGTATTCATTTAAATTCAAGGTTCAAACTTCTTACAAGAAAAGGATATTTCTTTTTTTTTTCCCAAGGATTTGCCCCTCCACTTTCTGCTCCCTAAGGCGCTATATGGGTATCAGCGAGGGCAGACTCAAGGATGCCAGTGTATGGTAATGAGTTATTGTCTGGGTGTTTGTGCTGTCTTTGGAGTCTTCTCTGGTCACTGTGGAGATGTTTCTTATCTGTCTGGATCATCGAGCTGCTGGTGTCTGCTGTAGAAAAACTGTGGCTGATAACACTGTGTATCAGGGACAAGGGTAAAACAACTACCTGTTATAGATCATGACCTCTTCTCTCACCCTAGTGAAGTCCAGGTAAAAAGTGAAGGACACAGAAAAAGATGGCAATGAGATGATGACTGTGTGGGGCTGAGATGAGCAGTGCATTTTCAGCCCGCTAACTTGGTACAATGGGCTGAATATTTGTGTCCTCCTAAAATTACACATTGAAATTGTAACCTGCAGTGTATTAGGAGATGGGGACTTTGGGAGGTAATTAGGTCATGAGAGTACAGCACTCATGAGCAAGATTAGTGTCATTATAAAAAGAACTTCAGGTAACTCTCTTGCCCTGTTTCTTCTATGTAAGGATACAATGAGAAGTCAGCAGTCTGCAACCTGGAAGAGGCCCTTCACCATGCTGGCACCCTGATCTCAGATTTCTAGCTTCCAGAACTGCAAGAAATAAATTTCTGTTGTTTATAACCCACCCAATCTATGCAGCTTGAACTAAGACTCTTGGCAGAGGATAGCTACTGTGGCTTTATTCTGGCTGCAAGAAGAGCTGTTGCTAAAGCCAGCTCCTAAGCCCGTGGTCCGTTTCAGTTGGGAGTTTACAGGTCAGGAGTCAGTTGTCCACAGGAACACTTCTGCAATTCTCCCAGTGTGGAAATCCATGTTTCAGGTTCTTTGTTCCAGAAATGCAGACAACTCAATACAGGTGCTCATTTTTAGACTTTATATTGTGAGAGAAAACCACCTGCTCTAAAGAAGGGGGGCATGGAGCAGAGTGGACAGAGTACAGGCTTTGGAGACAGTGCTAGGTTTTCTTTTCCCTGTTCCCTTTGACCTTGAACATTTCTGAGTTTCATTATCAGTAAAACAGAGGTAACAAATGCCAATCTGATTTAAGAAAACAGTGTCTGTCAATAAATTGAAGCTATAATTATAAATCATAACAATATCTTCTAAGCCCAAATACTGTTTTTCAAACACTCCAAAGAGATGGCAGCTTGCTTCCTTTATCATTGGTTGGCTTAATTAAGTATGACATTTACCCCCAGTACAACCATTTTTCGTTGAGACAAATGCCTTGTCTCCTCAGAGGATCTCCCTCTTCCTGACAGAGCCCAGAGGATCCCCATGAACATCCTTCCGCTCCCTCCCCTGGGGATCCGGGACCATACTAGCCCTGTCTCATTGCCCTCATTACTCAGCCCAGGGAGGACTGGTAGGAACTCCCTTTGTGGCTTGTTGACATCAACTCTGAGGATGTGCAAGATGGATTAAGAAAAGGCCTCTGATAGCTTTTTCTTTTCAGGAAGCTGAATGTTTTTCAAATCAGAAGCAAAAGGATTTAGCACAGGGAGGCTAGGACTGCATTTCTGTCAAGGTGGAGAAAGCTAAACTCCCTTTCCCCTGAGGCCCTTCTGTATTTCCCACTGGGCTGTACCTCCCTGTCATGCTTTAAGCCTTCCCTTCCTGGTCTTCCTCCTCAAAGCCTCTCAGCTGAGTCCTGCTCTTCTGTCGATCCAATGTGTGAGACTGAACCTGAAGACAGGGAGGATAGAGAGGTCCTGTTCTGGGAGGAATAAGGTCGGTTGTATACTTGCGTTGTGTAGGAGGGCTTTGCCCAGCAGTTTTTGGGTGCTTCCTCTGCTTATTTATTTAATCAAATTTCTGCAGCAAGAGTTACAAAACAGAAGAGCAACAAGCTTTCCTACCATTCTTTGGCCCCCAAAATACTCCCAGGGCGGGCATGGCATCCTGGCTAAAGAAACATGGTCCAAATTCTGAGTGGTGTTGGGCTTCCTTTCCTCCTTGTCTGGGGAAAGTGGCTCCAAATAGTGACTTACTTCTTGTCTTCTCCAGTGACTTGCCCTTTGCCTGGCTGTCTCTGGGGATGTGAGGAGAGCTGGGAGGGAGTGAAATCTCAGTTGCATAGTTGTATTTCTCTTGCTGACAGAGAGTTCTCAAGCTTTTGGAGCCAAGAATTAGGAGTGGAAATGTTCGTGGTTTTTCCAGTGAGGCTAAACCATTGTCTTGAAGTATATGAAATCTTAAAAGTGCAGCTTGGTCTGGGCGGTCTGTAATCTGTAACGACCTCTAGAGAACCCTGCAGATCTCTTTTGTAGGAGTCCATGATTGTACAATACACATCATTTGCTGGATTGGGGAAAGTGAGGCCTTGTGACAGGAGGCCTGCCATAGAATCAGATGACCAGAAGGTGGCACTAGTAGTATTTATAAGGAGCCACTGCAGAAGATTTGGTCAATGATACAGCACTTGCTTCTTTCCAACTCTCTAAAGTGAAACAACTGTGTTTTGTTAACACCATGTTACACAGAGCTTTTTTTGTGGATTTCTGCTTTCACCCAAACCGTCACAGCCTACTTTCTTGCCGTGTTAGGAGTGTTACTTACAATGAATTCAAAGGCCGGAAGGTTTTGTTTGTTGAAGTTTGCTCCATGTATTTAATATGCTTTCTATTCTTTGAAGCTTTGACAAAAACAGTCTTGAATTCTCTGGGAAAAAAGAGACCCCGTTTGTTTGGCAACTGTTCTCCCTGCTCCCTTCACCCACTTTGGGACTGTTCCAGAGGTCTAGATGCAAGGTTGATGTTGTCTGCCCTGCCAAGCTTTTAGCTTGTCAAGGCTTTTAATATTCTTTGTATGAGTTTAATGTAAAAAGGCACCAAGTTATTCCTGCCTTTACATGACTAATAGACTGCCTCATAAATAAGTAACTCTGTCTATATAGTTTTTAACAGTAAAATAACCTACTTAAAAGGAACTTGAAAGCCATTAAGAAACTTGAGAGAAACTCAGCAAGAAGCCTCCCTTTCTGTGTCGGTTTGTTTAGCAGAGGAAGATTTTTCCAGTGGAAGCAGTTGGCAACAGTCCTATTAATGGTAACATAGAAACCTACATCTTATCCATTTGTTGGTAGCTCTCTAGAACAAGGGGCTACCAGTCATGGCATGAGGAACGACAGCAGAGGTGGCAAACTTTTCTGTAAAGACCCAAATAATAAATATTTTAGGCTCTGCAGGCCATAAGGTCTCAGTTGCGGCTACCCAACTCTGCCACTTTAGCTCAAAAGTAGCCATGGGTGATATATAGATGAATGGGTATAGCTTTGTTCTAATAAAACTTTCTTCACAAAAATAGGCAGCAGGCTGGATTTGACTTATGGGCCATAGTTTGCAGAACCCTGAACTAGAAAAAGGGAGAATTAATTTTTTTCCTTCTCCATTATGGACATTTCCTTTTTCATCCTCTTGTTTTGCTAGGATAGTAGCTGAGGGTTGTCCACGTGTGTTTGGCCTCGTCCTGGCTGATTTCCCACTATTACAGGAACACAAGGAGCAGAGAAGCTTCTGTTTCTGCTATGGCCACTGCAAGTAGGGAAAATCACTGACAAAAGTAGGGGATGGGGGATGGGTGTGTTATCTCCTTCTTAGTTCTTAAAGGTAAGGGTTTGTATTGGATCAAGTGGATTCAGCATAATCTTCTGGTGGCATTGTATTTGGCTAACGCTGGTCCTCTAAATTAGGAGTCAGCACAGGACATGGGCCAAATCTGACCCTCTACCTATTTTGATAAGTAAAGTTTTATTGAAACACAGTCATGCACATTTCCTTACATATGGCCCATTGCCATTTTACAGTGATGAAGCTGAATGGTTGTGACAGAGGCCTTATGACTTACAGAGCTTAAGAGATTTATTATCTGTCCCTTTATAGAAAAAATTTGCTGACCCATGCTCTAGAGTAGTGCTTTTCAGACACTGTGATAGGCTACTTTCCCTCTTTCATTTCCTTTAAAAAATCCATCATGACGATGTGTAGTTCTGTTGTCCATGACTGATAGCAACTTGTGTCACATCCAACTGACCACATCAGGCCTGAAGCCTCCCCGGGTCCATTCCTATCGAAGGAGATGAGTCTTCACTGTGTATGTGCTTTGGATGTGACCACAAGGTCAAATGACTATAAATGTTTTAATTCCTTACACCCAAATTCTGTACTCATCTAGTAATGGACTAGGAACACTTTGCAGATCAGCAGCATGGTTCTAGGGCACTGCTACTCAAAGCGTGGTCCTTGATCCATCAGTATTACTTAAGTGTCTTGTTGAAATGCAATTTCTGATTCATTTCAAAAATCTCATGTGGGGCTTGTCATTCAGAATTTCTAGTAGATTTCCAGATGAGGTTGATGCCACTGGTCCTTGGACCATACTTTGCCTTTGCTCTAGAGGTATTTATAAAGGGGTCAAATTTAATATCAGATGCTGCCTATACTCACAGAATGGTGCTGGCTACATTATTCCCATTTTACTGATTAGGACTATCTTATATAGAAAAGTGAAGCAATTTGCAATGGGCAACCAAGAATGAAACACAGATGCCATTAACTAAGAGATGCCTAAGAAATATAGGCACTCTTACATTAACTTATACATAATATTTTAATCTGGTAGTCAGTTTTCCTAGTGCTGAAACCAGCTGTGCTTGCAACTTAGCTGGAACAAAATCAGTAGTGATATTGATTATAGCCTGTTAAACAAGTACGGAACATAAAAAGAAATGCAGATTGCTCTTAACCCCGAACCCCTCCTCAACCCCTACCTTCTTCATTTCCTTCCTCCTCTCATGTTATTGTGGGTTGTTTGGAGAGTTTTCAGATCTTCACTTGGACATGCAAATCATTGGGAATGAATATGTCAAGTAGGAAATGAAATCCTTTTTTATGTGTTTATAATGGTAACACATGAAAAATATACTTAAATAAAGAAATCAGACAAATGCTTTTCTGTGTCATTTGGGGGCACTGTTGTAGCCACATATCCAGGATTGGGATTTGCATGTGGAGATTTATGTCACTAGAGCTGAATTCTGCCCATTTCCTGTCCTCCCTTAGCTGCTGTTTATCAACTGCTGCTTATCACTTTAAAAGATCTGGGCCATTGAGAAGAACAGAAAAAGAGGCTAATAAGGGAACTTAACTTTCTGGGTTGCTTACCATGAAGTTTATTTAGGAGACAAATCTCTTTATAAAAGATTCACCCTGTGTAGGGCATTAAAAATGCTGATGATGTTTGCTCATCTATTCTACAACAACATTGCTTTGCTTTTATATCTATACCATTGTTCCATAATTTTCCTGTTCAGAAATCAGTTTCCATTGGAATTAATTTGTAATGTATCAAAGGGAGGTTGTAGCCATGTTCTCTAGGATAAAGTGCCAACCTAGGGCAAAGCCTTTTGTATCAGCTTCTTTGAAAGGACCCACATCCTTCTCCTTATGGTACGTTGGCCCTCCCATGTTTTTTTTTTTTTAATTGCCCTCCAGAGATAATATCAAAACCATGACAACTTTTCATTGGTAGTTTGACCAATGTTCAAGTATTGTCACAATGGCATTTGAAATGAGGAATTCTGTTTTGACAAAGCACAGCTGAGTTGTTTGTGATGCTTTGTGTGTTGAATAAATTACCTAAGGTGATAGGGATCAAAATCTAAGTGTCTTTGTCATTTGAATTCCCAGAAAATTTGAATTCTGAATTGGAAAATTCAGAAAACTATGAAGATGAAATAGATTTCCATAGGCTAAGTTCTTAAACTAACCAACAAGAAGACACCCACAACTCAACCCTTCCAAACTTTTTTCTTCCCAGCAAGGAAGGTGAAAGCCCATCCTTCTGTCTTCTCTTTTCTTCAGCTGTGGGACCATCCACCCAGGCTTCCTACATACAATTCAGCCCCTCCCTGTCCCTCCTTCCACTCCTCCAGTTCAGGTGCATTTTCTCATCTCTATCTTGATTTCTGACATAGCTCCTGAGTGGTCCAGCTGCCAAAAGTCTTACTCTTCCCATATCCTCTTACCATCTGTCTGAAATTCAAATCTGACTGTGTCATTCCCTTTCTGAGACTTACCATCACCATAGGGATGCCATTCCATAACATCTGCAATCCCGACCAGATGTTCCATTATCAGGCTTCCATATTTGTCATTGCTATCTCCCATTATGCCCGGCATTGCACTTTGTACTTGAGTAATATAGAACTATGTGTAGTTTTCAGAAATATCATGCTGTTCCATACCTGGTGCCTTTGGTTACAATTTTTTCCTCTACCTATAAAACTCTACCCCAGTGATTTTCAACCAGGGACAATTTTGTCCCTTGAAGAGACAGTTGGCAACATCTGCAGACATTTTTGTTTGTCATAACTTGGGGAGGGGTGCTACTGGCACATAGTGCATAGAGTCCAAGAATGTCACCCTTCCATAACAAAGAATTATCTGGCCCAAATGTCAATATTGCCAAGGTTGATTAACCTTCCTCTACCTCTTCATTTCCAGTAGGATAATTTCTACTTTCCGATTATGATTTAGGTAAGACTTTCTCTTCTTTAGCAAATTGTTCATGATCCTTCCTTTTGTAGGATTGGGGAAGTAGCCCTTTGCTGTTCTATGAAAGTGTTCTCTGTGTATACCTATACCATATTTTCATAGGCCATATGTTATTATAATTTTTTATTTTTAATAAAGAAAATACAAGTGTTAACAAATAAGCTGTCAGATTGTACCAGAATAATGGCTAAATCCCACATTTTTAGTTCAAAGCAAAGCCAACAGGTGGTTCAGCTACCACTCCTCAGGCTTAAGATGGAAACAAATACAGAAACCAGCTCTACAACCAACCACCCTCCTTCCACACTGTCAACACAAGAAGAAAGTCTATCCCCTCACTCACATTTTGGAGAGAAGATGCTTTCTTTCCCCAAGGATAAGAGGAGGTCCTGAAAGAATTTCCATTAAAAAAAAAAAAGGGTTGGGAGGGCAACCTTCCAAAAGGGTAACTATCATTTTTATTTCTTTTTGGGATGTCTGCTTTGCCAGGGAATTGGGGAAAATCAGATGTGGGTAGTGAGCTTTTTACCAGTGGGCCATGTTGGAGTAACCAGCCATCCATACCAACTGCCCTGAGTGTATATACAATGAGTGAAAACAGCAATTAATACTACCAAACTAAGGCAAGACTGCAACAAATCAGTCAAGACCGGCCCAGTCAGGAGGGTAGTTTTTGTTCCTTTCTTGCTCCCTCAGCCACACCCTGACAGGGTAGCAAGCAACAGTGGGTAGAGGAAGAGGAGAGGAGAGGTGTGGAAGTCAAACCCTCCACTTCAGAGGAGTAAAATCAAAGCTCTTGCGTATGCTTGGGGCTGGGGTGGGAGTAGAGAGAAGAGATTTGAATCAGATGTGTTACTGAAGTTTTTTAAATAAATAGGACTAAATCATGGAAACAGAAAGGGTACTGTTTGTATAAGTCAGAGTGTCTTAAAACTTATGGAACTGGGTCAAGATTATATGAAGGAAGGCATTACTTATATAAGACATCTAGGAATAGCTACTGCCAAAAAAAGTCACCTTTATATCCCAGTGAGTTGACAGGGTTCAATAAGCCATTCACAAATATCTATGATAAAAAATTTCAAACAGCACAAGAAGAAATCATAATTATACTGTATAATAATGCCATAATCTATATGTCAACACAACACTGGGGGTCTTAGAGTCCTTCCTTCTTCTTATGGGGAAATCGTCACATGGGATGGGTGAGTCATGAAGTTCGGAGCGTCTTGGGTCCCTCCTACATTAGGGAGTCTCCATTACTGCAGAAGGCCTCTTGCAGGCCTGGAGTGTGAGTAGACAGGAAGGTCAGCAACAATGCCTTTCTACACCGGAGCTCAGAAGGAAAGCTCCATTAGCCTTCACCAGACCCACATGACTTACTTTAATGTCAGTATATAAGATCTTTTTTGAAGGTTTGAGTATTCTAAGAAAGGTTTTATAGAGGTCAAAGTTCTAGTTAACTGGGAACTTCCTAAGGGAAGGCATTTCAAATTAGTGATGTGGATGCTGCCTGTACCCCTGACTGGGCTCATACCCTGCCACACAGACACACACACACAGACACGCACACACACACACACACACACACACACACACATTATGCAATCCCATTTTTTGGTGTCTTGGTCTAGAAGACAACTCTATTCCCTTCCATGGGAGATTTCTCTCTCTGGGTTTCTTTTGGCTTCTCCTATGTTGCAAAATGTCTGAGGCTGCATCCTTCTGAGCATTACCCTTCTCTGCCCTTCATGAAGGCTCTGGACAGAAAGGGGCTGTGTCCTTCCACCTCTGCAGGACTTGCTACCTACCTAATTTTCTGGGCCTGGTGTAAAATGATAATGTTAAACCTCTTGTTAAAAAAATTATTAACAATTTTGAGATAGTGGCAGCAGAGCCCTAAACAGGAGCCCTTCTCAGCATGGCATCCTGTGTGACTGCACTGGTCTCATGCCCAGGAAGCTGGCCCTGCCCTTCTGTGGGAGCTGAAGCCCAGCAGCTGCCTTTACTGGGTCATCTCTAAAGAGGGTACACTTTTCAAAATCATTAGTTAATTTTCCTCAGAGACACTGTAGTCAGTACATTTCCAGGAAAGAACATTACCCCCTGGCATGACTCTGACTTTGTCCTTCAGGAACAATACGCAGCCTGTGATGGTGCTGAGATGCCTTTGAGTGTTTACCATCTGCCTAGACCTGACAGCATCCCAAATGGGAAAAACACACACATTGGCTTCTAATTCTCTTGCCCAAGGAATGGTGCTGGTGCCACTTGATTTATTTTGATTCATCTTTCTCTGACAGAAGAAGGAGAGGAGAGAGTTTCTAATTCCTTCTTTTTGTGTGTGTGATAAAATATACATAACATAAAATCTACCATCTCAACCATTTTCTGGTGCATAGTACAGTGGCCTCAAGTACATTCATACTATTGTGCAGCAATCACCACTATTCATCTCCAGAACTTTTTCATCACCCTAAATTTAATTCCTTTTATTGCATCTATTTGCCTGGACCAGAAACCCCTTGAAGGCTGAGAACATGACTTTCTCATCTTTTAATATCCATGGCCTTCTATATAGTAGACACTCAAAATGCTTATTAAACTGCATTTACATTCAGCAGAGATAAACAGAGTGGAAAGCTGCCATAGCATTACCTGTGGAAATGAATGAAAGCCTGTGATTCGGTGAGTGCTGCTTGCCTTTGTTATCAATGCCACCCTTTCCTTTCCCGGGAAATAATGTGAATTTTTTTGATATATACACTATTAATATCCTTTATGATGTCCTGCTGCCTTCTAGTTTATAAAACATTCAGGAATTTCCAGTAAACTGAGTAACATGCAATTAAACAAATAAAGCTCATGCCTTAAATCCTTTCATCAAAACAAAACAAAACACCACCCTGCCAAAAAAAAAAACAAAAAAAAACAGAATAATTAACTACTAATATTTACTTGCATTACATCCTGAATTCTTCCATGGGTCCATTCCTTTTTCTAATTAACAAGAATTTTACTTTACCTAAAGTTTTTGTTGCATAATGTGAGGAAACCACTTTTTGTCTGTTTGAAAACTATTTAAATGTGAAAACTATTTAAATGTGTCTAAAATGCATTTCTAAAATGTGTCTAAAATGCAGATTTAGGAAAGAAAGGACTCAGTCCAATCAATATTCACCTCTTAAAGGATCATCTAAAAGAATTCAGTAAATATTTTTATATGATTCTTTGAAGTTCAGAGGCTGGAGACAAGTTTAGCAAATTAGTAAAAGCAGATGTTGAGGAAATGTTTTGACTGGAGGAAGATGGTCAGGGGGTTCTCATAGTCCTGGATTCAAATAAATGGTTTGAAATGAAAACTGAAAAGATACCAAAGGGAGGGATGTTGCAATTGTTAAATAGAAATATGTCCAAAAAGAATTATTCCTTTCTGAAAAATTTAAGCAAACGGGTATAGGCCAAAACAAGGCAGCCTATAGGCTTTTTGAAGCAAAGCTGCTCTGATGTACTGCTGTGATACATATTTCTTAGACACGTTTTTGATTGTTTAGAATAGATTGAGGAAAAATATACTTGGGCCAAGAAAGGATTCTCAATTGAACTGTCATGGGGAGCAAGCTATATCTCCCCTCTTCTTCCTAAGAGGCATTGATATTATCTTTTTGTCATTTTATTGGATACTCACTATTATATCTAGGAATTTATCATAGTTCTCAATGTGTGGGAAAAAATAAAGAACCATTTGTCTCTAAGAATCACATTGTTGGAGTCAGCTGATTATAATAATCATGTATGAAGCTTACTCAGGAATTTCTTAACATTTGCTGTTGAGCACCATTCCTTTATATCTTGTTCTAAATTATGGCTATGTTAGAGAAAGATTTGTAATTATGTGTAAATTAGGAATTAAACTTTTGTATTTGTTAGAGTAATAGCTGGTGCAGCAAATTAGCCACAAAATTTCAGCTGTGTAATACAGTGGGTTTTCCTGGTTAGTAGGCAGATAGCTTTCCTCCATGTGGTAACATGGGGACCCAGGCTCTTTCTGTCTTCTGGTTCTACCATATCCTAGGGTCTTAAAGTCCTTTTCATGAGGCCGGTGGAAGTGGGAAGGCTATGAGGAGAAGGCACACCAGAATTGATACACATTACTTTTACTCACATTCCGTTAGCAAGATCTAGTCAAACGATCACCCCTGAATGCAAGGAAGGCTGGTAAATGTAATTGCTCACCTGAACTACTTTTCTGCCTTACGGAAGAGTTTTTGGTGGGCAGTTTTCTTTCTCTCAGTTTTTCTTCATATTGTTATAGTAAGGCAACCCGATTAGTCTCTTTCTATCAGCTAGTTACCTCGCCAACTATTAAATAGTATAACCATGCACCTAGTTATTAAATAGTGAACTGTGTAGTAATAGTACTTGGGAATATTGAAATGACTTATTTGAGGCTATAGATCCATATAAACCCACAAATAAATGGGATCACCATTCTCTCAAAGAGGTGCAGTACAGCAAAGAAATAATCCTTATATTAGATTTTTAATTCATGTAGTGCTGTAATTACAGTACTTGATCAGAAACAGACGACCACGTTTCTTTATTGGGGGCTGCTAAATCTGCCTTTTTTTTTTTTTGAGACGGAGTCTTGCTGTGTAGCCCAGGCTGGAGTGCAGTGGCGCGATCTCGGCTCACTGCAACCTCCACCTCCCGGGTTCACACCATTCTCCTGCCTCAGCCTCCCGAGTAGCTGGGAGTACAGGGGCCTGCCACCACACCTGGCTAATTGTTTGTATTTTTAGTAGAGACAGGGTTTCACCATGTTAGCCAGGATGGTCTCGATCTCCTGACCTTGTGATCCGCCCAGCTCAGCCTCCCAAAGTGCTGGGATTACAGGCGTGAGCCACCACCCCTGGCCAAATCTGTCTTATACTATAGTATTCATAGTTATTATTATTAGCAGTAGTGGTAGTAAGAGCAACTGATATTTATTGAGCACTTACTGTGTACTAGGTATTGAGCTAACTGCTATGTAAAGAAAATGTCATTTAGTCTTCCCACTGCCTCCATGAGGTGTGTACTACAACTGTTGTAATTAGGAATTTTATGAGCAATAGAAACAGACTCTGGATGACTTAACTAAGAATAGAATTTACTAGAAATATGTAAGATGGCTCATATCAAAGGAAAAAAAAAATCCAGACGAGTCTCAGACAAGGCAGAAATAAGGGAAGCCCCAAGGACCCAGGTAGAAGGAATAAAGGGACACTTGGGAAGGATCTGCTTCAACTTTTCTTGGCAGGGGTGCCAGGATACCCTGACTGACCATCCCACCAGGATCACACACCATGAAGAAAGAGTATGTCTCCAGTGAAAAATATAAACCCTGTTACCAGTAAGGGTTAATAGGTAGCAGAGACAGGGTTCAAAATCCAGGGGAATGCCCAGTTTAGTGGAAAAACTATAAGTTTTGAAGACAGACCCTTGTGTGAACGCTGGCTCTGGCACTGTGCCTGGTGTGCAACCTCTTTGAGCCTCAGTCTTCTCACTTGTAAAACTGGACAGCAATGTTATCAGAATGCCAGGCAACATTGGTCTTGGTCTTGCTCCTTGCTGCACAGAAAGCCAGTCTCTGAGAGAATAAGTCCTGCCAGGGAAGAAGGCTTTTTATTCAGGTGACGTCAGCCAGAAAGTTGGGAGATCAGTCTCAAATCCGCCTCTCCCAACCAACTAAAATTGGGGGTTCCTATAGCAGGGAAGGAATGTAGCTACATGTGGGAAAACAGAAATCAGGAATGGGTAAAGCAGCAATCATGCCATATGAAGGCTCTGGTATCTCATTGGATGGGTGATCCGGTGTTTCAGTTCCTTGCCTGAGGGTCAGTTTCCTGAGGAAGGAACTCAAGTAAGACAAATGTAAGTTTCACGTTTCAACATCAGAGAGGGCCAATTTCTATATTTATTTTAAAAACTGTAAACATCAGTTTTTTGGGCCAATTTGGCCAATTTCAGTCCCCTCTATTTATCAACCCCTCAATCATATGGAACCTGATCATTGATCCTCCTGGTTGCTTCATGCTGAAGAGGAGCACTGTGGGATAATGATGAGGAATGAAAACATCACATCTGCAATTGAAAGTACTCATGAGTACCTGGTTGGCATCTGGCTTGTTGGAGCACCAGGATCTGGGTACTTCTATTAATGGTTTTAGAAACTCAGATGATTAATAACATAGATAAATCAAATTTAAAAATACCAGAGAATATAGAGTGGATCTCCTGGGGAGTCCAAGAGAATAATCCTAAACCTACCAAAGGTCTTCCTGATTCATTACATCCTGCATGCAAAAAGATGTCTTTTTTTGGAGAGCAATAACAGTCTGAAAAGTGCATGTTCACTTTATGGTTTCACATCTACGGTCTTTGGCTGGGTTTTGAATATCAACTCAAGGCTGTCTAAGGTTTCAGAAAACCATAACTGTTACCCCTGGAAGGGTCCCAGAGGCACTGGTTGTATCTGAGTATGATGAATCCCAGAGGCACTAGTTTTACTTGAGTATGATGAATCCATGGCTTAACACCAGCTAACAGAACAGATGAGTGAGTGGTCAGCAACACCTCAAAAGAGCTGACCCATGTGGTTGCAGCTGGTCATCACCCTGGTGTAATTTCTAGGTCTTGGACATGGTCTGCATTTTCAGAGAGTGGAGAGGCACTTCTATAGGGAACTGGAGCCTGTTGGAAAAAAACTCTGAGAGACTAGTTGGTATATTTCCTTATTGTTTTACATAGGATCTAGCTTCTGTTTCAGAAGAGAAACAATCCTCAAGTGACAGGGAGTCTGGTGAAATGGTCCTCACACATTTCAAAGGGGATAAGAGCCAACCCACTTATGAGGGCTACTCAGATCCTCAGCAGGGCAAAAAGCAAGCTTTTTTCCCAGATAAAATTTGTCTTTTGGCAATGGGGGTCTCCTTGGCCAAAAGTAGGTCCAGTTAGTCAGATGGGGGACTTAGGACTCTATTTTTAGTTTGGCCCCTTTTTGTCAATGCATGCCAGAGGCAGCATCCATGTCCAAACTTTTATTTTGTCCTATATTGTTGCTGGGGTGGTGTGGCTATGTGCCCTGGGTCCATCCTGTCCCTCAGTGGGAACCCTATGGCCAAAGAACTTAGAGTCAGAAGACTTATAGCCAATTAAATGTTCTAGTCCTGACAGAAATGGAAGTGGACAGGCACTCATTAACCCTTAAAGCCCTTTAAGTAACAAAGAAGCCCAAAACCAAAAGCCGAAAAGTAAGTTTAATATTCCTGTCATTATACAGCCAGTCTCCCATGGTTTGCATACAAAAGCACACCAGCTGCTTCATCTGAGGTGCTTCACTTGTCATTGATAGGTGAAATCGAGCAGTTCTTTTTCTGAGGGCAAGCAGCTCTTATAGTGGCTTTTACCCAGTCCAAAAGGCTGGCTGTTCTCTTGGGAATAATGTCCCATGTGTCTAGTTTACATATACATCCATCTGTGATTGCTCAATTGTGAGCTATGGATCCTGCATCCACCAAAACATGCTCTTCCACTCTGCTGCATTTAAAAGACATTGCTCCCAAATTAGTTACTCTCACAATTGATTTTAGTAAGGATTTCTTAGGAAACTGATGATACCAATCTACAAAATGGAATAATTTCTTCACATTATACCTTCTGGTTGTAATAGTTACTCTCTACTCTGTTTTGCCCTTCCCCCCACATTGACTACCTTCTTGGAAATCACAGATTTCAGAGGTAATTTTAGTACGTTGGCATATTCTCCCCTTTTGTGGTAGCTTTGAGGCTAGTGATCTGAGCTCAGACAGACCCACATCTGAGCCTGGTCCAGACTCCAGACCCAACCCAGCACTCTCTTACTTCCATTGTAGCTATTATAGATAACAGTAACAAAGGGATTCAATATTTTGCTTTTTCCTTATTAGTTTGTACTTCCTTTTACATCCAGGGAACCAACTCCCCAGGAGTTGAATTCATATCTAAATTTCACTGGTAACTTTACCTTTAATAACTGAATGCAGCACAGTTGCAGCTCCATACCATGGCCACCCAGGAAGCAAAGGTTAATGTAACATACATTATTCTAACACAGGGGCCTAGATTCTGGCCTTGCATCAGCGTGTTCTTGATATTAACATTTAATTTATAGAAAAACCCTTAACAGATTTTATTCCTCAAAATTGGCCCTTACAATCTCATACCTCTTTCTTCTATGATAGTCCTGAGCCTAGAGGGATTCAGTAGTTTGTTTCTGGCCCTGTGTCTCATGAAAGCAGTTCACTTTGATTGTCACCTTCTCCTGGGTCTGAAGACGAGGTTTTGACTGGTGTCAATGTTCAAGATTTAGTAGGAGTTGGTGCCATTTTCAGATCCAGGAGTGAAAGCTCTGTAACTTAATGGCACAAGGACTTTAAAAGCAATACAGAAAGTTTCATGTTTGTAAAAGCCTTAATTCTTTTAAATCTCAGTTTTTTTAAGCAATCAAAAAGCTAATAACAATGACATAGAAATTATCTTGATGAAATGTAAAATCTGTTTCTTAGGCTAGTTACCAAAAGGCAAAGAAAGATCTTCTGCAGTGTGATTGCTTCTCCTTATAGGAAGCCCATTTAGATAACCTGATGAAAAGGGTACTGGAATTGATCAGACACAGGAGGCATGTGTTCA
This sequence comes from Homo sapiens, assembly GCF_000001405.40. NCBI lineage: Eukaryota > Metazoa > Chordata > Mammalia > Primates > Hominidae > Homo > Homo sapiens. The sequence goes on along the minus strand of NC_000005.10, from coordinate 118,779,317 downwards.
GAGTCATGAGTGAACATTATATTACAGAGGAAACAAGAAACTAGAAAACTGGTACCTTGAGCAGGGGAACAGCATGAGAAGTTTTCTGGTTACGTGGAGCAATTCAGACGTTATCAAGAAAAGCCAAGAGTACAGCATCAAGTTATACTGGAGGAAAGCATTGCTTTCTAATCCTTTAAGATAAACATTCCAGACACAACTGTGGTTAGAACCAGAGGAAAAAAATTACAGGAGCTGGTGAAAAAGTTGAAGGAGAGGGCTATTATCTCAGGCCTTTGCAAGGGGACGAAACAGCTAAAATAGCAAGGCACAACAGAGTTCCACTTCTGAGATACGAATCTGATAAGTTTTCAAAAAGTGGTTATAGCATCAAAATCAAAACCTCTTGTAGTTTTAGTAACAGCAAGGCAAAATTTTAAAGAAACCTTGTTCTAATACAGGGGACCAATCTTTTTTACATCTCTCTCCTCTACTTACTGGTTCCTTTCTACCTTGTTTCATACATAACCTTCCAAGTCCATAATTTGAATTAATCTTTAGATAACTTCTGAATTAAAGAAAATTATTCTTTTTCTCAATAAAAGCATATCTTTTATGGCACATTTTATATACAGAATTATATATTACTTAGAATTCTTGTGCTTAGTAACTTTAAATTTTAGTGAAAATCTAGGAAGAAAAAACCTGAACTATCAGATATTAGCGTTTTATAGATGAAAACATTCCACTATTTGAAAAACAACCTGTTTCCCCATATCATAATCCTTTCTTACTTAGAATGACACAGACATCTAATGAGCATCCAAAATAATTTCAATATTTTAAATTACATAAAGAGTTTACCTATAACATTTATCCTCTTTACATTTCATTCATTTTAGCAGTTTATCTAGGTTACTTATGAGAACTGAGATATTAGACAAAGCTAGTTATCATTTCCTTGTTAACCATTTTTATAACCTGTGAGTATCAGGTGTTCATCTCAGTAAGAAGTTTAAATACATGGATATTTTCCCAATAACCCAGATTCAACTGTTTTTGAAAATTACACTAACAATATTAAATTAGCCTTATTTATTAAAAAAAATCACACAAAGATCATTCTGTCCATGACTGGGTTTATAGTCTTATAACCTTTTGTGCCAAACCATAGTTTAAATACCAAGCAGAGAGAAATATAAAACCCATACAAAAAGGTATGCTGATAATTCTGAAGACATTTCTATTTTGATTTTACCAGTAATTTTAAAGCCAACGTGTTTATTAAGGATTCACTTAATTCGCAGTAACTTGAAAATGCTTAAACTTATTTACTTAATTTATGAGTGCTCATTTGTTTATATGTGTATTATTATTATTTTTTTGAGACAGGGTCTTACTCTGTCAACCAGGCTGGAGTGCAGTGGTGCAATCTCAGCTTACTGCAACTTCTACCTCCTGGGCTCAAGTGATCCTCCTACCCCAGCCTCCCAAGTACTTGGGAGTACAGCTTGCACCACCATGCCCAGCTGATTTTTACATTTTCTGTAGAGATGCAGTTTCGGCATGTTGGCAAGGCTGGTCTTGAACTCCTGGGCTCAAGTGATCTGCCTGCCTCAGCCTCCCAAAGTGCTGAGATTACAGGAGTGAGCCACCATGCCTGGCCAGAGTACTCCTTTATTTAAAAGCCAATTTGGTACTCTGTAAAAACAACACATGACATTTAGACACATGTACCCACTTACAAAGAAAGATCCAATAGCTTTTACCTTGGAATTCTAGCCGTGAGTTATGAATATGTTCACATGGCTAAACTTTGCCCTAATAGGTAATCCAATGAAGGCTGTGAGCCAAGATTTTGGGTAAAGCAGTTTTCATAGAAGTTTAATTTTTAAAGGCCAAGTTTCTTCACACTCCAAAGAATACTAGGGCCAAACAGCAACGCAGAACATCATGTAATAACTAGGCCTGACCCTGCTTAGAACAGCAGCATAAAAGCCTGGATGCAAGGAACTATATCCTGCTTTCCCATTAAGGACAGTACTACAATTCAAAGACTTTCCAAGATTGGGTAAAGTCAGGCACATTCCGGGTGGTATGGCCATAGATTTTCCCTTACTCCATTGGCCCACAACTACCTTCAGACCAACCCTGAAATGCACCCAAGTGGGCTGCACTCTGGGATCGAACCCCAGCCTCCCATGTCTGCATTGACATACACATAAGCAGTCACCAAGACACAATCCAACTGCAGCAGTGATCAACAAGCCCCAAGAGTGTCCAGACTGAGTCAGGGTGCTTTCCTCTCTCAGCTGCTTGGCTTGTTCAACCTCAAATGGAAATTCCTTCAGAATTCCCCAAATCAAGAGGAGCAGTTCCTGCTTTTTGGACTCACAGAAGACACTCACTTGTCCAGATGCAGATGTGCACATACAGACACAAATAAGCAATTATTAACAAGCCTCAAGAGTGTCCAAACTGAGACAGGGAGCTTTCCTCTCTTCATTGGTTAGGCTTGTTCAACCTGCAAATAGATTCCTCAAATCTAGAGGAGCCATATTTGCTGTCAGCTACCCACAAAAGACACTTATCTGTCCAGAGACAGACGTCAATTTTTTCTTTCTTCCTTTTCTTTCTTTCTTTCTTTCTTTCTTTCTTTCTTTCTTTCTTTCTTTCTTTCTTTCTTTCTTTCTTTCTTTCTTTCTTTCTTCTTTCTTTCTTTCTTTCTCTTTCTTTCTTCCTTCCTTCCTTTCTTTCTTTTTTTTTTTTTTTTGACAGAGTCTTGCTCTGTCACCCAGGCTGGAGTGCAGTGACGCAATCTCGGCTCACTGCAAGCTCCGCCTCCTGGGTTCACACAATTCTCTTGCCTCAGCCTCCCCAGATGTCAGTTTTCAAGGGTGATTCTTCCTAGGCAATCAGGATGATGGCTGGGGCTGGCAATGGTGGGCCAGAGAGAGAAAGACTGAAACTTACCTTTGGCCAAAAAAACAAAGACAGGCAGCTGCCTAGGAGGTCTTCTGAAACTCTTCTGGCCTGTGGCCAGTGAACTGTGAGCAACACATTCCCAGTCAGGAAACCAAAATCTGTTACTGAAGTACCAGGGGAGGACCCTGTTGCTTCCTGCACAGAAAGCCAATCACTGAAACAATGAGTATTGCCAGGGAAGAAGGCTTTTTATTCAGGTGACATCAGCTAGAGAGAGAGGCGATCAGTCTCAAATCCATCTCTCTCAACTGATTAAAATTGGGAGTTTATAAAGCAGCAAAGGAATGTAGCTACATAAAGTCATGATGGATTAGAGATCTGGCATCTCATTTTCTGGTCACGGTGATCTGGTGTTTTAGTTCCTTGCCTGAGGGTCAGTTTCCTGAGGAAGCAACTCCAATAAGATAAATGTAAGTTTCAAGTTTTAACACCAGGGAGGGTCAATTTCTATGTTTATTCAAAAACTGTTAACATCAGTTCTATGGGCCAGTTGGGCCAGTTTCAATAACTAGCTATCAAGAATGTCAAATATTTTTAAAAATGCTTTATCCAAAAGAAGAGGTGAAAACCTAAAGCAAAACCATAACTTGAAAATGTACCTTACTTGCAAAACAGATAAACTTCACCAGACCCAGACAAGATGTGCATCACAGATGATCTATATTCAAACTTTTTTAACACTGATTTTTTTCAGGCTCATATGTTGTAGATAAGACCACAGAAAAGCTGACCTAATAGTAACTCTGTACGGACTTATGTTCTAAAAATGTAACTACTAACACTTCCAGCAGCTCCCTAATTTACAAATTCTGAGAAATCTCTACCAAGACCATCCTACAATTAAGTGTAATTACGCCAGCCCTTATAAGTGCCCTTCCTAATAGTCTTTAGATACCGGTTTTCTCAGGTGGATTTTGTACTGAAATTTGGTCAGACTCTCTTTGCAACAGACTGGGATCTCAACTAGTAACAGTGTACACAGTTAAGATTCCTTGAGTCAGTCTCTATCTACTAAAAGCTGGTCTGCCCATGGCTATGAGGTAAATTTAGCACTGATTTAAGCTTGGATTATTTAGTTGAGCCCTATAGCAATGATAAGATTATCTTATATATATTCTTGTAGCAGCTCTTCTTGATTTTGCCTTTCTCAATTTCAGAAAAACGAACTGGTAAGATATCCTTGGGTTTTAAAAATGTTCATTAGATAATGATGAGGTTTAAAATAAGCTATCCCAAAATATGTCACCTTGACATTTGAAAAACCCTTGGAGTCAGGGTTTCCAAGATGATTTGGGCCACAAAGCAGAAGACAACATGAAATGGTTGGTTTCTGCCTGAGACCATCACAACAAGATAAGCCAGGTATAAACAATTTTTTTTCTAACCATTACTTCAACTTTATAGCTAAGAAAACTGAAGCTCAGAAAGTGCAAGGAAATAGCAAAAGTCATTGGTTATTGAGTGGTGGAACTGAGGAGTAGAGGACTTTGGTTTGTCTGATGCCAATTTTTGTTCGTTGCTTGCTTTTTAATTATACGTATGGCCAACATGCCTAGAAGAAGTAAGGACTTCTGGATGACTCCTGAGAGCCTGGAAAAGGCCTTGCTGGGGGGAATAGTTTGGCATCCAGAAGTTGGTTTGAAGGCTCTTGAAAGCCACTTCCTTGCTCAGAGAAGAGACCTGAACTGCCAAGGCCAAGAAGGCCTAGTCAAGCTTTACCTTTCTGTGTCACTGGTGGTGAGAATGTGAAACAGTTGGGGAATGGAATAGATGTCAAGGACACTCTGGCTCACAGGCCAGTCTGACTGTCCTTCACGTGAACTTGGGATTGTTAGTTGTTTGGGTGTGCCTTTTGAATACAAAGGAAGGTATCCTTTGCCTCATTATGATAACATCAGTAGGATGTTCTTAAAGCCAACAGACCAATATCACCAACCTCAGTCATTATCACTAGAACTAAATTAGTTACCTAGTCTGTTAAGCTTCTGGTGGCACTTGAGAAAAACCCTAGCAAAGACAGTTTCTACATCTTTTAGATGATGAAGACAATGACAAACAACAACAACAACACAGCAACAACTAACGCTTCTATAATGCTGCCTATTTTCCAGGTTCTGTTCTAAGTATTTCCCCTATGTTAACTCACTGAATTCTCATAATAATCTACTGTGGTTAGGGACTTCCATGAGGTCACACAGGCAGAGAAAGATGGAATGGAGATTTGAGTCTATAGTCCATTATGCCATTTCTCATTCAGATATTTTTAAATCAAAGTCAAATAAAGCATTGATATTACTTACTGTGAAGTACATTCAAAATATTAACTGTTGTCATATAAGAGGCTTAAGTTTACAGTAGTTGTTTTCTTAAAAGTAATTAAGTTGAGACTACTATTTGAAATATATTCCCAGCTTTAAAAATAGTAACAATGTACTATTTGAAGAAATGAAATCTTTTCTATATCCTCCACTTTCATCATTTTACACAGTTATCTTGGAGTATAATTGCTCTTGCTCATGGTTTATTAGAAATTAAAAATATTTCATTTTTATGGAACACATTACACCAATAAGTAGATAAATACACATTCATTTTCTACAAAATAGATTCTGTCTGTGTCTCAGAGTAGAAACTGATCTAGGTTTTATGCTTCTTGTTTCTACAAGAATTTTTAGCAAATGTTGCAGAATCTGTATCAATTTCTATACACATACCTACATATCTATGTCTGTAATGACAATATTTTTAAATTAAGGTAACTTCCAGGTGACACTTTTGGTTCTATTATTGACATTAATTATTTGGACCTTCCTTCATTCCACAAAAGGAACTTAAGGTCGCTAAAATATATTTGCCCAGTAAGGTATGATAATAAAAGATAAAATTAAAGAAAAGAGAAAATACAAATAAATCAATATGATGGATTCCGGGTAATTCTTACACCCAAATATGTGCCATAAAGACCTGTACACTGAATCATAGTGTGCTGCAGTTTTAGCTCCACATTTCTTAACAATGGATTTAAATGTCATAGAACTTGCTGAGTTCCTAAGATAACAAACCAAGTAGTAGGTTAAGAGAGGTACAGCTGTCCTTGGTATGGAGGCCTGAAAATAAACAAACCATGGGAATATGTCAAACATCTACTGTGTGTTTACAGAGAATACAAAGATGGTTCCTGCCCATATTTTGGGACAAGATACCACATTCACAGTCAATATTCAGGAATATTAAACACACCTCTTAATTGTGCCCTCAACCCTGACTAGAATCTCTGTGTTTCTTGTTTCTTATTCTCCCACTTCCCACAGTGACTTTTAAAAATCTTTCCCGGCTGGGTGCAGTGGCTCACACCTGTAATCCCAACACTTTGGGAGGTCGGGGCTGGGGGATTGCTTGAGGCCAGGAGTCCAACACCAGCCTGGGCAACATGGCAAAACACTGTCTCTCCAAAAATACAAAAATTAGCTGGGTATGGTGGTGCATGCCTATAGTCCTGGTTACTTGGGAGACTGAGGTGGGAGGATCACCTGAGCCTGGGAAGTTAATGATGCAGTGAGCTGTGATGGCTCTGCTGCACTTCAGCCTGAGTGACAGAGCAGGACCCTGTCTCAAAAACAAAAACAAAAACCAACACAGAAAACCCCAACTTCTCTACTTCTTTAAATTTCCTAATTCTCCTTACGTACCTCCCACTCCTCCCTCATCTCAGAAAATGACCTACTTCAAAACCAAGTAGAAGCCATCACCTGGGAACTGCATTTGTTTACTACCATCACAGAGGACTCACCTTGCATCTGTACCTCCTTCCCCGTTTTGGGAGGCATAGAGGAGCTGTTCCTCCTTATTGCTAAGAACAATGCTTCCAGGTGTGCTGCAAATTCCTTTCCTTCCTGAATATGCTAAACATTATCCTTTCTCTCTTGTCTACTCAACCATTCTTTTTCATTGCCATTGAACTATTTTTCAGACTTTTTTTTTTTTTTTTTTTTTTTTTTTTGAGACGGAGTCTCGCTCTGTCGCCCAGGCTGGAGTGCAGTGGCGGGATCTCGGCTCACTGCAAGCTCCGCCTCTCCAGTTCACGCCATTCTCCTACCTCAGCCTCCCGAGTAGCTGAGATTACAGGCACCCGCCACCATGCCCGGCTAATTTTTTGTATTTTTTGTAGAGACAGGGTTTCACCATGTTAGCCAGGATGGTCTCGATCTCCTGACCTTGTGATCCGCCTGCCTCGGCCCCCCAAAGTGCTGGGGTTACAGGCATGAGCCACTGTGCTTGGCCTATTTTTCAGACTTCTTAATCTTAAAAAGAGTGTGCCTTGACCCTGCACCCATATCCTGGACCAATGCTTTCTCTCTGATCTCCTCAGTTACAGCCAGACTTCCCAAACACAGTGTGTGCCTGCTTCCTCCTTCACCCTACTTCCCAATAACCCCTCAGGCCATTTGACTCTGGAGCCACCAAAACTGCACTTGTAAGATGACCAGTGACCTTGGTTGTGCTACATCCAATGAACATCTTTCAACTTTTTGAGTTCTTTAGTGTATTTGAATAAAACAAGTCTCTCCTTATTTTGATGAGTGAGACAGAGTTAACTTCTTTGGCTCACAAGCAAAGATCCCCAACTCGGATAGTCCAGCTCTCCAGCCTTGTCTGGCACTGGTCTCTTCTGTGCTCTTCTTGCTCCACTCATACTGCCCTTCTCTCAGTTCCATGAGTTGGCTCTTCTCTTTCCTGCCTCAGGGCCCTGCACATGCTGTTTTTCTTGTCTAGAAATCCCTTCCTCTTCCTCTTCACTTGAGAATTTTAGTTCTTCAGATTCAGGTTAAGTGCCTCTTCTGAGGAAACTTCCTTAAACCCCCAAACTCAATCAGTTTCTCTATTATATATTCTCAAAGGCCAGAGATAAGTTTATTATCCCCACAAATTACTGAACAGGAGTGAAAATGGCCCTCTCCCCGGTTCATTGGTAGTGTCTGAATTTTAATTCCAACCACATTGTGATTTTTCCAAAAGACATTTAATGGAATTCTTCAAATAGGATATGTGTGGCTGGTGTAATTGAACAGTAGTTTAACATCCTTTTAAGTCATAGTGCTTATTTCCTATGACTTGTGGGCCTTTCAAGGACATCTGATTACAGCTCCGCTCATTGTGATTATTATGATCATGACACTTGCAGAAACATAATATGAACCAGGTCAGAGGCCTTGAACCTAGATGAGCCATGGCAGAGGGAGCCTAGATGCTATGGTGGAAGGTCCTTCCTTGAGTGATTTGTAGTTGCTGCTCTGATCGTCATGTTTATTGCTTCCGGGAATTTTATTAGCAGGTTATCCAATGCCTTAAAGAATGGTTCTTCCTTCAATACATGCTTCCCATATTTCATTTTGTTTTGCTTATCCCCCCAGGTTGCAAAAGTTCCTCGATCTGGCATACTTACTGGGTAGGTCTAGGAAGAAGAATACAGAAAAGTGATATCCTATATGACACTTTGCAATTCATATTTATTCATAATTAAAATCTGAAAGATAAGGGCAGGAGTAATAATCTCCATTTTCCACATGGGGAAACTGAGGTCCAATAAGCAATAACTAGTGAAGACAGTTATAGAACCTAGGTGTGCCAACTTTTGGTACAATGCTCTTTTCTGCCATGTCATTAATTTGAAAGCGTTTTTAATTCTTCTTCATCTTTTTTTTCACAAAAGTTCTTATGTCTATTCATATTATTATCAATTTTCAACTCAATGTAGCAAAATTGAGTGCTGGTTATATAGAACATTCTGGGAGGTATAAAACAATGATACAAATTCTTCAAGCTTGTAATTTGGTGGGAGTGGAGTTGGGGACAAGATTCACTTACTCTATTACTTCTGTCCTCATGCCCAACCTTCATAGAATTCAAATTAGGCTTGATTTTAGACTTTGTTTCTCTTATATCCCATTCTTTTATTATTATATATCTCATGAATGTCTATTAATCTATCTGAGACCAAGTCAGATGACAAAAGAATTTTGAGAAGATGTTGATGACAAATGACATTATCTCTCACCTTGAACCAAAGTGTGGGGCAAGTGGCAATTGAGACTTGAAATGGGTCTTAAACTTGGAAGAATAAAAGGATTACTTATTAGTATTTTGTACAGTTTGATGACCTATTAAAAAATCTCAGTTTTGCTTTTAACTATTACCAACTTATGATGAAAGAACAGAATGAATGTTCACCCTTCAAAGAATAGACTGCTAGTTGCCTTTCCCAAAATCCAAGATGGCCATGTAGGATAAGGCTATGGTTTTCATCTTCCCTTGTACTAGTCTGGCTATGTGACTTGCCAGTGAGCTGTAATGAAAGATTATGGCTGCCCAAGGGAATTTTTAAAAATATCTGTCATGTACCCTTTACCCTTTTTCTTTCTGTTTATTAGCATATGGCCAATACATGAACAATCATCTTGGATCATGTGGTGGCATGGTAAAGTTGGTGGAATATAGGATAGGAGCCTCTATACCAGCACTGGGAGCTATCTCAGGACTTCTTCTAAGGGAGATAAAACAAATGTTTGTCTTCTTAAGGCCATTGTTGTTTTGGAGCTTTGGTTACAAGCAGCTGAACCCAATCCTACCTGAAATTCCCTACTTCACCACCTAAATCAAGAATGTCCTAAAACCTGGCTTTTATTTGTTCCTTAAAGACAAGTCAAATATTTTTGTTTCTAGGGTCTGTGTTCTGTCCATCTGTAAGAATAGGTGATTACACACCATTATGAGATATAGCAAAGCAGGTATGAATACATTTTTTTGTTTATTTGTTTGAGAGGTGGGAAGGGAGAGAATTAAGAGGAAAATGAAAGAAACTCTGGAATATTAGATGATACTTGAGAACTAGGAAAGGAATCAGGGTTTGTAGTTTCTGTTAATGATAGATATCTGATCCCACTGGAAAGCAATGCCTTTGTGGATGCAAGAATTTTACATGGTGATGGCCATGTGGTGCCTATATAGACTGGAAACTATATCCTATCATCTTGGGTGCTTCAGTAGTGTCCCCATGGCTGAACTTGGGATGAAGGGAGAAGAACTATGGGTGGAACCATTTCTTTTACTATATACCAAAAGCATCAGAAACCAAAATAGAGTACCAACAACCCCTGTTTCATTTTTCTGAACTCTATAGCTCTAGAATTGTTGTTTGAAAATGAGAGGGGAGGTAATCCAAAAGGTGGCTTTTATTGGGTTTCTCAAAAAACTTTTTCTGTGGGTATTGAGCCAGATTTGATTCAATTTGGAACACAAGAAATGTCATGTTTCTTGCTCCTCACGGAGTAATTCATACCATTAGAGTAGGATGGACTGATCATGATCTCCTTTTACTCTTCCCTCAAAGCTCATGAAGTATTTCTCAATTCAAACTGTACATCTTGTTTCAACATAATAAGTGCCAAAGCATTCAGGTTAAATTTTTATAGCAGAAGATTAATTGCTTAACAAATTTAACAAATATTTACTGAACTTACACTTTGGGCCAGGGCCTGTTATAGGCCAATGGAATGGATTAACCAGAGACCAAAGATAATCCCTGCCCTCCTTGTCACTTACCTGCTAGTCACTGGACAGACAGTAAACACAAGACATGAATAAATATATAATAGCATGCTAGGGGATGATTTAGTAGTATCTTCAAGAGACACAATATACTATTTTTCCTGCCTGCACTAAACTTGGAGACTTGGAGAGAGACAAATTTGTCTGTGTTAGAGAAAATGTACCAAATAAGAGGGGGCAATCCAGTGCGTTTTAAGAGAATGGCCCTTCATAAGCTTACAAAGAGAATTCCTGAAATTGTCCAAAACAGTACCCTGAGGTATTACTGAAAACCCTCCCAAAAGTAGCAGATTTTAAGAGCAGACATCTAATCCCAAACATTTTGCAGCTTATAAACAGAGCAGCACATTGACAAGTGGTAAAGACGTTAAAAATACAACAGATGAATCAATTACTTGCTTTCCTGAGGCTAAGGACTGTCGTGAACTTGGGGTGTCAGTGACAGTCTCCAAGCACAGAGATTCATTTCTGTTGGACTTCAGTTTTTTTTCTATTACAGTAAACTTCCTGAAATGTATGGGGATCGAGAACACTTTCATCTGGTCGGTTAAGCATGATGATATTGCCTTTAGTGTAGATTAATATCTGTACAGAGTGAGGATTCCTTGGCCGCTCCTGTTGAGATGAATCAACTGAATTTGGAGTGTTGGTCTCAGGAGGTGGCTCTGAGAGGAGGTGCCTAAAGAGTAGAGAATTAGATGTTATAAGAAAAGGTAGAATCATTAAAAAGTGTGGGGGTATAGGGCAAGGTTTAAGGGTCCCTGACCATCTTGGAAAAGAGTACAGAATAGAAGGTCTAGAAAAAGGGAGAGCTGAGAAACCATTTTTATTCATCCAGAGCTGAGTACAGCCAGGCCAGAGGGAGTGTTCAAGGGATTCGAGAGGCAAGTAAGGTTAGAAATGAAGATCTGCTGGCCGGAGTTGGAAGAAGGTGACTCTGGGCAACAGTGATTTGACTAGGAACTGAGAGTTGAGGCTGAGGGCTAACAAAGAATATTGAGGAGATTCTGAGGTTTGCGGGCTAACTCTGAACACTGCCATAAAAGGGCACTTTAATCCATGCCTGAAGGGTGAAAAAAATTGGCTGCTGAAGTACCTGCCATGCTTTGACTGTGGGCATTACTGTTTGTTTGTTTGTTTGTTTGTTTGTTTGTTTTTCTTCTTGCAACTTTTAAGTTCCAGGGTACATGGACAGGATGTTCAGGTTTGTTACATAGGTAAACGTGTGCCATGGTGATTTGCTGCACAGATCAACCCATCACCTAGGTATTAAGCCCAGCATCCATTAGCTATTCTTCCTGATGCTCTCTCACCCCTCATCCTACCCAACAGACCCCAGTGTGTGTTGTTCCCCTCCCTATATCCATGTGTTTGCATTGTTCAACCCCCACTTGTAAGTGAGAACATGTAGTGTTTGGTTTTCTGTTCCTGGGTTAGTTTGCTGAGGATGATGGATTGTAATTCCATCTATTTCCCTGCAAAGGATATGATCTTGTTCCTTTATATGGCTGCATAGTATTCCATGGTGTATATGTACCACATTTTCTTTATCCAGCCTATCACTGATGGGCATTAGAGTTGATTCCATATCTTGGCTATTGTGAATAGTGCTGCAATGAATATAGTCGTGCATGTATTTTTATAATAGAATGATTTATATTCCTTTGGTTATATACCCAGTAATGGGATTGCTAGGTCAAATGGCATTTCTGCTTCTAGATCTTTGAGGAATCACCACACTATCTTGCACAAGGAATGAACTAATTTACATTCCCACCAACAGTGTAAAAGCATTTCTTTTTCTCCAGAACCACACCAGCATCTGTTGTTTCTTTACTTTTTAATAATTGCCATTCTGACTGGTGTGAGATGGTATTTCACTGTGGTTTTGATTTGCATTTCTCTAATGATCAGTGATGTTGAGCTTTTTTTCATATGTTTGTTGGCTGCGTGAATGTCTTCTTTTGAGAGTGTCTTTTCATGTTCTTTGCCCATGTTTTAATGGGGTTGTTTTTTTCTTATAAATTTGTTTAAGTTTCTTGTAGACTCTGGATATTAGACCTTTGTCAGTTGGATAGATTGCAAAAATTTTCTCCCATTCTGTAGGTTGTCTGTCCACTCTAATAATAGTTTCTTTTGCTGTGTGGAAGCTCTTTAGTTTAATTAGATCCCATTTGTCAAATTTTGCTTTTATTGCAATTCCTTTTGGCATCTTCATTATGAAATATTTGGCTGTGCCTATGTCTTGAATGGTATTTCCTAGACTTTCTTCTCTGGTTTTTGTAGTTTTGGGTTTTACATTTTAAGTCTTTAATCCATCTTGAGTTAATTACTGTATATGGAGTAAGGAAGGGGTCCAGTTTCAATCTTTTGCATATGGCTAGCCGGTTCTCCCAGCAACATTTATTAAATAGGGAGTCCTTCCCTCATTGCTTGTTTTTGTCAGGTTTGTCAAAGACCAGGTGGTTGTAGGTGTGTGGTCTTACTTCAGAGTTCTCCATTCTGTTGGATTGGTCTATGTGTCTGTTTTTTTTTTTTTTTTTTTTTTTTTTTTTTTTTTTTACCAGTACCATCCTGTTTTGGTTTCTGTAACCTTGTAGTATAGTTTGAAGATGGGTGATATGATGCCTCCAGCTTTGATCTTTTTGCTTAGGATTGTCTTGGCTATTCGAGCTCTTTTTTGGTTCCATATGAATTTTAAAAGAGTTTTTTCCAATTCTGTGAGGAATGTCAATGGTAGTTTGATGGGAATAGCATTGAATCTATAAATAACTTTGGGCAGTATGGCCATTTTCATGATATTGTGCATGGAATGTTTTTCGATTTGTTTGTGTCCTTGCTGATTTCCTTGAGCAGTGGTTTGTAGCTCTCCTTGAAGATGTCCTGTATTTCCCTTGTTAGCTGTATTTCTAGGTATTTTATTCTCTTGGTAGCATTTGTGCTTGGGAGTTCATTCATGATTTGGCTCTCTGCTTGCCTGTTGTTGGTGTAAAGGAATGTTAGCGATTTTTGCACATTGATTTTATATCCTGAGACTTTGCTGAAGTTGCTTATAAGTTTTAAGAAGCTTTTGGGCTGAGAGGATGGGGTTTTCTAGATACAGGATTATATCATCTGCAAACGATGATAATTTGACTTCCCCTCTACCTATGTGAATACCCTTTATTTCTTTCTCTTGCCTGATTTTCCTGACCAGAACTTCCAATACTATGTGGAATAGGAGTGGTGAGAGAGGGCATTCTTGTCTTGTGCCAGTTTTCAAGGGGAATGTTTCTAACTTTTGGCCATTCAGTACGATATTGGTTGTGGGTTTGTCATATATGGCTCTTATTATTTTGAGGTATGGTCCTTCAATACCTAGTTTATTGAGAGTTTTTAACACAAAGGGATGTTGAATTTTATCGAAGGCCTTTTCTGCATATATGGAGATAATCATGTGGTTTTTGTCTTTAGTTCTGTTTATGTGACGAATCATGTTTATTGATTTGTGTATGTTGAACCAACATCCCAGGGATGAAGCCAACTTGATCATGAGCTTTTTGATGTGCTACTGGATTTGGTTTGCCAGTATTTTATTAAGGACTTTTGCATTGATGTTCATCAGGGATATTGGAGGGAAGTTTTCCTTAGTTGTATCTCTGCCAGCTTTTGGTATCAGGATGATGCTGGCCTCATAAAATGAGTTAGGGAGGAATTCTTCCTTTTCAATTGTTTGGAGTAGTTTCAGAAGAAATGGTACCAGCTCCTCTTTGTACCTCTGGTAGAATTCAGCTCTAAATCCATCGGGTCCCGGGCTTTTTTTTTGGTTGGTGGGCTATTTGTTACTGCCTCAATTTCAGAGCTTGTTATTGGTCTATTCTGGGATTCAATTTCTTCCTGGTTCAGTCTTGGTTCAGTCAGGTTGTATGTGTCCAGGAATTTACCCATTTTTCCTAGGTTTTCTAATTTATGTGCATAGAGGTGTTTATAGTATTCTCTGATGGTTGTTTGTATTTCTGTGTGGTCAGTGGTGATATCCCCCTTATCATTTCTGATTGTGTCTATTTGGTTCTTGTCTCTTTTCTTCTTTATTAGTCTAGCTAGCAGTCTATTTATTTTATTAATTTTCTCAAAAAAAAACTCCTGAATTTGTTGATTTTTTGAAGGGATTTTGGTGTTTATCTCCTTCAGCTTTGCTCTGATCTTGATTATTTTTTGCCTTCTGCTGTCTGCTGCTTTAGTTGCATCCCAGAGATTCTGGTATGTTGTCCTTTTGTTCTCATTAGTTTCAAAGAGCTTCTTAATTTCTGCCTTAATTTCATAATTTACCAAGGAGTCATTCAGGAGCAGACTGTTCAATTTATTTATTTGTTTATTTATTTATGAGGTGGAGTCCCACTCTGTTGCCCAGGCTGGAGTGCAGTGGCACGATCTCGGCTCACTGCAACTTCTGCCTTCCTAGTTCAAGTGATTCTCCTGCCTAAGCCTCCTGGGTAGCTAGGATTACAGGTGCCCACCACCATGCCCAGCTAATTTTTGTATTTTTAGTAGAGACAGGGTTTTACCATGTTGGCCAGGGTGGTTTCAAACTCCTGACCTCAGGTGATCTGCCTATCTCAGCCTCCCAAGGTGCTGGGATTGCAGACATGTGCCACTGCATTCAGCCAGGTTGTTCAGTTTCTATGTAGTTGTTTGGTTTTGAGTGAGTTTCTTAACCTTGATTTCTAATTTGATTGCACTGTGGTCTGAGAGACTATTTGTTATGATTTCAGTTCTTTTGCATTTGCTGAGGAGTGTTTCACTTCTGATTATGTGATCAGTTTTAGAGTAAGTGCCATGTGGTGATTAGAAGAATGTAAATTCTGTTTTTTCTCTGCTTGGTCTATTTGGCTATTGACACTCGTGATTTCATTGTGAAGTTCTTGTGTTGTTTTTCCATCAGGTCATTTATAGTCCTCTTTTAACTGGCTCTTCTGGTTATCAGCTCTTGTATTGTTTTATCATGATTCTGAGCTTCTTTGTATTGGGTTAGAACGTGCTCCTTTAGCTCAATGAAGTACGTTATTACCCATCTTCTGAAGCCTACTTCTGTCAATTTAGCCATCTCATCCTCACCCCAGTTCTTTGCCCTTGCTAGAGAGGTGTTCGATCATTTGGAGGAGAGGAAACACTCTGGCTTTTTGAGTTTTCAGCATTTTTGCATTGATTCTTTCTCATCTTTGTGGGCTTATCTACCTTTGATCTTTGAGGTTGCTGACCTTTGAAAGGGTTTCTTTTTTATTATACTTTAAGTTTTAGGGTACATGTGCACATTGTGCAGGTTAGTTACATATGTATACATGTGCCATGCTGGTGCGCTGCACCCACTAACTCGTCATCTAGCATTAGGTATATCTCCCAGTGCTATCCCTCCCCCCTCCCCCCACCCCACCACAGTCCCCAGAGTGTGATATTCCCCTTCCTGTGTCCATGTGATCTCATTGTTCAATTCCCACCTATGAGTGAGAATATGCGGTGTTTGGTTTTTTGCTCTTGCGATAGTTTACTGAGAATGATGCTTTCCAATTTCTTCCATGTCCCTGCAAAGGACATGAACTCATCATTTTTTATGGCTGCATAGTATTCCATGGTGTATATGTGCCACATTTTCTTAATCCAGTCTATCGAAAGGGGTTTTTATGGGGTCTCTTTTGTCTATGTTGTTGTTGTTGTTGCTTTCTGTTTTTTTTTTTTTGTTTTTTTTTTTTAACAGTCAGACCTTTCTTCTGTAGGGCTGCTGCAGTTTGTTGGGTGTGCACTCCAGACCCTAATCACCTGGGTTTCCACTGCACCTGGAGGTATCACCAGTGGAGGCTGCAAAACAGCAAAGATGGCAGCCTGCTCCTTCTTCTGGGAGGTCCTTTCCAGATGGGCACCAAACTGATGCCGGCCCAAACGCTTCTGTAGGAAGTGCCTGGAGACCTCTGTTGGGAGGTCTCACCCAGTCAGGAGGAAAAGGATCAGGGATCTGCTTAAAGAAGCAGTCTGGCTTCCCCTTGTTGGAGTGGGTGCACTGCGCTGGTGGAAACCCCCTTTTGTACAGAAGCCCCCAGACTCTTCGGAGCCAGCAGGTGGGAAAGGCTAAGTTAGCTGAGCCTTAGATACCATGACCGCTCCCTTCCCCAGGGGGCTGTGTCCCAGGGAGATCAGAGTTCTGTCCATAAAACCCTGGCTGCAGTTGCCAAAATTGCCATGGGGAGGCCCCACCTGGTGAGAAGGGATGGATTAGAGCCCCACTTAAAGCAGTCTGGCCATGATCTGCCACAGCAAATGTGCTGTGCTGTGGGGAATTCCTCCCAGCCTGGACCACCCAGACTCCCTAGAGCCAGCAGGCCAGAACAGGCTGACTCCAGCCGCAGAGATGTTGGCTATCCTTCCCCCACTGGGAACTTGGTCATCTCAGGCATTCTCCAACCTGCTGCTGCCGGTTGACTGGAATTCCAAACCAGTGTGAGGTGTCGTGGAAGTGGGGCCCACTGAACGACACTACTTGGCTACCTGGCTTCAGCCCCCTTCCGAGAGGAATGGGTGAATCTCCTACTTCGCTGGAATTCCTGGGGCCAGAGTACGCAAAAACTCCTGGTCTCCCTGCATGCCTGAGTGGCAGCTGAGATTCCACACAGCTCTGTGCTTGGGACCCAAGACCTTGGTGGCATGGGCTCATGAGGGGATCTCCCGATCCACTGGTTGCAAGGATCTGTGTGAAAAGCATGGTTTCCTGGGCTGGGTTGCACAATCACTCACCACCACCCCGGTGGGCTGTCTGATATTGCTGTTCTAAAGAGAGATGCTGACTTCATCATGCATGTGGGTATCTCAGAATATAAATGATTTAATATAACCTGACTGCAAAGAGTAGGCAGTAAAAATATTTCTGGAATTTTGGATTCAATGCAGCCATTCAGTCAAAGCTGCAGTTCAATGCCTCCCTCATCTTTTGATTGTTTTGTGATCTGATTTGAGAAATCAGAATGTTTTCTCTTGGCATAGTATATGAAGAGTTCAATTAAAACCCGCAAATGTTTTTGTCACTTTGTGTGTGTATGTGTGTGTCTGTGGGCATAAATGTATATATATATACTTACATATATTTATAATTATATATACAGTTATCATAATATATATAGCTATAGCTATTTATAACCATACATTATCTATAACTGTACATTTAAATTTACAACTATAGCTCTCTCTCTATATATATAACTGTATAGTGTTTTATAAATTTAAAACATTTCATGTGCTTTAAAAAAGATTTAAAAGCTAAACTTATAATTTGGAAAGGCCATTATTAAGTGCCAGATGCCTGGTGATTGAACCCAGGATTTTAATTTTTCCCGATTCAGATGAGGTTCTCTGTTCAAGCTCTTGCAGTTTGCCTCTCTGTCACTCTCAATATTACATGTATATGTAAATATACACACATATATAGACACAGAGATATATATATGCACTCACACATACACACATACATATTCACACATAAATCTTTAAAAGTAGTAGAATATTTTAATTATTGAAAACAATAGCCTTGGTATGTTTAAATATGGCACTTTAGAGCAATCTTCTAATGAAATAATTTGGAACATTTTCTAACAATTTTTATCTGTCACCATTTTTTCTAATTTTAGTATATTTTATACCCAGATATTAATTACCAAATGTGATTTAAAACCCACCCTATTTCTCTTCCTGGGGTGATTTCATGACTCTGGGACTTCAAGCTCTTGGATCAAAGCTTTGGTACATCTCAGCAGATGTCTTAACTACTCCAGAGAGAGTAGTTTGAGTCCTTCTAAGCTCATCAAAGAGAAGGTGTGAATTTGCCTTTTCTCACATCCGTTCTCATAACATCTGCTTCCCATCTCCCATATGCAGGATCCTAATGGGAGAAAAGTGCCATGGCAGAAGGAGATTCTGTTGAGAAGATAAATGCCCTCTGACTATGTCTTCTTCAATCCTCAAAAATATTGCCATTATGTTTGAGAGCAGTTGATAAAGCATAGTGTGCTGGGAAGAGTGCTGGAGAAGGAGTCAGTTGACCTTCACGACTGTCCAATTCTGCAATGAGCAAGCTGTGTCACTTTGGGCAAATCATGGGTTCTCTGTTTCTCTGTTTCATCTATAAAGTGAGGCAATGAAATATTATGATCTTAAATTATTTCTTTACAGTTATATGACATTAATCAATTCCTGACTTCCTTCTTCCATTGGTCATAAATATGTGTATGTATGTATAATATATTCATAGATAATGTGTGTGTGTGTAGTGATTTTTTTTCCCAACTCATGGCTGACTTCAGTCTTAATAATTACTTTGATTACACAGTTTTCTACATAAAAATTTAAATTACAAAATTCTTGTACATAACCAAACAAAACCCTCTGAGCAAATTTAAACTGAAGATTTAGTTGAATAATTTTATTTTATATTTTTGCTCCAGAATTTTCTACTGTGGCATCTTTATCAGATATTTGTTGAAAGGTTGTTATTATGCACTAATGAATGATAGTGTTGAGAACTTGGTCACAGACCTTCACTACAGTGTTACAAACTATCTTAGAAATGAAAAATGTGAAGTCTTATGACTAATAATTGAATGATTGTTTTAACAAATGTAAATGTGATTGTGATGGTTAATATTCAGTGTCAACTTGATTGGATTGAAGGATGCCAAGTATTTTTCCTAGGTGTGTCTGTGAGGGTGTTGCCAAAGGAGATTAACATTTGAGTCAGTGGACTGGAAGAGGCAGACCCACCCTCAATCTGGGTGGGCACCATCTAATCAGCTGCCAGTGTGGCTAGAGTAAAGCAGGCAGGAGAAGATGGAAGAGCAGACTTGCTGAGTCTCCTGGCCTTCATCTTTCTCCCATGCTGAATGCTTCCTGCCCTCGTACATCAGACTCCAAGTTCTTCAGTTTTTAGACTCTTGGACTTACACCAGTGGTTTGCCAGGGTCTCTCGGACCTTTGGCCACAGACCGAAGGCCACACTGTCGTCTCTTCTACTTTTGAGGTTTTGGGACTCGGACTGATCCACCCCTGGCTTCCTTGCTCCTCAACTTGCAGACGAACTATCGTGGGACTTTACTTTGTGATCACGTGAGTCAGTTCTCCTGAATAAACTCCCTTTCATATATACATATATCCTATTAGCTCTGTCCTTCCAGAGAACCCTAATACAGTGATTTTCCAAAAATTCACATTAGTTGGGCAGAATTAAATCCCAAGAGTTTGCAGCTAGATTGGAGTTGAAGACATGACAGTGGGTAAAGTGTCCAGGGAGTGTGGACCAAAGCCAACAGGGGAATTTCAGTCACCTTCACATTTAACAGATTGGCAGAGGAAGAGAAGCCACTGAAGGAGACTGAGAAGAAATGAGAGGTATCAATAGAAGATGAAGCAGAGGCTCCTCCTGTCGGAGAAGCAAGGTGGGAGAAACTTTCAAGAGAGGGATTGGTCAATATTGCAAAATACTATAAGGAGGCAAAATGAAATAAGGGTTAAAAGAACTTTTTGCTAAGAAAAAAAATCCCCTCACATTATAGTAATAGGGATTCATTTTAAGGATACTTTATAGAATTGTATATAAATCTGAGACAAAAGCCAAGCACAACTGGACCACAAAAAGACTGGCCACTGGGTCTGGAAGGCCAGTAGGAACCAAAGCTATTCACTCTACCCCTTCTCCAGAGGTCATCTCTGAGTTGCTGCCCAGTTACCTGTTCTCAGCTAATACCTTGCTCTGTGGTTTCTTGTATATGGCCGTAGTGCTGACCCAGTTCCAATTTTTCATAGACTCCTAGGACCATTTCCTCGTCATCAAATGCCAACTTTCCTTTGATCTTAGCTCAAATTCATGAGAGAAAGAAAACCTAGCCGAGATCCTTTTCTTGAACCTGTACACAAATCCCAATTTTCTGGCCTTTCCTATGGATTGGTTGCCTTTAGATTAGCTGTCTTCTCATGGCTAATCAGCTGTGCCTGATTTGGGGAGTTTCTTGGGGGAGTCTCATGGTGGAAAGTACATCCAAGTCTATGTAATGGAGCCTGTAGGCCAAGGCACAGCAGATTCATTCAGAAGGGCTGGGAATGGGCCATTTTAAGAAAGAAGAAGAAGTATGTACAGAGGAAAATAGGCCAGCTTGTCCAGTACAGGGTCCATTCAGTTTAGCACCTGAGTGCACATATAATTTTGGGAAGAATGCTGTCGTAGAATGGTGTGAGGTGGCTATGAGATTATGATGGGATGAAGAGTAAATGGGAAGAGTGCAAGTGAATGCAGTACATAAAGACTATATTGTTCAAGCAAGGCAGTAGGCCTTGACCCACTTGTGTTTTATAAGGGAAAGACATAAAGATGGAAGCTATGGAGATATATAGGATCAATAATGGACATTTTTAAAAGATTGAAAATATGGGGTTACTTTTAACAATTTTTTTTTATTAGTCCGTGTGGGGCATTTTATGGTGAAAACCAGAAAGCCTGCTAGACAAATTCTAAAAAAGCTGTAACACTACTTTAAACAAATTTTTATACTAAATGGAATGAAGGAAAGGTTTAAAGATACATGCAGAATGAAGGAAAGGTTGAGGATATATATATAAAATATATGTGTGTGTATATATATACACACACATATATACATACACACACAGACACACACACATATATATACATACATACACACGATATATAAGAGAGACAGAATGATTGATGGAACAGCATCTCTGAGGATGGAGAACAAGTGGAAGGATACATCTGAGAGATGACAGGGGAGACACAATATTTTGTGATGTAAGAGAAAAGATGTATCAGTGAGAATAGGCTATATTATGCAACAATAACAAACACTTCAAAATCTTAGTTTTTTTTTTTAACGAGTTTAATTCTTATTCATGCTACGTGTCTACTTCTGCTTTGTTCATTATAGTCACCTAGATGGAACTGAGATATTGTTGGTTTCCATGACAGAGGGGAAGAAAGTTCTGGAGGAGCCCTCACTGGCAATGAAATGCCCTGGTCCGAAAGCAACACATGTCATTTCCCCTCACTATTGGTGAGAGTTCGTTAACCACTGTCCAAGTACTAGAGGATCAGCTAGTGTGATCTTAACAAATGCTATAAAGGTGGATCGTTGGGGTATTTAGTGAACAACTTAATGATTACAATCAATAAAGACAATGGTGAGAGTGAATACGGGTAACTGTGAGTGGCTGCTGAGAAACTGAGGGAGTCCTATAAAGCAGAAATGAGATGTACATAGACAGGGAGGGATGAGTTGGTGAAGGCTTGAAACAGTTGTTGGGAGAGTGACTAGCTAGAGATGCAGAGAAGGATTATAGGTTATTCCTTAGGACTGAACTGAGAATGCAGACTGAATTTGTGATGACACTAATCTGTTGATTCTATGATTTTCTCTGGTGATATTCAGGATCCTAGATACGGATGGGAAATGTGGATGATTGATTGATCTAGGATGGGGTTTTGCTGAGCCAGTGCAGCAGAAGGATAAGGGTGTGAGGGAGTTAAAAATGTTATAGTAAGTGTATGGTTGAATGATGAACCATGTGATCTAAGTTCAGAGGAAAGTTGATGAAAAGAGAAAAAGGTTGTTGGATTATAGAAAATATAGGAGAAGCAGGACTGGTTAAATTTTAAATTATCCTTGCCTAAATGTCTAAGAGTTGTTATAGATAGTTAGGATGCTTTGGGGAGCACTTATCAGAGAGCCTTACATAACTGTAAATCATGAGGGCTTTTATTTACTCACTCAATAAGACATGGAGATAAACCATCTGCAGATAGGTTCAGTGACTCAGTGTTACCATCAAGGACCCAGGTCCTTTCATTTGCTCAACATCATAGCATTGGTGTTCCTTCACAGGCTTGTCACCTCATGATTGCAAAATGGCTGCCACACCTCTACATAGCATATCCACACCACACACAGATAGGAAGGGAGGGTAGGAGGTGTGAGCTCTTTGTCCTTGCATTCCTGACTGTATCCCAAAAGAAAATGCTTTCTTTACTTCTGTTTAGCCAGAAGTAGGGCATATATCCACTTGTAGGCTAATCACCAGCCAAGAGCAATGGAATGCCCTTGACTGATTATTATACATTTCCTTACTCATCCCATGGGACTGGGCATAGGGCTGCCTGAACTACATGGGGTTCTGTTAGCAAGGAGGATGGGAGAAATGACTATTAGAGAATTAATAGTGACTGCTACAAAAAGAACCTCTCTTCTCAATGAATGATATGACCTCATGCTCAGGATGCAAAATAATTATCTTTGTTTATTCAGTTAAAAAAAAAGTACAGATCTAGGCTTTGAGCCAGGAAAGAAATTTTCACCAATTTTCACTGAGGGTAAGACATAGAGATATCATGTAAAATTTGAATTCCTTTTATGGAAAGTTGATCTAGCCCCCCAGGGCATGTAATGTTTCTTGAGTAAAGCCTGCTGATTGAGTAAAACTTCTACTGGATGATCAATCTAGATGATTTTTTTGCATTTCAGATTGCTTTTAGTTGAAATGGATACCATACATCTAGTGAAGCCTGTGCCATTGTGGAGTGCAAATATGAGCATATTGTATCAGTCTGTTCTCACATTGCTATAAAGATCTACCTGAGGCTGGATAATTTGTAAATGAAAGAGACTTACTTTGCTCATGGTTCAGCAGGCTGTAAAGGAAGTATGGCTGGGGAGGCCTCAGGAAACTTACAATCATGGCAGAAGGGGAAGGGGAAGCAGGCATGTTTTACATGGCTAGAGCAGGAGGAAGAAAGAGAAGAGGGAGGTGCTACATACTTTTAAACAACCAGATCTTGTGAGAACTCACTCACTATCATGAGAACAGCAAGGGAGAAGTCTGCCCTCTTGATCCAATCAAGCCCTCCCAACAGCCCCCTCCTCCAACACTGGGGACTACAATTTGATATGAAATTTGGGTAGAGAGACAAATCCAAACTATACCACATACTAAATGTTCATGAGTATAGATTATTCTTTTAAAAGTATCGCGTGTAAGTTTGTTCTCTTGATTATTTTTTCACAGAAATGCTATATATGATGACATATTCCCCAAATTCAGGTCTTCTATAAGTTACTTGAATTTATGTTTCTTGTTCTGTCAGATATTGCTTTACAATTTCTGTGATACATATTAATATTGAAAGAAAATTAATGTTATTTGTTTTAATTCTTTCCAATTTGAATAGGAATCATACAGAATTTACCAAAATTGTTCCATTCAACAGGAATTTATTTTGCCATTTCCATAGGAAATACAGTTTGTGTTTCCTGGGATGTAAACATGAAAGACCTGCTTTCATGTAAACATGTAAGATACAGTGCCTGCTATCAGGGAGCTTACATTATCACTGCTAACTAGATAAGTAGGCAATTAAATAGGTAACTATTTAAGCACATCTTCCTCCACTACTTGAAACATGTTAGCTATTCAAGACCCACCGTGCTCTTTGGGTGTGCTACCATCTTTTAATACTCTGTCTCAGTGCTTGGACTAGTTTTAGTTTGTTTATCTTTAAAAACTGATTTTTTTAAAACTCCAGGAACTTGGATCCTCTCAATCACCATAAAATTGTTAGTTTTCTCATGGTTTGTTCTCTCTTCACAGATTCTGGCTGTGAAACTGAATATTGACTTAGAAAATCACACCCTATAACCTGAGTCTGTAGATTGCTTTTATATGCCCCTGATCTTAAGTACATGAATCCTCAGTCTCCCAAGTCTGAAGAAAACCTGCAGGACTCTGGATCTTTACTCTGCATTATTCAGATGCTTAGAGAGTATTGGTCTCTTGCAAAGAACATGAAACCAAAGATCACACCAACAGTGCACTTTATGAAAAGGGAGTTAATTTTAAAAACAGATGCTGTATTTGAAAAATAAATTCTAGCCAGTTATATTTAAAGCTTCCAAAAGTTAGATGCATGGATACAGGATCTTCTTCTGGGCACCCACAGCACCAGTACATTGCTTTTTCGTTGCATTTTAGTTTGCTCACATTATTATTATTATTATTATTATTATTATTATTATTATTATTTCTGAGACAGGGTCTCATTCTATTGGCCAGGCTGGAGTCCAGTAGCACAATCATGGCTTACTGCAGCCTTGACCTCTCAGGCTCAAGCAATCCTTCTACTTCAGCCTCCTGAGAAGCTGGGACCACAGGCACATGACACCATGCCTGGCTAATTTTCTTTTATTTTTTTGTGGAGAGGGGGTCTCTCTACATTGCCCAGGCTGGTCTCAAACTCTTAGGCTCAAGGGATCCACCTTCCTCGGCCTCCCAAAGTGCTGGGATTACAGGTATGAGCCATTGCACCTGGCCTAGTTACTTACTTCTATTTGTTTCTCATAGTTGGCAATTTCTTAAGAGCAGGTGCTATTTTTTTTTTTTATTGTGAACTGGACTCTAAGCATTGTGTCTTTTTTCGATGCTTTGTCCTAAGAGCTCCACACACCATATTTCAGTATTATGATTTGTCTACAATTAGCCTTGTGCTCTTTCTGCAATTGTTGCAATGTGAACTTTGGCCCAAATTCATACTTTCTCCACCCCAACTTCTAGGCTAGTTCTAGGGTGACACATTTTTTCTGCTGTCATTATCCTCCCTGGATCTTTCATTCAACTGTGACATTACCAGTTGGACAGATTTACTGGTTACCCACCTGGTGTGATTTTATGAACATTAATGAGGTTATTAAATTCTCTGCTGGATCATCAGGGTCGATGATGCCATCATTGAAGATAAACTTTGTTGGGTTGAGTGTTGCCTTCTTTTATTGTGCTACCTCTATGACTTCCCTAAAGAATAACACATTTGCCTAAGTCAGATCACGCTGGTTTCATTGTGCCTGCTGCCACTAGCCATGATCTGTGGTCTTGAGCTATCCACAGCTCAGGTGGGTGAGGGTTGTGGGCTGTTGCTGTGCCAATCTTGCCCTGAGACCAGGTTGCCATGCATAGTCAGACCATAGGCTGTCAGCATAAACATTACCTGGTTACAGAGGAAAACTTTTTTTTTTTCCAGCCATTTGAAGCATGTTGAGAGTGTTCTTCTTCATGCCACCCTTTTCTTTTTTTCTTCTTTTTTTGAGATGGAGTTTTGCTCTTGTTGCCCAGGCTGGAGTGCAATGGCACGATCTCGGCTCACTGCACCCTCCGCCTCCCTGGTTCATGCCATTCTCCTGCTTCAGCCTACCAAGTAGCTGGGATTTCAGGTGCCTGCCACCATGCCTGGCTAATTTTTGTATTCTTAGTAGAGACAGGGTTTCACCATGTTAGCCAGGCTTGTCTTGAACTCCTGACCTCAAGTAATCCACCTGCCTCGGCTTCCCAAAGTGTTGGGATTACAGGCGTGAGCCACCGGGCCCGACCCATGCCACCCTTTTCTATGCAGCCATAAATGTTTAGCTGACCAGGACTTTCTCACCAACGCTCCCTCCAAGATGAACTATCCTTCTGAGATGGTTCTTAGATTTCTGTCTCAGATTTTTAGCACACTCAGCTGTAAATGATATGGTTTGAAAGTAAACATATGTGAAAGTTTCCTTTTCCTTGTGCAATAGCTGTTTATGTAAAAAGTTGTCAATTGAATTTTTGGAAATGTAAATCATTTTAAATGCTCCAAGGGAAATTTTTATTTAAAGGAATCTAGCAGTAAAACTTTTAGAAAGTAAAGAACCCCCTTTTTAGATATAAAGAACCACAAATTTATCTGTTCTGTGAGTTTGGAGTTTAAAGAGTCTCTCTCTTTCTCTCTCTTTTTAATCTTTATGAGTTTGGGATTGTGGCCTCATTAATTGTTGGAGATTATTTTCAAATTGTGAGGCAATAGTACACAGCATAAACCTGAATTAATTCTCAGAATCAACCAGTAACTCTATCTCTTTCTGTCACACACACCCACACACACACACACACACACATACACGCACAAACCCTTATGATGTAAATATAGATTACACTGCTATGTGAACTGTGGAAGGAAGAGAAGGATTGTTTAATTAGTCCCAAGTACGGAAGGAGACTGAGCAACTTGAGGAATTTTGAAGCGTGAAAGTCATAATTGACAAGATGATTTGCAGATCTTGATAGGAATTTTCTGTGGGGACTCTAGTTATTGCTAGTAGCTAGTTTGAATTTTTTTTTTATTATGAAATGTCAATTTCATTTCCAAACCGTAATGATTTATGATTCTCTTAGCACAGTTAGTACCATCACTTTTTGCTTGTAACCTGTGTTGCATCTACACCTGGGAATTTATCAGGAAGTCAGAGCCAACTTTTTCTAACTGGTCTTTCCGCCAGAGTGCAGTGATATTTCTATTAAAAACAAACCAAAAATGGGCAAGCTCATTTATTCTCCATATATTATGAAGTTCCCTTTTTTGTGATACTGATTTTGTTGTCTTTAATGACCTAATTGCTCAGATTGTTAAAGGAACTGGGACAAGGAGGTTGGTTTTTATATTACAGGTCCTTAGACATCCTGCTGCATCTTCCTGGTCTCAGACAGCCACGGTTCTTGGTGGGAAGATCTCAATAGATGATTATTGCCCATCTAAATGAAATTAGTACTATGTTGTGGCTGAGCACACCTTCCCCCAATGTAGAATTTGATTTGTCTCCTTTTAGATCTGCAGATCCCAGTGAGAGAGACATTGGAGAATGAAGATAAAACCTAAACAAAGAGTATCAGCTGTATGTCTCCTGCAAAGAACACAACTGTTACAGAGTGAGAAGGATTCTCTCTGAGGTTGCTTTACATCATCTTAGTTACCTGGCTTTGAATTTTTCAAAGGGGCATAAAACCTAGAAACAAACGTCCTGGATTTCATTTGTGGCAGCCCAAAGATTCTAGTAGAGCGTGAGCAACCAAAAGTTCTCATGAGGATACTACCCTTTATGCATTTTGCTAAGCATAAGTGATCAATTATATTAATCATGTGCTGGTGGCCACAGAGAGAGACCATAGGCTTCCTGAAATTCTCATTGCTCTTAAGTAACCACAGGGAAAGGGGATTATTTTGTTATTTTTAATAGGATATTAGTAGGAACCCAGTATATCAAAAATTATAAACCAGTGGGAAAAGAATGGGTTAGTTTACAAACAATGTTAGGAGACAAGTTAAAGTTAGTCTCCCTCCCACCCTTATATATAAAAATAAATCCCCCAAATGTTAAAGGGTTAAGTGTAAAATATAAACATTTAAAACATACAGAAGAAATATACAGGTGATTACTAAAAGAGAAAGATAGAATTCTAAGTACAAAAGGCAATAGAAGAGACGATGAAAGAGAAGTTGTTTTATTTGACTCTAACGTTTGACCTGGTTTGGAACCATGGGAAGATGGTCTCCAACAAGTGTGAAGTCTACTTAGTTTTTGGGTTGTGGATGAGCTGTTGTTGTAACTTTCAAAGGTGTGGTTCTCACAGGCATTGCTGGTAGACTAAATAAAGGTAATGTGTCGGCCCTGGAAGGTGAGCTGGGAAAAAGTCATGTGAACAGCCTTGTAAATATATTTTCATCTATTTGTTTTCTGAAGTCATATAGGAGTAGCACAAATTTTACTCACTTCAATGTCATTTCTGCATTTCCCCTACTCTCCCTACTAGAATAATTTGTCAAAATTCCACATTTATAAAATTATAGTATTGAAGGTTAGAGTAGAAGGAGGGAGAAGGAGATAAAGGAGAGAAAGCACAAAAGGAGAGAAAAGAAAAGGAGGAAGAAATGACAGGAAGGAAAATGAGGAGATATTCCCTATGCTAACATGACTTTAGAAAAGCAGACTAGAGGATAAAAGAACAGGAGAGATGGAGGGTGGTGGAGCAGATGAGGTGGAACTGGATCCTTTCAGTCCTCGGCAAGGTGTGGTCCCATGACTGGAAGCCAGATTCCTCATAAACCTAGAACCTCTGTTTCTAGGATGTCAAGACACTCGGTTCTCTTCTTTTGTTCCTAGTATCCTGTGTGTGTGCCTTCCTGTCTTGGCATTCTTGGTTGACATCCCTTTCTTCATACTTTAGGCCTTGGGCCTCTTCTATGTTAAGGCCCAAGTCTTCCCTTGCCAGTCCCCTTGCCAGCCTCCCAAGCTAGCAAATCTTTCCTCTGTACAGACTCCAGACCTTGTTCAGCCTGGTTTGCAGCTGGTCTTTGCAGAGAAGCTGATCTTCCTGCTTCTCTTGTCATATATTGGCTATTTGTCTCAAATTGCAGTCTTTTGGCTGGTTTAGTTTACATGTTGTTCTGGTCTCAGCCTTTTGGGGGGCTTTATCTGATACCTTACAGATTTCTGGGACCTCCCCGACCTCCATGACCTCCATGTTAATAAGAGAACTTTGGCTTTCTGTGTCCACCAACCAAGCCTTTGGTTCTTTCTCTTCAGCTTGCTTTGGATTTCCATCTCACTTCGTTCCCTTGCAGCCCAAACTACTATTACAATCAGCCTCATGGAGTAGAAAACTACCTGGCTTTATCCCCGAGAGCCTGATTTTCCCTCTACTTATCCCATCCCATGACCCTCAGGGTGTCACCCTGAGAGGTGGTGGTAACTGTGGATAGGCAGATGGAAATTAGGGAATTCTGTGCCTTCTCACTGACTAGTGCCCATCAGGGAAGACTTAACTATGCAAGAGATGGAAGTAGCTAGTGAAGAGAAAGGTGTATGTGTTTGACTGGCTGATATATAATTCACTGTTAATTACCATTGCTTATTCAATCTGCAGAGTTTTTACAATGCCACAGATTGTTCTAGCTCATTAAAAATTTTAGTCTTTGGCTGCAGTATCTGGAATGAGCTAACTGCTTGAAAAGGTCATGATCATGTAGTGCAGTGGCATACAAGCACTTCCTCTAAGGTAACCGCTGAGATAGTAGGTAGAACTTCAAGACCAATTCCAGTGCCAGTCTTAAAAC
Source organism: Homo sapiens (assembly GCF_000001405.40). Taxonomy (NCBI): domain Eukaryota; kingdom Metazoa; phylum Chordata; class Mammalia; order Primates; family Hominidae; genus Homo; species Homo sapiens. The sequence goes on along the minus strand of NC_000005.10, from coordinate 118,749,769 downwards.
ATGCACCTTTTTTTTTTCATGGCTTTGCCAGCTGGACAACCCTACACTTTAAACTACTCTCCATCTTGGCAAATACTTTCATCCTCATTCTTCAATAGACAAAAGCTGCCTGCCTAGTATTTTCAGAGTGGCTGAGAGAACCTAAGATCCAGGGGCGTTCCATCTGATTAGAGTTGCTGAACAATTATTCTTGAATATTACCAGCTGAGTATGCAAAAATCTAGCCAGGCAAGTGAGGGCAGTTGAAGCTCTTTCTGCAGAATTATATAACTGGCCCACATAAAGAATCACCCAGTGGTTCTTCCTGCTTCTTTCTGGCCCTCTCCATGCATTTTGTTTTTGCTTCCTCTACCCGTCTGCCCTCTGACACTTTCTAACATACTGTGTTTTCTCATTAATATCCTCTCTCATGGTAGTCTTTTTGATTTCTTAAGCATGGCTTATTGTAAAACTTAAAGACTGTGGGTCTTTAGTTATGAATCTGCTTTCATCCTGGGCCAACGCTTTTCTTTCAAAAGGATCTTCTTGAATAAATACATTAAAATTACTGAAGGGATTCTTTACACTGACCTGACATGGTGAAGAGAGAGGGCTGCTCCTTCCAGAAACCAAGATTGGCCTCCTGAGCAACAGATTGCTGTGGATGTTGATAGTGGCTTAAGTTCCCACCTTTATTTAGTTTCAAAAACAGGGCTGGGCAACTTAGGTGGACAAGTGGTGTTAGGTAAATCTTTTAAAAGGCAGGAAACTGTGGACCAGGATGGGATCGAGGAACAGGAATTTAGGATGTAATTTATGGCTCATATTTTTTGTGGGAGGAAAAATATGACTATATTGACTGGAAAATTAAAAGCTCTTATACTTGGACAATCTATCTAAGTAGGCAATTGATAAGAATACACCAAATGTTTTATACATTTGAAAATAAAATATGAGTTATAGCCACCCTCAGAGTTTGAGGTTTTTGAGATTACTTGTGGGGTTCGAATTTTGAAAATGTACCAGGTGATATGCTCCTTCCTCTAGTCTTGTTAAAGATTTGGTTTGCTAATAACTCTGCTTTCTAAGTCATCAGCTACCAGACATGTGAAAAGATAGAATTTTAAGGAATATAGGCACATATTCAATGGCCAAAGCTACTAAGTGCCATATTCTGACATTAGTTGGCATTATTTTTGGGTGGTACAAACTAATTTTAAAAAGGGGAGTTAAAATAGGTTGAAAAACTAGAGACTGTTGTCTCATGTTTGGTTTGTGTGAATGGATTATAAATTCACATTACAAAACTGAAAGAAATACTGAGCTGTAAAAATGTGGGAATTATGAGGTTAAAACTGAACCATGAGTTGTGCTAAATTTGAAGTCCAGGCTATGTGGATAGTAAACAGGACAAAGGAAACATTCAGGAACCCAGACATGCCCCTGAATGACGGTCACATTGCCTCTTAAAATGCACGTGAACTGACGGTAAAAATATCACTATTTTTTTCCCCTGAACTTCTGTTATTAGTTTCCCATCATAAAGTATACAAATAGTATTGGCTCCTAAAACACATTTACTAAGACAATTTGCAGCTCTGAAGTATGCTTATCTATAGTTACCATGTTAAATTCATGTTTATATTGTTTTTATATCTCAGGGATATATTTCAGTTATCTATCACACTTCTGATTCACTTATGTTGCTCACATGTAAAGTGTGACTCCATAATTATAAATTTCAGGTTGAGTATCCCTTATCCAAAATGCTTGGAAACTGAAGTGTTTCAGATTTTGGATTTTTTTTCAGATTTTGGAATATTGGCATATACATATACATAATGAGATATCTTTGGAATTCACCCAAGTCTAAACACAGATTTTATTTATGCTTCATATATACCCTGTTCACATAGCCTGAAGGTAATTTTATACAATACTTTTAACAATTTTGTGTGTGAAACTGAAACAAAGTCTGTGTACATTGAACCATCAGGAAGCAAAGGTGTCACTATTTCAGCCAACCATGTGGTTGTTTGGCATCACTGTCACTCCGGACTCTGAATTTATATTATATGCTACTGATAAATAATTGTTTTCCTACACTTATTCACACATAAATACTTAACAGTAAAAAATGTGATGTACCATTAATACAGTGAAAAAAATGATGTGTTCAGGTTAACTAAACAGAACAGTATAATCACCAGAATACCCGTATCAACTATTTTGTTTTTGTTTTTGTTTTTTTTTTGAGATGGAGTCTCGCTCTGTTGCCCAGGCTGGAGTGCAGTGGCACAATCTCGGCTCACTGCAACCTCCGCCTCCTGAGTTCAAGTGATTTCCGGCTAATTTTTGTATTTGTAATAGAGAGGGGGTTTCACCATGTTGGCCTGCCTGGTCTCGAACTTCTGAGGTCAAGTGGTCTGCCAGCCTAGGTCCCAAAGTGCTGGGATTACAGGTGTGAGCCACTGCGCCTGGCTTGTATCAACTGTTAAACAATAGCAGCTGAAGTGGGTTGGAAGGGTGTCTTTCCTTGGGGATGCTGAGCAAACTGCATCATGTGCCTGTCACAGATGAAGCTGGTGTGGAATTTTGCACTTGTGGTGTCATGTTGGTGTTCAAGATGTTTCAGATTTTGGAGCATTTTGGGTTTCAAATTTTGGGATTAGGGATGCTCAACCTGTATGTTAATTTATAAGCAAATACAAATATATCTGAAATATATATTGTATTATCAAAACTTATCAGTACACTTAGTAGAAAGAAACCAACTTTGGTGTCAATTCCATTGCATATCTCAGGCTAAATTGCTTATTAGCAATTACTCTTTTCTCATTCAGGGAAATATATTCTAAATCATAGAAGGTGGAGAATGAATCAAAGACAGAGAAAGCATTTGCAACAGGAGAAGAACCTAGGTCTCATGCCTAACCCTCTTGAATGGCTGTTAAAATCCTCTGCCCCTCCTCCACACTCACATTTTAAATATTTTGATATTTATGTGAGTATATTGTCTTTACAATTCCAAAGAAAAATTTAAATTAGGATTTGTTTTTGGAATTAGAAGATGCTAATTTGCAAAGCATTTCATCCTAAACAAACTTTTTTATAATAGGTTGAACTTTGGATGTAAACTTGCCATAGGTAAACCATGGCTCAGGTAAATGGTCATATGGATTATTTTTTGGCATGATTTTTAGTGGGAAAGACAGAAGTTTATCAAATATCTCAAGAGTGAAAAATTCAATTTAAAAACTAATTTGTGGGAAGCTATCATTTCCTACAAAATCCCCCAAACTTTTGCCTTTTTGAATGTAAGATGTTCTAAAGTCATCAATTTTCTGAGGGACGACTCATCTGTTAGGGGGAAGAATGACTTTTCTACCCACTTCTTTGCTAGCTTTTATCGTAGTTATGGCAAACAGTCTGCTCCCTGACCACCTCCAGTTCCATGAATGGGCTTTGTTTTTTAATCAAGGAATTTGTGATCCTTGATATGTGGACTCAAGAGGCTTAGTGTTTGATGCACATCCCTGAACAAAGGGAGTCTGGATTTTACCCACAAAAGGGGAAGAAATACTTGCATCCGATTCCACTGGGGACTAATGTTCAGGAAGCTTGTGTGGTGTTGTGGAACTGTCATTCACCTGTGATTCTGCAGAGAGAAAAGGAAATTCATGCAGTGAGAACTTAAAAGCTATAGGGGGAGAAAATACATTACGCTTTCCTCTGCCCTCCTCTGTTCCTCCCAGTACAGCAAGAAACGAATAAAACCTGTTGATTGATTGACCAAGATACACAGGCACACTGTGAAAGATTTGATTTACAGTCACTGTGATCTAAATTTCATCTTCTTTAAGGTAAGGGCTGTAGACAAGATTGCTGGACTCGAACAGCAAACTAATTGCAGTTCTGGATTGAGGACCCAACTTTTGAGTGCAGAAGGGTAGAGAAGCACACTGCAATTCCATGAGGCACATTTGCCAAGTGGGGTTATGAAACAGTATAGTGAAATATCTACAGTCAAACTTTGCATATTCCTCTACTATATAATTACTGAGTAGTCAAGACTTTTCTAGAATCAGATCTGGTGTGAGAACAGCTAGCACAGTGTTTTTGTGAGTATAATACATAACACCGGCATATGAGAGATGACTTTGGGGCACATGGACAGACATTAAATAACTTTGAATCACTTGGTGAGAAGGCTATTCCTATTTCATTTCTTTTTAAATTATTTTGATTGCTTGGAAGAGGAACCCTCTGTTGGGGCTGGTCTGAAGCCCTTATCCCTAACATGTACTAGCCTTTCAGAGAAAGGGGGCTTCAGCCCAAAGCCTTTAGCATATCAATATCTAGTTAGAATTTAATACCACTAATTAGTATTTATTTATTTATTTTTGATACAGGGTCTTACTCTGTCACTGAGGCTGGAGTGCAGTGGAGCAATCATGGCTCACTGCATCCTCGAACTCCAGGGCCTAAGCAATCCTCTTATTTCAGCCTCCCGAGTAGCTGGGGCTACAAATATGTGCCACCATGTCTGGCTAATATTTTATTTTTTGTAGAGACAGGGTCTTGCTATATTATCCAGGCTGGTCTTAAACTTCTGGGCTCAAACAATCCTCTCACCTTGGCCTCCCAGAGTGCTGGAATTACATGCATGAGCCACTGTTCCTGGCCTAGAATAATCATTTTTACCTTACACTGATGTGTTGATGTGTGTGGGTGTATGTGTGTGTGTGTGTGTGTGTGTGTGTATCTCTATATATATACACACATGCATATATACTATATAATTTTTACTTTACATTTTTATGTATGTATAAAAGATGTATATACCTGTATATATCAGTATAAGGTTTTATATATATGTGTATATGTGTGTGTGTGTGTGTGTGTGTATATATATATATATATATGTATATATATATGAGAGAGAGAGAGAGAGTGATAGAAGATGACATACAGTATATTATATATCTGTATAGTTTAAAAATAATTACTGGGGGAGTGAGTGCTAATGGGTACTGGGTTTCTTTTTGGTGTGATGGAAGTGCTCCCAAAATAGTGTGGTGATGATTGCACAACTGTGAATATATGATAACCCATTGTCTTGTATATTTTAAATGAGTGAATTGTATGGTAGGTGACATATATTAATAAAGGTATTATAAAAAACAAAACCATCCATCAGGTCAAGGAATCAAACATTTATTGTATTTGTTTTCACAGTTGCTGGCCATTTATGTTAACTGACAATGGTTTTGCATTTACTATAGTCATATAAAATTTTCTTTCAAATGAATCCTTATTTAGTAAAACCATGGAGCAGTATGAAGAAAAATATTATAATATTTATATTATATTATAATATAATATATGAAACTTATTATAATAGAATGTAGATATCTGAAGTTTGGGAAACCTAGAACATGCACGATATATTATTGTTGAGTTCATTTGCTTCAGAATGCAGCCATTTTCATATGTTTATTTCTTCATTAATTTATTTAGTTTTGTGAGTGACTACCATGCATCAAGCATGTGTCTACTGCCTTCCTGTAGCTCACTTTCTAGTAGAGGCTATAGGCAAGACTAAGGATCCTAATAAGATTGTAAATCCTGAGATGCAAGCTCCTTGTTTTGGAGAAGACTCTTGCAATGTTTTAGGAATACATGAGCCAAACAAGAAAGGGAATAAAAATGAACAGGGAAATAAAAATGGGTAGAAAACACTATCATCAACATATTGTGAAGTTTCCTTCCTCCTTCTCTTCTTCCCTCCCTCACTCCCTCCCTGTCTGTCTCTCTGTCTTTCTCCTTCCCTTCCTTCCTTGCTGTCTTCCTTCCCTTCTTCCTTTCCCATAGCATCCACCTGGCTTGAAAAATTTAATGCCTACTAAGTTTACTTTGGGTTTCTTATTAATCCAAATAAAGCCCACTATTTCAGGTAGGATTTTAAAAAGCTACACAAACAAACAAAAAATCAAGTGCAACAACTATAAAACCTACTTTTAACCATAGTTGGTGAAACCTGAGTGTTCCTTGGTAATGTTTCTGGATTCCAGCTTAAGCTTAGCTATTGAACCTGGGAGACCAAATGCTTTTATTCTGAGATATAAAGCACTGGAGTTCAGAAATCCCTTCCTTCAATATTGATAAATGAGAGATCTTCTTGATATTGATTTCTGGTTTTATTGCACTGTAGTCTGAGAGTATGCTTGGTGTGATTTCGATTTTTTGGAATTTATTGAGACTTGCTTTATGACCTGGCATGTGGTCGATCTTAGACTATATTCTGTGTGCACATAAGAATAATGTATATTCTGTGGTTGTTGGGTGAAGTGTTCTGTAGATGTCTATTAGGTCCAATTGGTCAAGCATTGAATTTAAGTCCAGAGTTTCATTGTTAGTTTTCTGTCTCGATGATCTGCCTAATGCTGTCAGTGGAGTTTTGAAGTCTTCCACTACTATTGTGTGGCTAAGTGTTTTCGTAGTTCACAAAGAACTTGTTTTATGAATCTGGGTGCTCCAATGTTGGGTGTGTATTGATTTAGGATAGTTAAGACTTTTAGATGGATTGTACCCTTTATAATTATGTAATGTCCTTTTTAAGTGTTAAAGGTTTAATGTCTGTTTTGTCTGATATAAGAGTAGCAACTTCTGCTCTTTGTTTTTCTTTTGCATGGTAGTTCTTTCTCCAGTCCTTCTCTTTAAGCCCGTGGGTGTCAATATATGTGAGATAGGTCTCTTGAAGGCAGCATCTATGTCTTTTAGGTGGCATATACAAAAATTAACTCAAAATGGACCAAAGATTCAAATATAAGACCTCAAACTATAAAAATACTAGATGAAAACCTAGGAAATACTCTTCTTGACATTGATCTTGACAAATAATTTTTGGCTAAGAACCCCAAAGCAATAGCGACAAAAACAAAAATAGGCAAGTGGGACCTAATTAAACTGAAGAGCTTCTGCACAGCAAAATAAACTATCAACAGAGTAAACAGACAACCTACAGAGCAGCAGAAGATATTCACAAACTATGTATCTGACAAAGGCCTAATATCCACAGTCTATAGAGAACTGAGAGAAATCAACAAGCAAACCCAAAGAACCCTATTTAAAAATGTGCACAAAGGATATGAACAGACACTTCTCAGAAGAAGACATACAGTGGCCAACAAACATGTGAAAAGATGCTCGACATTACTAATCATTGGAGAAATGCAAATGAAAACTGCAGTGAGATTCCATCTCACACCAGTCAGAATGGCTATTATCAAAAAGTCAAACCGCAACAGATGCTGGCAAAGCTGCAGAGAAAAGGGAATGCTTATATACTGTTGGTAGGAATGTAAATTAGTCTGTCTACTGTGGAAAGCAGTCTAGATATTTCTCAAATAACTGAAAACAGAGCTACCATTAGACCTAGCAGTCCCATTACTGGGTCTATAGCCAAAGGGAAATAAATCAGTCTACCAAAAAGACAGGCACTTATGTTCATCACTATGCTATTTACAATACAAAGACATGGAATCAACCTAGGTACCTATCAATGATAGATTGGATAAAGAAAATGTGGTACATATATATCATGGAATACTATGTAGCCATCAAAAAGAATGAAATCATGTTTTTTTGCAGCAAGATAGATGCAGTTGGAGGCCATAATCCTAAGCAAATTAATGCAGGAACAGAAAACCAAATACTGCATGCTTTCACTAATAAGTGGGAGCTAAACATTGAGCACACATGGACATAAACATGGGAACAATAAACCCTGTGGACTACTAGATGGGGGAGGCAAGAAGATGGGCACAGGCTGAAAAACTACCTATCATGTATTATGCTCACTAACTGGGTGATGGGATCTGTACCCCAAACCTTAGCATCACACAATATTGCCATGTAACAAACTTGCACATGTTTATCTAAAATAAAAACTGAAATTTAAAAAACCCACAAAAGGCCTGGTCTGGTGACTTATGACTGTAAGCCCAGCAATTTGGGAGGCCGAGGTGGGCAGATCACTTGAGGCCAGGAATTTGAGACCAGCCTGGCCAACATGATGAAATCCCGCTTCTACTGAAAACACAAAAATTAGCCAGATGTGGTGACACGCGGCTGTAATCCCAGCTATTTGGGAGGCAGAGGCATGAGAATCACTTCAACCCCAGAGGCAGAGGTTGCAGTGAGCCAAGATCATGTCACTGCACTCCAGTCTGGGCAGCAGTGAGACTCTGTCTCAAACAAAACAAAACAAAACAAAAACAAAACAAAAAAACCCCAAACCCCCCCCCCAAAAAAACCCCAAAGAAACTCTAAAATAACAAAGAGGCAAAGGAACATTCAAGGAGACTTCAAAAAGAGAGAGAAAAAAATGAAAATGAATGTTTTTCTAGGCTTAGTGGTTTATATTTTTAGTTTTGCAGGAGCATCTCTGTATTCCAGGTGAAATCAACTACATTGACATTCCCACTATAATGAATGAAATCTTGTACATTTCTAACAGAATTGAAGTCAGAACAAAGGCCAGATAACAAATAGTTATCATTAGCCTGGTTTGGTCCACTAAAATGACAGCTACATTAAAAAAATTTAAATTCAAAATATAAACATTTGGTTAGGAGATTATGACATATTGCAAACTATATATTTAAAACTTCATCTAGTCAGAGCCCAGACCTGTTTATTAAATTGATACATTTTAATTGAATATTAATTAATATTAATATTAACCAAATATTTATTGAATATTTGTGGTATATTGGGAAATGAACAAAGTGTTAAATCTGATCTCATCTTCCTTGCCTGGTTTCTTCCCTTTATTTTACTACTTCTGTTGCTCTTTTTCTTTTCCTGGAAGCTCATTTTTTACACATATGAATTCCTCTATCCCTGTCCTTTCATTCTAGATCAGAAAGCTTCTCCCTCAAATGTGGCTGTTGCTCTAGCATCTCTACTGGTCTCTGTGCTGTTGGACTTGGAGGATTGTTGCTGATAGGCCAGGGCAGCCCACTGAGGGTGCTTTAAATCAAGATTTTGGGAGTGGTATGATGGCAAGGTCTAGAGTGAGTGGATAAGGTAAGAGATTTTTGGAAGCAAGGAAGTCCAGGTACAGAGAGGCCAAGGTATAAGAAACAAGGCATTCATGGATACTGAGATCAACAACAATGTTGAAAGAGTGTATTAGAAAGAGAAACATCAATCCAGATATTGTGTTTTTCCCCACGCAGGGGAAGGGAAGTGACTGCAAGTCAGTAGATGACAGCAGCACATGTCTGATGATAAAGCTGTGTCACGGGCTTCAGATGAACAGAGGAGAGAAGGAAGGCGATGTCTTAGCAGTGGTAGGTAGAGGTCAAAAATCTTCAGCTCAGAGGTTCAAGAGTTGCAGGAGAAGATCACTTGAGAAGGCCTCAGGGAAGTAGTGTACTTGAGATGTAGCCACATTGCAGTTGGAGCAAGAAGACACTGAGGATAAAGAGGAGTCTGTTGAAACTGGCCATGAATTTCACAGGGTATAGTTGGGTTTAGGAGTTTGGGGAAAATATATAAAATGAGAACACATTAGAGAATACACAAATACAGTGTGAGGATTAAAAGTGGGGTGAGATGGGTAACCTAGAAGTTGATTGTATTAAAAAGTATCAGGACACTGGACAATGATCAGCTTGTAGCTCAGGTGGTGTGGTGGTTTTGGGGTAGGCGAGAGCCTCCCCCATGAAACAGGTTTCCTAGGCAGCCCATCTGGCTGTGGTGACCCTGAGAGGCTGTAATTAAAAGTGATGTGAGGGCCTCTGTGTGGTCTATTCTATGTGTTTCAAAACCGTTCCGCCTAGGGCAGATTACATAGGTCCTTGTCAGAAAATGAGAACAGAAAAACACTGGATTCTTTTTGCTCCTATGCATACTAAATGTATATACATGAATGCCCCTTATGCTCCTTGGCTTCACCTCTTGGCCAAAAGAATGGCACCTCATATAAAGCAAAACTAGAGGCCAAGTGCAGTGGCTCATGCCTCTAATCCCAGCACTTTGGGAGGCCAAGGCAGACAGATCACCTGGGGTCAGGAGTTTGAGAACAGCCTGCCCAACATGGTAAAACCCTGTCTTTACTAAAAATACAAAAATTAGCCGGTCATGATGATATGCAACTGTAGTCCCAGCTACTAGGGAGGCTGAGACAGGAGAATTGCTTGAACCTGGGAGGTGGAGATTGCAGTGAGCCAAGATCTGCCACTGCACTCCAGCCTGGGCAACAGAGTGAGACTCTGTCTCAAACAAACAAACAAACAAAAACTAGAAATCAACTGTGCTGAGCTTCCTATGACTTGGGTAACAAGAAGTTCTGTCTTTTTTTCCCCATCCTGCTCCCCAGATGCTCATTTTATAGGTCATTGGAGAGTAGAGCTTCTCCCACGTTGGAGAGTAGAGCTTCTCCCATGTAAGAAATTTCTGTCTGTGGTCTGCTGTCAGGCATTCTGCAGCTCGTGGTGGCTGACCTTGTTGCTCCCCATGCCACTACTGACCTCCTCCAGAACCACTGACCCCTGGTGTTCTCTCTCTGCCCAACCACACAGCCCCTTGTATTTCTGTCTGCATAGAACCACAGGGTACAGGGTACTAAATGACCTTATGGATTTATAGACTGCAACAGGAGCTATGAATTCTACTAGTATTCAGGCCAGCTGCTTAGTTCAATCCATGCTACTCGCCTTCTCTTTGGTGATATTCTTTGAAGAGGCCGTGATCACATCTTTATCTTGCCAGACACCCAATTGGGAACTGTGTTCTCATTCTCTTCCATGAGCTTCTAGGCCCTGTGCTAATAAATGCATGTGGCTAGGTATCTGTTTTAGAGCTCCTTAATAATCAATAATCAATTAACCAACTACTGAATAGTCCATGATAGTTGACATACTGTTTAGTTTAAAGAGTGGTGCTCAAATTTTGACCTGTATCAGAATCATCTGGAGAACTATTAAATTACAAATTGCTGGGTCCCATCCCCAGGACTTCTTATTCTGTGGGCTTGGGATAGAGAGAGCCTGCCTGACAAGGTCTCATGTGATGCTAATGCTGCTGGTCCTGGATTCTCACTTTGAGAACCATTGGACTGGAACATTCTGAAAATTTCTACAAAATTATATTGCCTAATGCTGAATGTCAGCCCAGCAGAGTGCTATCTATGATTCAGCCAAAATATTCATATATAAGTTGAATAAAAATTGAATCTATATTCTTAACTGTGATGTTCTTGAGAGTAGTTACCATTTCTTTTTTCATCTCTATATACTCGAGTAGAAGTCAGAATGAAAAGAGCAAAGATGCCAAGATTAGGGGATATGGTTGATGTCCCCACATATCTCGCACAAGAATTTGACTGCATTCAGGCAAAAGAGGTTAAATAGTGAATGGCTTCAGAGCCTAGGTGCTATGGGAGGACTGCCTTTCTTAAAGGGAGTTAACACTCATCTAGCCATTAGTCAATCTCACTTCTGGGTTTATGGGTCAATCTTATTTCTTTCTTCCTCACAGGTAGATGAGATCAGTTGTGTTGAAATGAAGGTTTTGACTACTGGATAATACGAGCAAAAACACATAAAAGCACTACTACGCTAGAAGATTGAAGCAAAAAGAATTTTTTTTTTAAAACAAAAGATGATAATTCTAGAATGGAGAGCAAGAAAATAACATATTGGGGCTGGGTGTGGTGGCTCACACCTTTAATCCCAGCACTTTGGGAGGCCGAGGCAGGTGGATCACCTGAGGTCGGGTGTTTGAGACCAGCCTGGCTAACATGGTGAAACCCTGTCTCTCTACTAAAAATACAAAAATTAGCTGGGTGTGGTGGCACATATCTGTAATCCCAGCTACTCGGGAGGCTGAGGCAGGAGAATTGCTTGAACCCGGGAGCCAGAGGTTGCAGTCAGCTGAGATTGCATCACTGCACTCCAGCCTGGCCTGGGCGACAGAGTGAGACTTCGTCCCAAAAAAGAGAGAGAGAAAGAAAGAGAGAGAGAGAGAAAGAGAGAAAGAAAGAAAAGAAAGAAAGAAAGAAAAGAAAGAAAGAAAGAAAGGAAAGAAAGGAAAGAAAGAAAGAAAGAAAGAAAGAAAGAAAGAAAAAGGAAATAACACATTGGGAATCAGAGTCTGTAGTCACATGTTCTACAAAGGTGAGACTCTTGGGGCTGGAGGGGTAGTCAGCTATAGTGAACAGGTAGCATTCCTAGCTCTTCTCACCTGGAAAAAGGAAAAATTATCATATCATTCTCATGATTCCTAGGCTTCTCATATCTTAAAGATTCCATAATTAGTTAGTTAGATGGTTAGTTTTAAAGCCAAGCTCCTCCTTCTATGACACTTTTTGTTGTTTAAGAATTTGCAATCTGTCCTTGACTCCCTTGCCTGGCAGAGGCTAAGTCCCAGAGAATTGAGTAAAACCATTGCAATACCTGCCATTGTGTTAGAATTCATTCATTGTTCAGTGAGGATGGGATGGAGGGGAGCAGCCAGAATGGGACTCTGAAGTGAGTTGTAAACAGAGGCCCATGAGGGTGCTCAAGAAGTAGGGAAAGGAAGGGAGAAACAGAAGGGAGCAAGATGTGTAGGAGGGGAAAGGTCAGAGCTTTGAAATAAAAGACTTTGAAGATGCATTTAGTAAATTTTTAAAAACATGGTATTTTTCCCACTGTGGAAATAAAAACTGGTGGCTTCTGTTTGGGGGAATGAATAGCAGCATAGAAGTGGATAGTGAGTCACTGACTTATCAGGGAGAGTTCAAACACTTGGTGCAATCTGTTTCTGCAATGCCTTATTCTGTCAAAAAAATTAAATGAGGGGTTCCTTTCATCACTCTGTCACTGTATCAGCATCTTTCTTGCAAATGCAGAGTATGGTGCATTGACTTCCACTGATATTCTCTTCCCCTTTAGGAACTAATGTTCTCTTCTTCTGATTTCCAAGGACACTTGTTTAGTGGTTTTGAGTTTCAATTATCAAAACTCTAAGTTCAAAAGGCGGAATCAGTGTCACTGCATAATAGTTCACCAACACGATCCATTTATTTGCAATGCTTAAAAATGTTCCCCGGAGAACTTAGCAGAGTTTGAGTTTCTATAAGTGGTTGCCTGGCATATCTGATACCTTAGCAGAGCTTTTCATCTTAGCTAATCTCTTCCTGAGATTACTTAACAGTCCATTTGCTCGGTCAAGGGCTACAATGTCCTGAGTCTCTAACTATGTGTTGAGGGTGAATGTGAATACTGAAGCAGAAGGCTAAAATGTGAGTTTATTATACTTGATGTTGTTCTCTATTATAATTCCTCAGGCTTATTTAGGAACAAGAAACAAAGTGCAGTAGATGGTTGTATGATTACTATATCCACCCCTCAGCAACCTTAGAAAGTATAGATAGTAATTCTACAATGGCATATGTGCTACAAATTTTATTTTACCCCATACACTTATAGGGACTATGCTTGGGCATCCACTTACATGTCTGTGAACAACTGTTTTTAGCCAAGTGACAGATAGGAAGGATGTTTCTACCCAAGGTGTGTTATACATAAGAGAACTAATCACTTTTTTCAAACTTTATGCAAATAAAGCCAAATTAGATTTATTAAGGTGATGAAAGAGAGTAGGGACTTTTTAATGGGTAGCAATGCTGTGCGTTATCTAAATGCAATGCAGATGTAATGATGCATTAGAAATGCTGAGAAAATTTAATCAGTGTAGAAAAAATATAATGAAATGGTTGTTTAAACACTGTAAAGCAATGTTAGAGTAATTACTTCCCATTGAGCAGGGCGTGGAACACATTACCCAGGCTGTTTGATTAGTCATCCTGCCTGCAACATCTGGCTTTTTGATCCATTTTGATTTTAATATAATTTCTAAACTTCCCAATTGAAGTTTTAGAATGAATGAATAAATAAAATAACTTCGATAGGAGACAAAGTTTTGACTCACTCATGACAGATTAAAACTACCCGCTACTCACTCACCTTTACCTCTCTGTCATGAAAGAGAACCCCAAACGCCGGGATGGTGGACTTTCTTTTTTTGTTTGTTTGTTTTGTTTGTTTGTTTGTTTGAGATGGAGTCTTCCTCTGTTGCCCAGCCTGGAGTGCAATGGTGTGATCTTGGCTCACTTGGACTTTCTTGTTTTTAAGATTAGGTGTCAAATATTTAAAATGTGTTGGTTTTCTTTGGGTGGTCTTTCTATTGGTATATAGGTGGGAGTAGGGGTGATTTTTAGAACAATTATCATCTTACAGATAGGAAAGGAATGGAAAGAATGGGTCATAAAAACTAATATTTCTGCTTTCTCTTTGTGTAAGTTTACATATTTCTTGTAGAAAATTTAGAAAGTACCGATAAGAAAAATAAGAAAATACATATCATTCATAATTCTATTTCCCAGAAGTAAACATTATTAATATTTTGGGGAATTTTTTACTAATAACTGATGGTTAATCTACTCTACTCTAATAATTGTACAATTCAGAAATTAGCAGCACTGCAGTTAAGAGAGTAGGAGCTGGAGTTCAGATGACCTGGGTCCAAATCCTGACTTCACCTTGAGTAAGTATCTTGTTTCTTGCTGCCTCATTTTCCCCATCTACAAAATGAAGGTAATAATAATAACTCCTTCATAACTTTGTTGTGAGAATTAAAAGAGATAATATACCCAATGAGCCTAGAAAAAATGCCAAGCACTTAGTAAGTTTTGATAAATATTAGCTATTATTACAGCTATTATTATCATGATTGCTGTCTATAAGAATTATATGCTGCATATATTTGTATAATTTACCTTTTTCATTTAGCATTATAGTGTATCTATCTTTTATGTCAGCAGATGTTCTATGATATTCTCCTAATGGATACATTGTAGGCCATTATAAGGACTCACTGTATCAGTCTGTTTTCAAGCTACTGATAAATGCATACCTGTGACTGGACAATTTACAAAAGAAAAAGGTTTAATGGACTTACAGTTCCACATGGCTGGGAAAGCCTCACAATCAGGGCAGAAGGTAAAAGGCACATCTCACATGGAGGCAGACAAGAAAAGAGAGCTTGTGCAGGGAAACTCTCATTTGTAAAACCATCAGATCTCATGAGACTTATTCACTATCATGAGAACAGCACAGGAAAGACTTGCCCCCATGATTCAGTTTATCTCCCACTGGGTCCCTCCCACAACATGTGAGAATTCAAGATGAGATTTGGGTGTGGACACAGGCAAACAATATCATTCCACCTGTGGCCCCTCCCACATCTCATGTCCTCACATTTCAAAACCAATCATGCCTTCCCAACAGTCCCCCAAAGTCTTAACTCATTTCAGCATTAACTCAAAAGTCCACAGTTCAAAGTCTCATCCAAGACAAGGCAAGTCCCTTCCACCTATAAGCCTATAAAATCAAAAGCAAGTTAGTTACTTTCTAGATACAAGGGGGTACAGGCATTGGGTAAATACATTCTAAATGGGAGAAATTAGCCAAAACAAAGGGGCTACAGGCCCCATGCAAATCTGAAATCCAGCAGGGCAGTCAAATCATAAAGCTCCAAAATGATCTCCTGTGACTGCGTGTCTCACATCCATGTCACAATGATGCAAGAGGAGGGTTCCCATGATCTAGGGCAGCTTCAACCCTGTGGCTTTGTGGGGTACAGCCTCCCTCCTGGCTGCTTTCATGGGCTGGTGTTGAGTATCTGTGGCTTTTCCAGGTGCACGGTGCAAGCTGTCAGTGGATCTACCATTCTGGGGTCTGGAGGATGGTGGCCTTCTTCTCATAGCTCCACTAGGTGGTTTCCCAGTAGGGACTCAGTGTTGGGGCTCCAACCCCACATTTCCCCTCTGCACTGACCTAGCAAAGATTCTCCATGAAAGCTCCACCAGCAAAATTCTGCCTGGATATCCAGGCATTTCCATACATCTTCTGAAATCTAGGCAGCGGTTCCCAACCCCCATTTCTTGACATCTGTGTACCCGCAGTCTCAGCATCATATGCAAGCTGTCAAGGCTTGAGACTTGCACCCTCTGAAGCCATGGCCCATGCTCTATGTTTGCTTCTTTCAGCCATGGCTGGAGCAGCTGGGATGCAGGGCACCAAGTCCCTAGGTTGCAAACAGCATGGGGACCCTGGGCCTGGCCCAGGAAACCACTCTTTCCTCCTAGCCTATGATGGGAGGGGTTGATGTGAAGACCTCCGACATGCCCTGGAGACATTTTCCCCATTGTCTTGGGGATTAACTTTTGGCTCCTTGTTACGCAAATTTCTCCAGCTGACTGGAATATCTCCTCAGAAAATGGGATTTTATTTTCTATTGTATTTTCTGGCTGCAAATTTTCTGAACTTTTATGCTCTACTTCCCTTATAAAATGGAATGCCTTTACCAGCACTGAAGTCACCTCTTGAATGCTTTGCTGCTTAGAAATTTCTTCCACCAGATACTCTAAATCATCTCTCTCAAGTTCAAAGTTCCATCAGTTTCTAGGGTAGGGGCAAAATGACACCAGTCTCTTTGCTAAAACATAACAAGAGTTACCTTTGCTCCAGTTCCCAACAAGTTCCTCAGCTTCATGTGAGATCACTTCAGCCTGGACTTTATTGTCCATATGGCTATCAGCATTTTGGACAAGGCCATTCAACAAGTCTCTAGGAAGTTCCAAACTTTCCCACATTTTCCTGTCTTTTGAGCCCTCTAAACTGTTCCAACCTCTGCCTGTTACCCAGCTCCAAAATCACTTCCACATTTTCAGGTATATTTTTAGCAGTGCTGTGCTCTACTGGTACCAATTTACTGTATTAGTCTGTTTTCATGCTGCTGATAAAGACATATCTGAGACTGGGCAATTTACAAAAGAAAGAGGTTTAATAGACTTACAGTTCCACATGGCTGGGGAGGCCTCACAATTATGACAGAAGGTGAAAGTCATGTCTCACATGGTGGCAGACAAGAGAAGAGAGATTGTGCAGGGGAACTTCCATTTTTAAAATCACCAGATCTCATGAGACTTATTCATTATCATGAAAAAAGCATGGGAAAGACTTATCCCCATGACTCAATTACCTCTCAATGGGTCCCTCCTACAACATGTAGGAATTCAAGATGAGATCTGAGTGGGGACACAGCCAAAACAAATCACTCACAATAGTTTATTTAACTAACCTCTGATTGGTGGGTTTTTGATTGTTTACAATTGTTTGAATTTATAGATGATGTTTCCTTATAAATCATTTTTAGAATGAAATTGATGGTCCAAAGGTGTGAACATTTAATCATTTTGGATATGTATAGGTAAATTGCCTCTTTATTCAACACTGGATGTTATTAGCTCATAAAAAACCTTACTGGCTAGAAAGTAATATGTC
The DNA here is from genome assembly GCF_000001405.40 of Homo sapiens. Classification (NCBI taxonomy): domain Eukaryota; kingdom Metazoa; phylum Chordata; class Mammalia; order Primates; family Hominidae; genus Homo; species Homo sapiens. The sequence goes on along the minus strand of NC_000005.10, from coordinate 118,732,388 downwards.
ATGTTTACTTTAATTTGCATTTATTTTTTCCCTTTGTGTCTGGAGTTTCTCTTCTATCAATTCTGTGTTCTACCTCTGTTCCTATATCTTTTGGAGCATTTGTCTTTTACTTTTTGAATTATTTGCATTTAGAGCTAAAGGAGACTAACTTTTTGCCATATATATTGCAAATATTCCCCCCAGTTTATAGTTTGCTTTTAATCTTGTTTAATTGTTTTAATTCGGTTATGTAGATGTTTTAAAAGTTTTATGTAGTCACATTACTCATTATTTTTGTTTAAAATTTCCAGGTTTGGAGTCAAGTTTAGAAAGTTTAGAAAGTCTTTACATGTGTTTTCTGGTAACATTTTTAGAGCTTTGTTTTTGGGAATTTAATCTTTTAAGTCAGTTTGACCTTTCTTGTGTAGAGTGAGGCTGAATACTTTTGCTTGCATTTTATATGACAATTTTATGATCTAGCCTTCTTCAGAGAGAATAAGACACACCAGTCCTTCCTCTAGCATGCTTTGTTTAAGGAGAAGTTTTGGGGGGAAAGGAAACACATAATTGGGAGTGCTAGAGGTGGTATGACAATACAGATGTGGCCTATGGCACCTGGCACTGGAAGTATGTGGGTAGTAGAAGGGATGTATGAAGGTGACTGTGACCCATATAAATATATCCCATCCATCCCAAACAAAATATATCCTCATTCTACTTTCCCACGTCCAGATCCTCAAAATGTCATCGGCAACTCTAATATCATCCCACATAAAAAGAGTGATAAAGGGGGAATTTAAGATCTGGAAAGAACACCAGTCTTAATCAATTGCTGTTAAAAAAAAAATCTTACTTTTTCAAATTTTACAAAAACATGTTGTATTAGTCTACTTTCATGCTGCTATAAGGAACTACCTGAGACTGGGTTATTTATAAACCAAAGAGGCTTAATTGACTTACAGTTCCACATGGCTTGGGAGGCCTCAGGAAACTTACAATCATGGCAGAAGGCAAAAGGGGAAGCAAGGCATGTCTTACATGGTGGCAGGAGAGAGACAGAGAGTGAGCAAAGGGGGAAGTGCCACTTTTAAACCATCAGATCTTGTGAGAACTCACTCACTATCCAGAGAACACCATGGGAGAAACTGCCCCCATAATCCAATCACCTCTCACAGGTCTCTCCCTTGATACATGGGGATTAAAATTTGGGATGAGATTTGGGTGGGGAAACAGAGCCAAACCATATCACATGTGATCTTGTGAATTCACCGCCAACCAAGGCTCTTCCTAGGGCTTTGGAAGTGTCCCATGCAAATGAGGGGTGCTGAGGCTTAAGCTTCATCAGCTTCATAGTAAATCTACCTGTGTATCAGATATTCTATTCAAATGTTTAATGTCTTCGTTATTTAATGTCTAAGTCTTGCTTAGAAATGACTTCCATCATAGTTCTTGAGATGCTAAATAATTTGAATAATTGACAGAGAAAATACATTAGATATCACTCCAAGTGAGTAGGTATTCCCTAATATGCAGGATCTCTTAGTTTTAACTCTTTCTAAAAACTATGTCAAAACATTAGAAAATTTTTTTTGAGCACTGTGAATTATCTCCTTTAGCTTCTCCTTTTTGTGCTTTAGTGCTTTTCTCTCTTACACACAACCTAACTGAACCCTTTTATTAAAAGTTGTCCCATTTGGCCTTACATCTTATAAAAATCAACTTTATTGAGATACAATTCACATACCATACAATTCGCTCATTGAAAATATACAATTCAGTGGCTTTATTATATTTACAATGTTGTACATCCATCATTGCAATCAATAACTGAACATTTTCATTGCCCCAGAAAGAATTCTAGCATTCCTTATGCATTATTGCCTAAGTCCCTATCACCCCATCCCTAAGCAACTGATACGGTTTGGCTCTGTGTCCCCACCTAAATCTCACCTTGAATTGTAATAATCCCCACATGTCAGGGGTGGGACCAGGTGGAAGTAATTTGAATCATGGAGGCGGTTTCTCTTATGCTGTTCTCATAATAATGAGTGAGTCTCACGAGATCTGATGGTTTTATACGTGTCTGGCATTTCCCCTGCTTTCACTCATTCTCTCTCCCGCCACCCTGTGAAGAGGTCCCTTTCCCCACGCTTGTTAAGTTTTCTGACGCATCCACAGCCATGCAGAACTGTGAGTCAATTAAACCTCTTTTCTTTATAAATTACCCAGTCTCGATGTATTAGTCCATTCTCACGCTGCTATGAAGAAATGCCTGAGAAGGGGTAATTTATAAAGAAAAGAGGTTTGTTTCACAGTTCTATGAATGGGGAGGCCTCAGGAAACTTATAATCATGGTGGAAAGGGAAGCAAACATGTCCTTCACATGGCAGCAGGAGAGAGAAGAATGAGAGCCAAGTGAAGGGGGAAGCCCCTTATAAAAACACCAGATCTTGTGAGAACTTACTATCACGACAATAGCATGGGGAAACTGCCACCGTGATTCAGTTACCTCCCACTGGGCCCCTCCCACTACATGTGGAAATTATGGGAACTACAATTCAAGATGAGATTTGGCTGGGGACACTGCCAAACCATAACATTTGGGTATTTCTTCATGGCAGCATGAGAATGGACTAATATGGCAACCATTGATCTACTTGCTGCCTTTTATGGACATTTCATATAAATGAAATCACACAATGTGTGGCCTTTTGTGACTGGCTTCTTTCATTTTGCATAATGTTTTCAAGTTCATCCATGATGTACTTTATTTTTATTGCTGAATAATATTTCATTGTATAGATATGCCACATTTTATTAATCCAATTATCACTTGATGGACATTCAGATTATGTCTACTTTTTGATTATTAATAATGCCGCTATGAACGTTGTGCATACATTTTGTGTAAGTGTATGTTTTCCCTTCTCTTGAGTATATACCTAGGTGTGGAATTGCTGGGTCATAAGGTAACTCTATGTTTAACATTTTGAGAAACTGCCAAACTGTTTTCCGAAGTGACTTCATTATTTCCACATTTCCATTCTTAGTATATTAGGGTTCTAATTTTCACACATCATCATTAATACTTGTTATTGTCTCTTTTTAAAAAAATTATGACTATCCTAGTCAGTGCAAAGTGGTACGCCATTGTGGTTTTGATTTGCATTTTCCCGATGACTAATGCCAAGTTTACTTTGTTAAAATTTTCTCTCTCTTAAAGGTGCCAGCAGAAAAATCTGTACTCTTCTTTCCTTGAGTTTTGTTTTATGTTCTTCCTATAGAGCTGAGAATATTATGTAGTTCAGGGCAGGACAGAGAAACCACTTCATTTATTTCATTCAGGAAGGATTCACTAAAAGGATTTAGACACTTAAAAGGACTGAAAGAGCAGAAGTCAGGGGGCTGCCTCTTATCTATTGATTTCAATGGTTTAGACTGTAACTGGAATGCAAAGATCAGGAAACTGGTCTGGCTATGGTTTCTGCTGCTGCCACATTACCTGTAATGCTGAGTTCTGGCCACAGACTCTTTGACCCTTTTAGTTAGCATCCAACTTGCATCCAAACTCCAGCTAAGTTCCCTTATGACCTGTTTGAAAATACTGAGGTGGTCCCATCATACTGAATCTATTCTTCTCTTGTCCTTATGAACTATACAGTATTACTTCCCAATTACTGATATAACAGATTATCTCAGACTTAGTGGTTTAAAATAACACAAATGTATTATGTTATAGTTTTGTACTTAATAGTTCTCAATATGCACAGCTTACCCCTTCCTCATCTCCTGAATATGTAACTGAACTCAGGAACAAACCACTCATCACCTGAAAGCCAAAACCTCCAGACAAGCTTTGGTGAAAGGAAAGTTAGCTTTACTGGAGAAGCTGGCAATCCAGAGAAGGCAGTCAACTAGCATTCAAAGATCACCTCTGTCTGAGTTCTGCCTCTGGATCAGAAGTTTTTAAGGAAAATTACTGGAAATGATGATTAAAACATTCTTGTGCACGTGCATAGTCTCAGGCAGGCAGTTAATCATTGCTTTCTTGGTCAATGTGTTTGTGGCCTTCTGCAGGTGCCATCAGCATATTCTTATATATTCTAAATATGCAATCATGTCATCTGCCAACAGAGATAATTTGACTTCCTTTCTTCCTATTTGAATACCCTTTATTTCTTTGTCTTGCCTGATTGCCCTGGCCAAAGGTCGGATGGGTAACCCGACCTTTCTCTCTGGCTGCCCTTAACATTTTTTCCTTTATTTCAACCTTGGTGAATCTGACAATTATGTGTCTTGGGGTTGCTCCTCTCGAGGAGTATCTTTGTGGTGTTCTCTGTATTTCCTGAATTTGAATGCTGGCCTGTCTTGCTAGGTTGGGGAAGTTATCCTGGATAATATCCTGAAGAGTGTTTTGTAACTTGATTCCATTCTCCCTGTCACTTTCAGGTACACCAATCAAACGTAGGTTTGGTCTTTTCACATAGTCCCATGTTTCGTGGAGGCTTTGTTTGTTCCTTTTCATTCTTTTTTCTCTAATCTTGTCTTCGTGCTTTATTTCATTAAGTTGATCTTCAATCTTTGATATCGTTTCTTCCACTTGATCGATTCAGCTATTGTTACTTTTGTATGCTTCATGAAGTTCTCGTGCTGTGTTTTTCAGCTCCATCAGGTCTTTCATGTTCTTCTTTAAACTGGTTATTCTAGTTAGCAGTTCCTGTAACCTTTTTTCAAGGTTCTTAGCTTCCTTGCATTGGGTTACAACATGCTCCTTTAGCTCAGAGGAGTTTGTTATTACCCACCTTCTGAAGCCTGCTCCTGTCAATTCGTCAAATTCATTCTCTGTCCAGTTTTGTTCCCTTGCTGGCAAGGAGTTGTGATCCTCTGGAGGAGAAGAGCCATTCTGGTTTTTGAAATTTTCAGCCTTTTTCTACTGTTTTTTCCTCATCTTCATAGATTTATCTAACTTTGCTCTTTGATGTTGGTGACCATCGGATGGGGCTTTTGCATGGCCATCCTTTTTGTTGATGTTGATGCTATTGCTTTCTCTTTGTTAGTTTTCCTTCCAACAGTCAGGCCTGTCTTCTATAGGTCTGCTGGAGTTTGCTGGAGGTCCACTCCAGAACCTCTTTGCCTGGGTGTCACCAGTGGAGGCTGCAGAACAGCAAAGATTGCTGCCTGTTCCTTCCTCTGGAAGCTTTTTCTCGATAGGCACCCACCAGATGCCAGCCAGAGCTCTCCTGTATGAGGTGTCTGTCGACTCCTGCTAGGAGGTATCTTTCTGTCAAGAAGCACAGGTGTCAGGAACCCACTTGAGGAGGCTGGCTGTACTTCAGCAGAGCTCAAGTGCTGTGCTGGGAGATCGCTGCTCTCTTCAGAGCTGGCAGTCAGGAGCATTTAAGTCTCAATATATTTTTCTGAATGTCAAATTTTGGTGGGCCTGGCCATGAGGGAACCCACTGTTATTCTAGGGGCATCCCCACTTTTCTAATTATTATTAACAAGAATGGCTTAATATTTATGTGAACTAAACTGATACTTTCATGGTTAGGAGAGAAGTCATTCAGATATAAAAATACTAGATCTTCCAGGTACTAGATATATTTGAAAAGACATATCTATTCCAAATATAGTTTGCTGGATCTCTCTTCTCACATACCTCTGACAGAGGCTCCCTGACATCATTCCTTAGCCTATAATATGTCTGAGCTTTGTGGTTGAGGTGGAGAAGAAGATGGGTAAGGGAGGAAGGAGACATTTGACTGTCATTGGAATAACATTCATTATTTTAAATCTGGCCAATGAGAACCTCTTTGTAATTAATCTATTCTGTAAATTGTGTTTGAAGTTTGTTTTCTTTAATATTCAAGATATATTGAAAGGTATTCATTGTGAAAAAGTTTTGACACTTGGAAGAACAGACTCAAGAAACTTTTTTTGTAGTAGAATAAAAATACTTACAATGGAAGAGTCTTGAGAGTAGAGTTAATTAGTTATTTTTTAATACAGGGCTTAAAGTGTTCTCACCACACAGGTAAGTTTCAGAAGAGGCATTGTCTGATTGGATGCTTGCCAAGTAGAATGAATGTAAACTTTGATTCTCTTCTGGGGAAAAATTAATCATGAGGATGTTAAATTTTTTGCCCTAGATTCCATTTTTGTTTTAGGTACTGAATCAGGTTAGAGGAGTATTAGTTTCTAATCTCAAAGAGAATCTACAAACACCTTGGAATTCAGGAGAAAGAAGAATTAAATTAGACACTGGAAGGCAGAGGTGGGAGGCTTCCTTTCCTCTAAGATTTCAGGAATTGCCAAAAGAATCATGCATTTCTTTTAGCAAACACAGATTGAATATTAGAATCAAAAGCAGTTACAAAATTTTGGGATTGGAATAGACTTCAGAATTTATCTAGTCTAGTTTCTTCGTGTTTCTGACGAGGAAGTCGAAAAGTCAGAAGGGTGAAAATTGTCCTCAAGATCATGCAACTTGAATTTTGCCTCTGGTGCCCTTGACCCTCTACTGCACTAGGACCTATGTACTGAGGAGGCCAGAAGGGAATTCAGTGGTGTCTCCTTTACATGAAAGCCAGACTGGTGATGCAATTGAGTAGTCAAGCCATTCAGAGTAATGACATGATTTAGAAGATTTCACTTTAAGGAAATACCTAAGTATGTTTGCTATCCAAGATTGAAAGTGGAGGCTGACAATAAGTAGAATCAGAATTAGGGTTGTGCCTTAATATGATCTCTCTACAACTTACTAAAGTGTGTAACCTTTTGTTGATTTATGTCTTATAGAGAGTAATTTACACATCAAATCAAAATTTTTAAAAGATACTGCTTGACTAAGTTGTCTATTTTTAGCTTGGCTCTCAGTTTGTCCTGTTTAAACTAGAAGATACCAGAATTTTAGAATTGTGTTCTCTATGAAGTTTTTGTTTATTTGCTTTTCTAATATATGAAGGTAGAAGTTGCTTTTATACAATATGGCTTTCTTTTCAAAGATACCTCACCAACTGGTCCATTACTAGTGTCCGAATGCCACCAATAAAGAGACATTCCTTTGATTAAAACTTTTCTTCTTTTGTTTTTGTTTCAAAATGCACATAACCCTGGAAGGGGTAAATAAAGGAAAAGGGAGTGTGAAAAAACAATTTTCACCTGCTTGACAATTTGCTCTGCATCCTGATGTTTTGAATACTGGCCTTCAGGCATTGCAAGATCCTGAATTAGTTTTGTTCTCTGTACTTCTATTACTAAAGCAGGTTCCAGTTCTTAAATTACTGGGTTCTTGTGCTTCACAGCATATGTTTCACATGTATTTCTTTGCATATATCAAACACTAATTAGTAGAATATTTTAAAATTAAGTTGCTGGTTGAAACAGAGACTTGAGAATAGAGATCATTTTAAATTTTCACATGTCAGTATTTTAAACAAAGCAGTTAAAATATCTTGGTTAAAAGCACATCATACCTTGAAAGTCAGCATCTGAATAAGAAACATCTTTTCAAATCCTTCCTGTGTTTTCATCTAATGATTCTTACTGTGGTGTAGTGTAGTTAATGCATTGTATCATTTAGTTCCAAGAGTCACAGTGGTTCTTAGGCCTTTTGAAATACTCCATGACAGATTTCAGACTGGATATGTGATGGCTGTTGGTTCCACACCCAAACTTGAAGTTGCAGAATATTCAAATTTTGAGAAATCTAATTCAGAGGATTAGAACTAATAATAATAGTTTATTATTATTATTTCTAATTATTATTACATGTAATTATTATTATTATCCTCAATACTATTCATTATTTATTTTGGAAACACTTTGCATGATATTCAGTAAATGTGTAGTCCTAGGTTTTAATGTGGCAAAAAATAGAGAATGGGGAGAGGACTCTCTTGCTCTGGGTAGCTGATGTTATGGAAATGCAATGCCAGCCAAGTTCAGCTACCTCAAGAGGAATGATGCCCAGTTCCACTCTTCTTTCATCTATTTTGATCATATTACCCAGGGTTTGAATGTTATTCATGTTATGACTATGACTTTCCCTGGGAAAATGGATGCCATCATTGGGATTTTCTCTATATCGGTTGCATGCTTTTCTGCAAAGCAGCGGAAGTGAGTCTGGTATAAGTGCAAAGCATTGTATGAAACTGCCCACTAATATTACTCTTCTAGGTGTGAAGTATTTTACTCCCTATAAAAATGTGCTCTCATGCTTTATTTAATTGGATCCTCCATCGACTCTGATAATTATGTGTTTCAGTTTTTAAAATTTTCATCTTATAGGTGATTAAACTGAGGTTCAGAGAGCTGAAGTGGCTTGCCCAAGATCACTTGGCTATTAAGTGGCAGAGCTGGATCTTGATGACATGTCTTCTGATGGCTAGTATTATTCTCTCTAACTGATAAAAACGTGTTTCTGAGTTGACCACCCTGACCATATGCTCTAGTAACTCTGCGTTCTGCTTTCAACTTCTAAAGGGCATTGGGGAAAGGCAGAAATGCCACGTGAACTGATACTTCTCTAGATTATTAATAAGATGCTCCATACACTTTTTGGCATCATATAATAAGTGACAAAACTTTCAGAATTTCTGCAAGTACCTAATGTAGAACCATGGAGAATTTTAGTTTATGGAAGTTAGTCTGCTTGTCCTCTCTTTTATGGTATCATTCTGCAGGGCCAGTTAAAGTGGATTTGGGCCTCAGTGGAAAAAATTGAGATTCTCTCAACAAGACAGAGACTTTGTGCTGAAATGCAAATTGTCAATCAATACCACTTTATCAGGTTTCTGGGTTTCCCCCAAAGTGTGAGTTCCGTACCAATATACAACATCAACATGCAGGTATCATCAAGTCCTGATAATTTGTACTTGCTTCTCTCCTAATTTGTACCTAGGTTATCTCTGGTTGCAGGGACAGTGTATGCTAGGTGTGTTTGTGTATCCTAAAAGACCAAAACATTACTGCATGTTGCTTCCCGTAGTATGCAAAGGAAATCTGCTTTGATTTACACCTGTAGTCGGTACTGCAGCACTTTTAGAATCCCTGACCTGTCCTAAGTCTTAATTCTAGAAGCTCCTTGTTCTTTGTGTCTGCCTGCTAGAGTGGACTGGCAGTGTTTTTTACTTCCAAGTAGACCACAGCTGCAGTGAACTGTTGCTCTTATGTTTCCCCTGTCTGTCACCAGCTTGTGGTCATTTATGACAGCTCCCCAAAGAGCAGCTGCTCAGGTCAGATGTTAGTGAGGTCAATAGAAATAACAAGAAAAATGAAACACTTAAAGGGTCATTGAACTTCTCAAAATGAAACTGTTATGTAATCACAGATTCTATTTTATGGCTCTCATTGGGCTGGAAATGATTCAATGTATGCACATACAATTAAAACTATCAGACAACCTGGGAGAATTGGACAGAGCCTTTTGGATAGAGGCTGTTTTCTCCCATTTTTAGAGTGAAAGGCTGCTCTCTACTCCTTTACATGTATCCACCTTGGGAGACTTATTTCTTTTACTTATGGTCATCTCTTGTGTCCTTCAAAAGGTACAAACAAGGTTACCAAAGTCAAATATCGACAGAGGACAATGGGTAACTTGAGTGAGCAGGGTTATCTGAACAGTGGCTGCAGTTGACTACAGAAGGTTGCCACACCCAAAACTGGCAGTGAATCCTCTCATCCAGCAGACCAATGGCCCTTAGTAATGCAGGCCCTGTGTTGTCATATCTTCTGCTTTTTACTCAAATCAGAAGTTGACTTTTACATTTTGTGTGTGTGTGCACGTGCGCTCAGACCAACCGGAACATATCTGTAATCTCTGTGGGCCAGGGTTGCTGGTGTGCAACTTCTGGATTTTGCTTTTCTTCAGACTGTAACCTTACCATATAAAATCCCTTTCTGTTTTTCTATTTTCCCTTCTCCCATGGCCATACAGCAGTCATTGATTAAAAGTGCAACAGACAACTAATGGTAGAAGCACTCTGGACAACATTCTGGCCTTTTCTCACTTATGTTTTTCTCATGCCTGCCTCTGCACGTAGCCTAGTTTTACTTTTTAGCCATTTCCTGTTTTACCTGTGGCCTACCCAGATACCTCTCTCTCTGTGAGATCATGCCTAGAAAATTCCTAGGTCTCAGACCTGGCAGCTGGTTAAATTTGCCTAGAGTAGCTGGAATTTTTAATCTGAATAAGCTTTTTCTCAACTCTGGAACGCAGAGCCTCTACCGGTTCCAGAACTCAGGGCATTTATCTCTGGTTTTCTCTTATTGTCACATTTTCTTCAGTTCTTCTCTCTCTCTCTCTCTCTTTTTTTTTTTTAAACTTTTAAGTTCAGGGGTACATGTGGAGGTTTGTTATGTAGGTAAACTTACGTCATGGGGCTTTGCCATACAGATTATTTCATCACTCGGATATTAAGCCTAGTGCTTAATAGTAATTTTTTTCTGATCTTCTGCCTCCTCCAGCCCTCCACAGTCAAGTAGGCCCCAGTGTCTGTTGTTCCCCTCTGTGCCCTTGTGTTCTCATCATTTAGCTCCCACTTATAAGTGAGAACATGTGGTATTTGGTTTTCTGTTCCTTTGTTAGTTTGCTAAGGATAATGGCTTCCAGCTCCATTCATGTCCCTGCAAAGGACATGATCTCATTCCTTTTTATGGCTGCATAGTAATCCATGGTTTATATGTACCACATTATCTTTTTTTTTTTTTTAAGAGACAGAGTCTCACTTGGTCCATCAGGCTGGAGTGCAGTGGTGCCATCTTGGCTCACTGCAACCTCCATCCCCCAGGCTCAAGAGATTCTTGTGCCTCAGCCTCCCAAGGAGTAGCTGGGATTACAGGTGTGCACCACCATGCCTGGCTAATTTTTGTATTTTTAGAGATGGGGTTTTGCCATTTTGGCCAGACAGGTCTCAAACTCCTGACCTCAAGTGATCTGCCCGCCTCAGCCTCCCAAAGTGCTGAGATTATAGGCATAAGCCACGGCACCCAGCCTCACAGTTTTTTTTTTTAATTTTTAAAACATTTTTCCATAGGTTATTGGGGTACAGGTGGTGTTTGGTTACACAAGTAAGTTCTTTAGTGGTGATTTGTGAGATTTTGGTGCACCGATCATCCAAGAAGTATACACTGCACCCTATTTGTAGCCTTTTATCTCTCGCCCCCCTCCCTCCTTCCCCCCAATTCCCCAAAGTCCATTGTATCATTCTTATGCCTTTGTATCCTCAGAGCTTAGCTCCCACCTATCAGTGAGAACATATGATGTTTGGTTTTCCATTCCTTCACTTAGAATAATAGTCTCCCATCTCATCCAGGTCACTGCAAATGCCTTTAATTCATCCTTTTTATGGCTGAGTAGTATTCCATCATAGATAGATAGATATAGATATAGATATAGATATAGTTATATATACCACAGTTTCTTTATTGACTCTTTGATTGGTGGACATTTGGGTTGGCTCCATGATTTTGCAGTTGCAAATTTTGCTACTATAAACGTGTGTGCAAATATCTTTTTCTATAATGGCTTCTTTTCCTCTTGGTAGATACCCAGTAGTGGGATTGCTGGATCAAATGGATAGTTCTACTTTTAGTTCTTTAAGGAATATTCACACTGTTTTCCACAGTGGCTGTACTAGTTTACATTCCCATCAGCAGTGAAGAAGTGTTCCTTGATCACCACATCCACGCCAACATCTACTGTTTTTTGATTTTTTGATTATGGCCATTTTTGCAGAAGTAATGTGGTGTCACATTGTGATTTTGATTTGCATTTCCCTGATCATTAGTGATGTGCAGCATTTTTTCATATGTTTGTTGGCCATTTATCTATCTTCTTTTGATAATTCTGCATTCATCTCCTTAGCCCACTTTTTGATGGGATTTTTTTTTTTTCTTGATGATTTGTTTGACTTTCATAGTAGATTCTGGATATTAGTCCTTTGTTGGATGTGAAGATTTTCTCCCACTCTGTGGGTTGTCTGTTTACTCTGCTGACTGTTCCTTTTACTGTGCAAAGCCCTACAGTTAATTAAATCCCAGCTATTTATCTTTGTTTTTATTGCATTTGCTTTTGGGTTCTTGGTTATGAAATCCTTGCCTAAGTCAGTGTCTAGAAGGGTTTTTCAAATGTTACCTTCTAGAATTTTTATAGTTTTAGGTCTTAGATTTCAGTCCTTAACCCTTCTTGAGTTGATTTTTGTATAAGGTGAGAGACGGGGATCCAGTTTCATTCTCCTACATGTGGCTAGCCAATTATTCCAGCACCATTTGTTGAAAAGGGTGTCCTTTCCCCACTTTATGTTTTTGTTTGCTTTGTTGAAGTTCAGTTGGCTGTAAGTATTTGGGCTTATTTCTGGGTTCTTTATTCTCTTCCATTGGTCTATGTGCCTATTTTTACACCAATACCATGCTGTTTTGGTGACTGTGTCCTTATAGTATAGTTTGAAATCAGGTAGTGTGATGTCTCTAGATTTGTTGTTTTGCTTAGTCTTGCATTGGCTATGTGGGCTCTTTTTTGGTTCCATATGAATTTTAGAATTGTTTTTTCTAACTCTGTGAATAATGATGGTGGTATTTTGAAGGGAATTTTGTTGAATTTCTAGATTGCTTTTGGCAGTATGGTCATTTTTACAATATTGATTCTACCCATCCATGAGCGTGGGTTGTGTTTCCATTTGTTTATGTCATCTATAATTTCTTTCAGCGATGTTTTGTAGTTTTCCTTGTGGAGGTCTTTTGCCTCCTTGTTTAGGTATATTCCTAAGTATTTTATTTTATTTTTTGCTGTTATTGTAAAAGGGGTTGAGTTCTTGATTTGATTTTCAGCTTGGTCTGTACGTGTGTAGAAGAGCTACTGATTTGTGTACATTAATATTGTATCCAGAAATTTTGCTGAATTTTTTTTATCAGTTCTAGCAGCTTTCTGGAGGAGTCTTTAGGGTTTTCGAGGAAAATGATCATATAGTGAGCAATCAGTGACAGTTTGACTTCCTCTTTACTGATTTGGATGCCCTTTATTTCTTTCTCATGTCTGATTGCTCTGGCTAGGACTTCCAGTACTATACTGAAAAGGAGTGGTGAGAGTGGGCATCTTTGTCTTGTTCCAGTTCTCAGAGGAAATGCTTTCAACTTTTCTGCATTCAGTATTATGTTGGCTGTGGGTTTTTCATAGATGGCTTTTATTATATTGAGGTATGTCGCTTGTATGCTGATTTTGCTGAGAGTCTTAATCATAAATGGATGCTGGATTTTGTCAAATGCTTTTTCTGCATCTATTGAGATGATCATGTGATTTTTGTTTGTAATTCTGTTTATGTAGTGTATCACATTTATTGAGTTGTGTATACGGTAAAACCATCCCTGCATCCCTGGTATGAAACCCACTTGATCATGGTGGATTATCTTTTTTATATGTTGCTGGATTTGGTTAGCTAGTGTTTTGTTAAGGATTTATCTATGTTTATCAAAGATATTAGTCTGCAGTTTTCTTTCTCAGTTATGTCCTTTCCTGGTTTTGGTATTAGGGTGATGCTGGCTTCATAGAATGAATTAGGGAGGGTTCCCCCTTTATCTTGTGGAATAGTGTCAAAAGGGTTGGTACCAATTGTTCTTTGAATGTCTAGTAGAATTCTGCTATGACTTTGTCTGGTCTTGGACTTTTTTGTTGTTGGTAATTTTTTAATTACCATTTCAATCTCACTACTTGTTCTCGGTCTGTTCAGTGTATCTAATTCTTCCTGATTTAAGCTAGAAGAGTTGTATTTTTTCAGGAATTTATCCATCTCTTTGAGGTTTTCTAGTTTATGTGTGTAAAGGTGTTCATAATAGCCTTGAATGATCTTTTGTATTTCTGTGATGTCAGTTGTAATACCTCCTCATTTGTTTATTACTGAAGTTGTTTGGATTTTCTCTATTCTTTTCTTGATTAATCTTGCTAATGGTCTATCAATTTTATTTATCTTTTCAAAGAACCAGATTTTTGTCTCATTTATCTTTTGTATATTTTTTGTTTCAATTTCATTCAGTTCTGCTCTGATCTTGGTTATTTCCTTTCTTCTGCTGGGTTTAGGTTTGATTTGTTTTTGTTTTTCTAGTTCCTTGAGATGTGACCTTAGAATGTCAGTGTGTGCTCTTTCAGTCTTTTTGAAGTAGATGTTTAGGGCTATGAACTTTCCTTTTAGCACCACGTTTGCTGTATCCCAGAGGTTTTGATAGGTTGTGTCCCTATTGTCATTCAGTTTGAAGAATTTTTAAATTTCCATCTTGATTTCGTTTTTGATCCAATGCTCATTCTAGAGCAGGTTATTTAATTTCCATGTATTTGCATGGTTTTGAAGGTTCCTTTTGGAATTGATTTCCAGTTTTATTCTAATGTGGTCTGATAGAGTGCTTGATATAATTTCAATTTTCCTAAATTTATTGAGGCTCATTTTTTGGCTTATCATATGGTCTATCTTGGAGAAAGTTCCATGTGATGTTGCATAGAGTGTGTATTCTGCAGTTCTTGGGTAAAATATTCTGTATATGTCTGTTGAGTGCATTTGTTCCACGGTATAGTTTAAATCCATTATTTCTTCGTTGACATTCTGTCTTGATAACCTGTCTAGTGCTGTCAGTGGAGTATTGAAGTCCCCCACTATTATTGTATTGCTGTCCATCTCATTTCTTAGGTCTATTAGTAACTGTTTTATAAATTTGGGATCTCCAGTGTTAAGTGCATATTTAGGATTGTGATGTTTTCCTGTTGGACAAGGTCTTTTACCAGCATATAATGTCCCTTTTTGTCTTTTTTTTAACTGCTGTTGCTTTAAAGTTTGTTTTGTTTGATATAAGAATAGCTACCCCTGCTTGCTTTTGGTGTCCATTTGCATGAAATGCCCTTTTCCACCCCTTTGAGTGTATGTGAGTCCTTTTGTATGTGAGTCTCTCGAAGGCAGCAGCTAGTTGGTTGGTGAGTTCTTATCCATTCTGCAGTTCTGTATATTTTAAGTGGAACGTTTAGGCCATTTACATTCAATATTAGTATTGAGATATGAGGTACCATTCCATTCATCATGCTGTTTGTTGCCTGTGTACCTTGGTTTTTTGTTATTGCTTTTTAAATTGCATTTTTTTAGGTCCTATGAGATTTATGCTTTAAAGAGGTTATGTTTGGATGTGTTTCCAAGATTTATTTCAAGATTTAGAGCCCCCTTTAGCAGTTTTTGTAGTGGTAGCTTGGCAGTGGCGAATTCTCTCAGCATTTGTTTGTCTGAAGAAGACTGTCTTTCCTTCATATATGATGCTCAGTTTCACTAGATACGAAATTCTTGGCTGATAATTGTTTTGTTTGAGGAGGCTGAAGATAGGGCCCCAGTCCCTTCTAGCTTGTAGGATTTCTGTTGAGAAATCTGCTGTTAATCTGATAGGTTTTCCTTTATAGGTTACCTGGTGCTTTTGTTTTACAGCTCTTAAGATTCTTTCTTTCGTCTTAACTTTAGATAACCTGATGACAGTGTGCCTAGGCTATGATCTTTTTGTAATGAATTTCCCAGGTATTTTTGTGCTTCTTGTACTTGGATGTCTAGGTCTCTAGCAAGGCTAGGGATGTTTTCCTCGATTATTCCCCAAAATATGTTTTCCAAACTTTTAGATATCTCTTCTTCCTCCGGAATGCCGATTATTCTTAGGTTTGGTTGTTTAACATAATCCCAGACTCGAAGGCTTTGTTCACATTTTCTTATTCTTTTTTCTTTGGCTTTGTTGAATTGGGTTAATTTGTTTTTTTATTTTTATTTTTTAATTTATATATATTTTATTATACTTTAAGTTCTAGTGTACATGCGCACAACGTGCAGGTTTGTTATATATGTATACATGTGCCATGTTTGTGTGCTGCACCCATTAACTCATCATTTACATTAGATGTATCTCCTAATGCTATCCCTCCCCCCTCCCCCCACCCCACAACAGGCCCTGGTGTGTGATGTTCCCCTTCCTGTGTCCAAGTGTTCTCATTGTTCAATTCCCACTTATGAGTAAGAACATGTGGTGTTTGGTTTTTTTGTCCTTGCGATAGTTTGCTGAGAATGATGGTTTCCAGCTTCATTCATGTCCCTACAAAGAACATGAACTCATCATTTTTTATGGCTGCATAGTATTCCATGGTGTATATGTGCCACATTGTCTTAATCCAGTCTATCATTGTTGGACATTTGGGTTGGTTCCAAGTCTTTGCTATTGTGAATAGTGCCACAATAAACATACATGTGCATGTGTCTTTATAGCAGCATGATTTATAATCCTTTGGGTGTATACCCAGTAATGGGATGGCTGGGTCAAATGGTATTTCTAGTTCTAGATCCCTGAGGAATCGCCACACTGACTTCCACAGTGGTTGAACTAGTTTACAGTCCCACCAGCAGTGTAAAAGTGTTCCTATTTCTCTACATCCTCTCCAGTACCTGTTGTTTCCTGACTTTTTAATGATCGCCATTCTAACTGGTGTGAGATGGTATCTCATTGTGGTTTTGATTTACATTTCTCTGATGGCCAGTGATGGTGATTATTTTTTCATGTGTCTGTTGGCTGCATAAATGTCTTCTTTTGAGAAGTGTCTGTTCATATCCTCGCCCACTTGTTGATGGGGTTGTTTGTTTTTTTCTTGTAAATTTGTTTGAGTTCATTGTAGATTCTGGATATTAGCCCTTTTTGTCAGATGAGTAGATTGCAAAAATTTTCTCCCATTTTGTAGGTTGCCTGTTCACTCTGATGGTAGTTTCTTTTGCTGTGCAGAAGCTCTTTAGTTTAATTAGATCCCATTTGTCAATTTTGGCTTTCATTGCCATTGCTTTTGGTGTTTTAGAGATGAAGTCCTTGCCCATGCCTATGTCCTGAATGGTATTGCCTAGGTTTTCTCCTAGGGTTTTTATGGTTTTAGATCTAACATTTAAGTCTTTAATCCATCTTGAATTAATTTTTGTATGAGGTGTAAGGAAGGCATCCAGTTTCAGCTTTCTACTTATGGCTAGCCAATTTTCCCAGCACCATTTATTAAATAGGGAATCCTTTCCCCATTTCTTGTTTTTGTCAGGTTTGTCAAAGATCAGATAGTTGTAGATGTGTGGTATTATTTCTGAGGGCTCTGTTCTGTTCCATTGGTCTATATCTCTGTTTTGGTACCACTACCATGCTGTTTTGGTTACTGTAGCCTTGTAGTATAGTTTGAAGTCAGGTAGCGTGACACCTCCAGCTTTGTTCTTTTGGCTTAGGATTGACTTGGCAATGCGGGCTCTTTTTTGGTTCCATATGAACTTTAAAGTAGTTTTTACCATGAATTGGGTTAATTTGAAGACCTTGTCTGCAAGCTCTGAATTTCTTTCTTCTACTTGTTCAGTTCTATTGCTGAGGCTTTCCAGAGCATTTTGCATTTCTATAAGTGTGTCCAGTGTTTCCTGGAATTTTGATTGTTTTTTCATTATTCTATCTATTTTCTTGAATATTTCTCCCTTTACTTCTTGTATCTTTTTGTTTGTTTGTTTGTTTTTGTTTTTGTTTTTTTTGGATTTCCATGCACTGGGCTTTGACTTCCCCTGGTGCCTCCCTGATTAGCTTAATAACTAACCTCCTGAATTCTTTTTCAGGTAAATCAGGGATTTCTTCTTGGTTGAATCCATTGCTGGTGAGCTAGTGTGATTTTTTGGGGGTGTTAAAAAGCCTTGTTTTGTCATATTACCACAGTTGGTTTTCTGGTTCCTTCTCATTTGGGTAGGTTCCGTCAGAGAGAAGGTCTAGGGCTGAAGGCTGTTGTTCAGGTTATTTTGTCCCATGTGATGTTGCCTTGATGTAGTACTCTCCCCCTTTTCCTATGGATGTGGCTTCCTGAGAGCTGAGCTGCAGTGATTGTTATCTCTCTTCTGGGTCTAGCCACCCAGCAAGTCTACCAGGCTCTGGGCTGGTACTGGGGGTTGTCTGCACAGAGTCCTGTGGTGTGAACAATCTATGGGTCTCTCATCCATGGATACCAGTACCTGTTCTGCTGGAGGTGGCAGGGGGGTTAAATTGATTCTGTGAGGGTTCTTAACTTTTGGGCCTAATGTATTCTTATTTTTCTAGTTTTCTGAGGTGCAACATGTTTGAGATTTTTCTTTTTTATATAGGTATTTATTGCTATAGGCTTTCCTCTGCTTTGTTGCATCTCATAAGTTTTGGTGTGTTGTGTTTCCATTTTTTTCTCTCAAGATATTTTTAAAATTTTCTTTTAATTTCTTCATTGACCCATGGTTATTCAGGAACATGTTAATTTCCATGTATTTGTAAATTTTCTGAAATTCTTCCTGTTTTAGACCTCTAGTTTCATATTATTGTGGTCAGAAAAGATACTTGATATTATTTCAGTCTTTTAAAAATTGTGAAGACTTATCTTGTGATCTAATATATAACTTATCTCACTTTTTCTTAACAGTAAGAAAGTTTTCTTACTTTTTCTTACATTTTTCTTACTTTTACCAGGGAGTTTTATACTTTTCAGATGTTTTTGTATTACTCATTGGCATTCTTTTCTTTTACCTTGAAGAACTACCTTTAGTTCTGTTGGTGATGAACTTCCTCAGGTTTTGTTTCTCTAAGGAAGTCTTTATCTCTCTTCCAACATTTTCTGAAGAACAGCTTTGTTGTGTACTGTTGGATACTGTATAATGGAGGAGAGATTTTTTCCTTAAGCACTTTGAATATATCATACTAGTCTCTCCCAGGCTGTCAAATTTCTGTTAGTCTGTTGCCAGGGAATATTGGAATTCCCTTGTATTCTTTTTTTTTTTAGATGGAGTCTCGCTCTGTTGCCCAGCCTGGAGTGCAGTGGTATGATCTTGGCTCACTGCAAGCAGAATTCCCTTATATTCTATTATAAGGGAATGCTTCTTTTCTCTTGCTGCTTTCAGGATCCTCTCTTTATCTTTGATTTTTGACAGTTTGATTATAATACGTCTTGAGGTAGCCCTGTTTTAATTGGATCTGATTAGAGACTTTTGACCTTTATGTACTTGGATATTTATATTTTTCTCCAGGTTTGGAATGTTTTATTCTATTATTTCTTTAAATAAGCTTTCCATGCCTGTATTTTTCTCTTCTCCATCTTGACTCCTGTGACTTGAAAATGTGCTTTTTTGCATTATGCTAAACAAAATTCTGGAAAAGGGAAAACTCTAATTACTGAAACTGACCAGCAGTTGCTAGGGCCCAAGAATGAGAAAGGGCATTGACCTAAAAAAAACCATGAACAAATTTTTTGCAGTGGTAGAAATGTTTTTTTTTTCCTCTCTCTCCCTCATTTTTTTTTTTTTTTTAGACAGGGTCTTGCTCTGTCACCCAGGCTGGAATTCAGTGGCATGATCACAGCTCACTGCAGCCTCTACTTCCCAGGCTCAAGTGATCCTCCCACCTCAGCCTCCCACATAGCTGGGACCACAGGCACATGCCACCATGCCTGACTAATTTTTAAATTTTTTGCAAAGAGAGGGTCTTGCCATTTTGCCCAGGCTTGTCTTGAACTTCTGGGCTCAAGCAGTTCACCCACCTCAGCCTCCCAAAGTTCTGGGATTATACATGTGAGCCACCATGCCCAGCCTGTTCTCTATCTTAATTGTGGTGGTGTTTACATGACTGCATACATTTCTTAAAGCTCATAGAAATGTATATTAAAATTACTGAATTTTATTTATGTAAATTGTTTTTCAATGAAGCTGATAAAATAAAACTAAGCATAAAAATAAAAGTGCTCTTTTGATGTTATGCCATAAATTCTGTAAGATTCCTTCATTTCTTTTTATTCTTTATTCTTTTTTTCCCTTTGACTGTATATGTTAAAATAATCCATCTTTGAGTTTACAGATTTTTCCTTTAGCTTGATCATTTCTGTTCTTGATACTGTTTATTGCATTTTTATATCTTTCATTGTATTTTTCACCTCTAAGATTTATGTTGGGTTTTCATTATTTCATATCTTTGTGAAATTTCTCATTCTGGTCATTTATTATTTTTCTCATTTTCTTGAATTGTTTCTCTGTATTTTATTGAAGTTTGCTGAACTTCCCTAAAACAGTTATTTTAAATTTTTTGTCAACCAGTTTACATATCTCCATTTTAAGGGACAATCCCTGGCACCTTATTTTGTTCATTTGGGTATGCCATGTTTCCTTGATTATTCTTGATCCTATGGGCATTTGTTGATATTTGCTCATTTAAAGAAGTAAGTACTTTTCCAGTGTTTGCAGACTAGCTTTTTCTGGGAAAGCCCTTCAACAGTGAGCCT
The DNA here is from genome assembly GCF_000001405.40 of Homo sapiens. Taxonomy (NCBI): domain Eukaryota; kingdom Metazoa; phylum Chordata; class Mammalia; order Primates; family Hominidae; genus Homo; species Homo sapiens. The sequence goes on along the minus strand of NC_000005.10, from coordinate 118,712,119 downwards.
ATCCAGAGAGTCTGAGCAAGCTGTCTGGTGTGGTCCCTAAGCCCAGGACCACTGTGGCTGGTGAGGCACTGGGCTGGAATCTTGTGGTTGCTGAGGCTGGTGTGGAGGGAGCTAGGGCATGTCCAAAGCCCATGGCTGAGGAGGCTGGCATATCACTAGCTTGCACCTGAAGTCTGTGGACACTGGGGCCTGCCTGCCACTGAGGGTTGCCTGAAGCCCAGTGCTGCTCTAATTGGCCAGTGGGTATGTGGACTGGTTTGAACCCACCTCACTGGGGTTATAGGTTACCACCTGGCACTGGGACAGGTCTGGGGGCTTGGTTTGCAGGTACCAGACTGGAGTCGGGGGTCATGAGGGTCTGCTTGGTGCTGGGTCTTACTGTGGTTGACCTCTTGTTATTGTCCAAGGTAAAGTCTTACCCTCACTTCCCTCTCTTTTCCACAGCTAGACAATATCTCTCCCAGTGTTGAGTTGGGAGAAGGGTGATGTGGTTAATGTAAAAGTGTCCTTTCTACCCTTTCCAATGCATCTTTCTTGTTATTTTCCTATAACCAGATACTGCAAAGTCTCCCTTGGTTTCCTTAGCAATTGTGAAGGTATTTTTGTGTATGAATAGTTGTTTAAATTGATATTTCTATGAAGAAGTGATCACTGAAGAGTCCTGTTCTGCCATTCTGCTCTGGCTATTTCCCTACCCAGGAAATATAGAAAGTTTCCAGTACCTTTTAAGGCCCTTCAAAGAGCCCATCCCCCTTTCTTTGGTCTCTCAGTGGTAACCATTATGCTTAATTTTGTGTTTATTATTATTTTGGTTTGTTTGAATATGTAAACATTTGTTCAGTTTTGCAGGTTTTGAACTGTGTCTTTTTTTTTTTTTTTGATGGAGTCTCACTCTGGCACCAGGCTGGAGTGCAGTGGTGCAATCTCGGCTCACTGCAACCTCCGACTCCCTGGTTCAAGCAATTCTCCTGCCTCAGCCTCCCGAGTAGCTGAGATTACAGACACACACCACCATGCCCAGCTAATTTTTGTATTTTTAGTAGAGACGGGGTTTCGCCATGTTGGCCAGGATGATCTCGATCTCCTGACTTCATGATCTGCCTGCCTCAGCCTCCCAAACTGCTGGGATTACAGGAATGAGCCACCGTGCCCAGCCTGAACTGTATAAGTCTTTATACTATATGTATTTCTCTTGACTTACAGTTTTCCTGAATTTACTAGTGTTTTGAGATTTATCTGTGTTGATGAGGCTACCTGTAGTTAATTATTTTCTATTTCTGTATAGTATTTCATTGACGAAAAATTCTACAATTTGTCTTCGCATCTACTGGTGATGGATATTGAAGCCATTTCTTTATTTTCCCTATTACAAATAATGTTATAATGAATTACTCTACAGGTCTTTTGCCATAGCTAGTTAGGAGTAAACTGTATATATATATGTGGTAGTACTTGCTAGATTATTTTATACACACACACACACACACACATGCACACACACATACATATATAAAATACGTGATTTCCCATTTTGAGCAGCAGGGGCTTCAACTCTGCTGGCTGGCAATGCAGAACCAGATCATTCATCACTTTAAACAACGCCAAATTGTTTCCCAGAGCAATTGCAAACATTTGCACTCCCACTAATATATAAATATTTATTGCTTTACATCCTTGCTAACTTTTGGCATTTCTAGATTTTTTTTTTATTTTTGCCTGTCTGATGAGCCTAAAATAATATTATTGTGTGGGTCTACTTTTATTTAATGATGTTCAGGTTGAGCATCCTTTCAGGTACTTGTATTTCCTTTTCTATAAAGGTACTGTTCCTGTCTTGGCCTATTTCCCCACTTTTGTTTTGTATATTCTAGTTGATGTATAAGAGTTCTCTGTGTATTCTAAATAAGAATCCTTTGACAATTCTGTGTTACAAATTTTCTTTCAGTTTGTAGATTGTCCTTTTACCTGTCTATGGTATCTTTCTGATAATAGCAGTTCTTAATTGCTCTATTTAATTTAGTCAAATATGTTGAGCTTTTCCTTTATGACTTGTGGCTGTGTTTGTGTGTGTGTGTGTGTGTGTGTGTGTTTCTGTATGTATGTTTAGAGAAATCCATCCACTGCCAAGATTATATTTTCCTTTTTATGGTACCTATTCCTATCCGATAAGGTGTCTGTCTACCTTGTTCTTCTTCTTTAGGAGCATCTTGACTATTTTTGACCTTTGCTTTTTTATATAAATTGGTTTTATGTTTTCTAGTTTGTTAATTTCTCATCTAGTTACGTTCTATTTATATTTTGGAGTGTAGTTGGAGATTTTTTTTAACCAAATTCTCAAGTCAAATGCTTAATTAATTTTGAGCTTTTCATTTTTTCTAATAAAAGTCCTTAAAGCTATATAATTCTTTCTAAGTAACATATAGCTGTATCATAATACTTTATGTAATAATTTGATATGTAGAAATTTAAACTTTTCTGGTTTATTTTTAACATGTGTTATTCAAAAGTATGTTTTAAAAATTTCAAACTTATGCATTTTGTTCTATTTATCACTCAGTTATTAACATCTAACATAACGGCATCATAGTCTGAGAATATCCTCTGTATGAAAGCTTTGTGATAATAGATGTCCTGGTTTCATTTCTACTAATTTGTTTTGTGCTTTCTAGTTATCCTTTTCTGTATTTCTTTTTTTTTCCCTTTCTTATCTTCTTTTGGGGTTGTTGTCTTTTTTCTTCTTTCATTTTTCTTCTTCATACTCTAGCTTGAGTATTATTCTATTTTTGTAGAGGTTAACCTCTAGAAAATATGGATGTTTAACATTGTCTAAAATGAATGTCTACTCTTCTCTAGAACAATACATTAATCCAAGGATGCTTTAATTTTGCTTATCTCCCATCTGATTCATACTCCATTTTTGGATGGTATTTTAGTCTCTTCTTCTTTTAAACTTTCAGTTTAGACAATACTGTTGTTTTATAGAATTATTTAGATTTGCCCACATATATGCCATGTTCTTTTTGAACTATTTCATTTTACATTTCAGACCTTCCTATTGGCATTATTTTTTCTTTCTGCCTCAAGTACATCCTTTAGGATTTCCTTTCAAAAGTGTATATATAGGCAAACTCAGTTTTTGTTTGTCTAAAATATCTGTATTTCACCTGTGATTATTTCAAAGGAGTTTTAAATAAGGCACATAATTTTAGCTTGTGGTTCTATTCTCCTAGAATTTTAAAGATATTGCTTCATTGTCTTCTGTTTTCTATTGTTGGTATTGAAGATTTTGCTATCAGTTTAATAGTAGGTCCCTTGTAAGTAATCTGTATTTTCTCTCTGGCTCAATATTATATATTCTTTCTCTTTGCAGTCCCCAAGTTTCCCTGTGATATATCTAGAAGTGGAGTAAAACAATTCTTATTTTTCTGGTAATTCAATAGAATTCCTGAACCTGAGATTTACTGTCTTATTTCAAATCTGGGAGATTCTCAACCATTCTCTCTTTGTATATTTTATCTCTCTTATTCTTCCTCTTTCCTGGCTGATATCTTAATAGATTACACTAGATTTTATCAGTCTATCCTTCATACTTTTAAACATTTGATTGATTTTTTATTATTCTGTCTATTTCTGCTATTGAAGAAGACATAAATGGAAAGATATCCCATGTTCATGAACTGGAAGTTAATCTGTAGATCATTTTGGGACATATTAACAATTCTTCCAATTCTTTTAATTACTAAAATGTTTATACTACACAAAGCAATCTACAGATTCAATGCAATACCTATCAAGATTTGGATAATCTCTTCATATCTATCTTCTAGCTTGCAAATCTTCTCTTCAGCTGTGTCTAATGTGCTATTGATCTCATGTATAGATTTTAAGTTTTTAATTATTATTTTTTATTTGTTAGTTTTGTTTTCTTCTGATTGTCTTCATTTATTTTATAGTAACTTTCTCTCATATTTAAGTGTCCTCTTTTACATCTTTAAACATTAAATGTACTTATTTTATATCTGAGCTGTCAACTGAAGCTCAAAGTCTCTGGGCTAATTAGATATCCTCTGGATAGAAACCTCCCTCAGAACTCTCCTTACTTTCCTGGATTCCAGCTTTCACTTATTATTTTTTTTCCTCTGATGAGTCATTATTTCATTGCCAGCTCAGTGTTGAATTTTAAAAGATCCTTTTAATATATTATTCAGTATTTTTTGGTTATCATCAGGGGGCTGGGTGGCTGTTGACAGTATCCATTCTACCATACTGTTGGAAATTAAGTCCAGTTATTCCTGTTTTTAAAAATGAGGAAATTCAAGTCCAGAGAGGCCAAATTTCTGCCCCAGTTCACGGAACTTGAAGGTGTCAGGGTGGAGAATTGCTGACCCCATGCCCATTGCTTTTGTGATTTAATGGCTCTCTGAAGACTTTGTCCGTTAAAAGGAATGTGCATAATAAACATACAATTAGAGAAATCACTTTCTACAAGATTTTAAAGCACTTTTTCCTAAATTAAAAGGTTTTTTACAGCTGATTTTCAAATAATCTTTTATTAAGAAAACAGAATAAGCAGGAATAGTGTTTGACTTAGAAACTAACATAGCAGGAATTCACAAACAGCTAAGGGGGATCCAAGTCAATTTTGGGAAGCTTGAAAGTAGCTTTTAATTTTCAAATAACTAGACAAAAATCTTCAATATAATGTCTGATGATCATTATGTAATTTTGATATTTGTTCCTGGTAAATGAATAGCAAATTATACAAGTATATTATTTATTTATTTATTATGCAAGTATTTTTTTAAAACAAATAACATGGAGATAAATTTTGTGACTTTGAGGAGTACTTCATATTAAAGAATGTATTAGAGGACCCTTTTAGTAAATTTCTGGGTTTAAGGCAAACTTTTATTTCCTTAGACTATTCTGTAAGAATTGATCAGAGCATATGAGGTGAGCAAAGGGTTATAGCCAGTTCCATATTCCTGATGTCTGGGTGCCAGTTGGTACAGTTGATATGGCTGATATAACCCTATAATATAAAAGGCAATTATAGGATAATTTGAGATGGGAACAGGTGAAGCTCACATAATTTGGAGCTGAGAAGAGATGAGCAAATGGCAGCTATTCCAAGCAGCACTGGAACTGTTACTGTGGTGTTTGGACAGGCATGTCTCCTAATGTGATTTCATTATGCTCAGGTTAAAGACTTGGGCTTTAGATCAACAATGTGCAAATTTGGTTTATCATCTGAGTTCATAAAAAAGATGACAGAATTCCAGCAGAAGAGCTTCAGCATTTGCCAAGAGCACAAGTAGAAAATTGTTCTTTTTAGATCTCTCACATTGCAAAAACTCTGACTAGAAATATGAAGTTTTCTGTATTGAAGAATAAGGAATAGCGAATATTCCAAGAATACTCCTGAAACAATATTTTTCCTGGGTATGCATCTTTGTGTGATTATATATTTAAATATAAGAGTCAGTCTCCATTTGCTGATTTTATCCCTTCAGTACTTTGTGGTTTTTCAGTAATTGTCCTCAAAATGAATGAATTGCAGAGAAATACTCAATGCTAATACTACCCAGCCTTTCCTGTAATCACTGGCACTGCAAAGAATAGGGACCAAATACTACAGCCCGATTTGTCCTTGTCAGAAGAGCAACAATGCTTAGGCCCACAACCCAAACTTATACATGATTCTAAAAAGAGCAATTTGTCAAGCGTTTCATTGGCACAAATTGAAATGAAATGAGGTTTTGGGCTCTTGAGGTCACTTTGCAACAGGAAGAATTCATTATCTAACTATACACAGAGGAAAATGCCTCACAATTGTATTTGCTTGTAAAGGATGAGTGCCCACACATAAAGCCAAAGTGGCAGAGGTCACTTACAAGAAATAAACTACATGAAAGCAGGGACGCAAGTGCCCCTTAGTTATAGCCGCCTACTTTTTCTTTCTGGTTAGGGTTTCTTTGGGGCATATTGCTCAATGCACTGAGGGAAATACTTGCAGAGCTCTTTGTTGTTTATGTAAAATCACTTGCACAAGCCTTGCTAGTTTGTCTATTGAAAGCACAATGCAATCTTTTATGTCTTTTCCCCTTGGGGTAAGAGGAGTTTGTTCTCTCTGTATGTTCCATATTATTCTGAGGTGTATATTTTCTCATAAGACCACATTCTTCCTACTATGTGGAGAAGATGCAGTCTTGAATATTGAACAATTCATTGGGTGGTTATTGATGCGGATTGGTTTCAGTTTAAGGAGCAGGGAGAAGGGAAGTATATGTTAAACACATCAATTCTGAGAATAAAAAATTTCAATATATTTATAAATCACTTAGAACAGAGAGTTGATTTTTATGTTTTCAGTTGGTCTGAGCTGAGAAAGATAACAGAAATCAAGTCATTTTTAATGAGAGAGAAAAATAGCATGGCTAAAGAGGATGAATTTAAATAGGGACAGATGTGTGGAAGTAGATATAGAGATATGCTTCATTAATCCCTTCCCACACTTCAACCTTTCCCAAACTCAGATATTTAGAAAAAAGGACTAGAAAGGCTTGCATATCAAGTCCAGTGGCCATTTTTCACTCCTGTTCATTTCCTGTAATCCAATCAAGTCTCCAAGACTTTTAAGTTCTTTCAAAGTTCTTTTCTAATAATGTGGCCTCCCATTTGTCCCTTTTCTCATCTTTTTATGGCTACCATCCTTGACGTGGATTGCAGTGAATCTGCAGATTGCTTTGGATAGTATGGATATTTTAACAATACTAAGTCTTCCAATTTAAGAACGTGAGATGTCTTCCCATTTACTTTTGTCTTTTAAAATTTCTTCCAGCAGCATTTTTTTTTTGTGGTTTTCAAGTATTGTTACATAGTAGATTAGCACATTTTGTGTGTTGTAGGTTTTTTGGGTGGTGGGTGGTTTTAGACATGATGATGGTGCCTTTCATGGAGATACAGGATACATGAAGAAAGCAGAACGCAAGGCATAGCCAGGAACATTAACCCAGTACTGGCCCTGTTGAATTTCATATCCTAGTATGGCATCTTCAAATGTTCTTGGAAACAGATATCTGGAGCTAGACATTGATGATGGATAAAACCTTAAGAATGGATAAAGATCCTTGGAGAATGTATATACAGAAAGAGAGAAAAAAAATCATTTTTTTCATGTTCATTATCCCCAGTGACTAAACTATTTAAATGAGACAGTGTCCCAGCCTGCTAACCCTACTTCTGTGCAATTTGAGTGCAAGCCACAGCAGCCAAGAGGAAAGGAGGAGAGAGAACATTAAAGAGAGAATTCAGACAAGTAGTACCACGTATTAAGGTGGCAAAAGTATGAATACCTGCTTATTGCCTCCTTCTAGCTGCCTGAAGACCATATTTAGCAATGATGTTTTATTTAGTAAGATCTCATTCTAAAGCCTGTAAGTCATGTGACTCTTCTCATTTTTTTTCAATGACAGAAATAACTGTTGGCTTTGAAAGTTTGGGAGGAAGAGATTGAGATCCCCTTCTCCTTGTTTAATAATCTTTTCATTATTTTCTCTGGTCTCCAATTCATTCGATGGGCCCAAATAATTTCATTAAGGGCCTTTTTTTTTTTTTTTTTTTTTTTTGTCTAATGGGTTCCAGTCTCTTTGTAATACCAGGTGATATGTTCTGACTCTGTGTCCCCACCCAAATCTCATTTTGAATTGTACTCCCATAATTCCCAGTGTTGTGGTAGGAACACAGTGGGAGATAATTGAATCATGGGGGAAGTTTCCCCCATACTGTTCTCATGGTAGTGAGTAAGTCTCACAAGATCTGATGGTTTTATCAGGAGTTTCCGCTTTTACGTCTTTCTCTTTCCTTCTTTGCCTGCTGCCATCCATGTAAGATGGGACTTGCTCCTCCTTGCGTTCTGCCATGATTGTTAGGCTTCCCCAGCCACATGGAACTAAAAGTCCAATTAAAAATTGCCCAGTCTAGGGTATGTCTTTATCAGTAGTGTGAAAGTGGACTAATACAGTAAATTGGTACTGAGAGTGGGGTGTTGCTGAAAAGATACCCAAAAATGTGGAAGTGACTTTAGAACTGGGTAACAGGAAGAGGTTGGAACAGTTTAGAGGGATCAGAAGAAGACAGGAAAATGTGGGAAAGTTTGGAACTTCCTAGAGACTTGTTGAATGGCTTTGCCCAAAATGCTGATAGCCATATGGACAATAATGTCCAGGCTGAGATGGTCTCAAATGGAGTTGAAGAACTTGTTGGGAACTGGAGCAAAGGTGACTTTTGTTATGTTTTAACAAGGAGATTGGTGACATTTTGCCCCTGCCCTAGAGATATGTGGAACTTTGAACTTGAGATAGATGATTTAGGGATCTGGCAGAAGAAATTTCTAAGCAGCAACACATTCAAGAGGTGACTTGGGTGCTGTTAAAAAGCATTCAGTTTTAAAAGGGAAACAGAGCATAAAAGTGTGAAAAATTTGCAGCCTGACAATGTGATAGAAAAGAAAATCCCATTTTCTCAGGAGAAATTGAAGCCAAGCCTGCTGCAGAAATTTGCACAAGTAATGAGGAACCAAATGTTAATCCCCAAGACAATGGGGAAAATGTCTGCAGGGCATGTCAGAGGTCTTCACGGCAGCCCCTCCCATCACAGGCCTGGAGGCCTAGGAGGACAAAATAGTTTCATGGGCCTGGCCCAGGGTCCCCAAATTGTGGGCAACCTAGGGAGTTGGTGCCCTTCATCCCAGCTGCTCCAGCCTTGGCTGAAAGGGGCCAACGTAGAGCTCAGGGCATGGCTTCAGATGGTGCAAGACATGAGACTTGGCAGCTTCCATGTGGTGTTGAGACTGTAGGTGCACAGAAGTCAAGGATTGAGTTTTGGGAGCCTCCGCCTAGATTTCAGAAGATGTGTGGAAATGCCTGGATACCCAGGCAGAAGTTTGCTGCAGGGGCAGGGCTGTCATGGAGAACCTGTGCTAGGGCAGTACGGAAGGGAAAAGTGGGGTCAGAGCCCCCATGCAGAGTCCCTATGGGGCACCGCCTAGTGGTGCTGTGGGAAAAGGGCCACTGTCCTCCAGAGCCAAGAATGGTAAATCCACTGACAGCTTGCACCTTGCACCTGGAAAAGCCTCAGACACTGAATGCCAGCCCATGAAAGCAGCTGGGAGGGAGGCTGTACCCTGCAAAGCCACAGGCGTGGAGCTGCCAAGACCATGGGAACCCACCTCTTGCATCAGCGTGACCTGGATGTGAGACATGGAGTCAAAGGATATCATTTTGGAGCTTTAAGATTTGACTGCCCCACTGGATTTGGACTTGCATGGGCCCTGTAGCCCCTCTGTTTTGGCCAATTTCTCCCATTTGGAATAGTTGTATTTATCCAATGTCTGTACCCTCATTGTATCTAGTAAATAACTAGCTTGCTTTTGATTTTATAGGCCCATAGGTGGAAGGGACTTGCCTTGTCTCAGATGAGACTTTTGAGTTAATGCTGAAATGAGTTAAGACTTTAGGGGACCGTCGGGAAGGCATGATTGGTTTTGAAACATGAGGACATGAGATTTGGCAGGGGCCAGGGGCAGAATGATATGGTTTGGCTCTGTGTCCCCACCCAAATCTCATCTTGAATTGTACTCCCATAATTCCCATGTGTTGTGGGAGGGACCTAGTGGGAGATAATTGAATCATGGGGGCTGTTTTTTCCCATACTGTTCTCATGGTAGTAAGTCTCATGAGATCTGATGGTTTTATCAGTGGTTTCTGCTTCTGTGTCTTTCTCATTCTTTGTCTGCTGCCATCCGTGCAAGACGGACTTGCTCCTGCTTGCCTTCCACTATGATTGTGAGGCTTCCCCAGCCACATGGAACTATAAGTCCAATTTAGCCTCTTTCTTTTGTAAATTGCCCAGTCTGAGGTAAATTGCCCTATCTTTATCAGCAGTGTGAAAATGACTAATACATCATGTAAAACATTAAAAGTGGAATAGATTCTCTCTAGTCTAGATTGATTTAGATGTGACTTGGCATTGAAGGATCCTGGACTGAGTGTGTAGGCAGCTCCCTCATTCAATCAGTGATGTGATAGATGACTACACAGAGAATGAGTCCCTTCAGCTCCCCCTCACCCCTCCTTCCAAAGGAATGCTGGAATTTCTTAATTCTTAGCATTTTTTTGTTCAATTCTTAGCCCTTTACACTGTTTTCCAATGATTCAGATGTGATTTCAATGTGAAGGGCATGAAAGAGATGTGACAATGATACTCATTTTTCTCATAGCACTTACAATTATGGAATATTATGTTGTATATCTATTTGTTATTAGAATGTAACCTCCATAAAGCCGGGAATTTACTTGTTTTGTTTACTACTTCATTATTTGACCACCCCACTGGATTTGGACTTGCCTGGGCAGGGTTGAGAGTGGTGCCTAGTATTCAACAGTCATTCATTGAAGAGTTATGGTTAGACTATGTATTGGATATGTGCTCATTTTTGGTTTGGAAAATATGGTAACTGTGGCCATGTGATCTTGCATTAAATACATTTTAATAATTTATTTTACAGTTGCTTTGATGATGTTTTCCTAATGTCTTAGTTTACCATTGGTTCTTGGGTCTGCCATTTGATACTGCTATCAGATGTGAAAAGGTAGCTCTGTCTTTTTGGCAAATTTGATTTAAACCTCTAATTCATTCTTACTTGCCTGTCCTACAAAGAGAACTTGGTAATTGACAGTTGTATTCAAGTCTTGAAAGAACTCAGAGAGCTGGTGATTAGGAGTGCCTTCTAGCTGTCACTTTGATTTCAGTGGGATTGTACTTCAATGCTTTGCCTAGGAGCACTAGGAGAGAGAGTTTTCCTTTACAGACTCCCTGTAGAAAAACTTCACCAGCATGAAAAAAAAAAGACACCCACTGACTTACTTTTCATCTGGAATTAATGTGATCAGCAATGTCTAAAGACGGTAGATAAGGCATGTTTTCATTTCAATGAAATGAAGATTTTCAAAGCTTTTGAGCTGCTAATCCTTCTCTCTCATTTTTGCTACTTTTTCCTCTTTACTCCAATGCAATCTCTGCATCAAAGCTACATCACTGACATGACCAGAACAATCAGAGGCAAGGTGAACATGCAATGTATGATGGCCGAAAACCATTACTCCACAAAGCAGCAGCAGATCTAGGATGGGGTTTGCGGTAATGCCCCATCCTGATTACCAGCACACCAGGAAATCGCATGAAAGGTGACATGTTGGATTATCCAGAGGCTCCTGGCAGCCATGGAACTTGGAAATGTATACTCTTTAATGAGAGGCAAAACTTTTTTTTTTTTAAAGTCACATGCCAGAAAATGGAGGGGATGTGACTGTTTTTTCTGTGGTCAAGACCAGTTTCCATTTATACTTTCACAGTTTTTGGATATAGCTTTACATTGACAACTAAGAGCAGTGCAGCTGAAAGGCTAGAAGATGGGAAAATGCTATGAGAATCAGGTGCTCTAGATTGCTAATTAGGTTAATTTTAGGCAGTGTGGCGTGTTTGTAAATAAAATACTGTTATAGTAGAAGAGGTGGCTATAATCTTCCAGCAGAAACAGGCAAACCAAAGTATTATATTGGGAATGCATAGTTGTTTAAATCAACATTAGGCAATTTTGGTCTTCTATATTGTGGAAACTGGGCTATTTAAAATGAGAATACTAACTGAGTGAAAGAAAATGCTAATTCAGAAAATGTTTTAGCCTGTGCATTGTAGAAAATAATCTTTTAGAAAAGTAGCTTGTTTTTAAAAGAATAGGTTAGGGGGACAACCTCTCACTAAATTAAAAAAAAAAAAAAGCATCGTTTTCAGCTGGGAGAGCCAAAGAGGGAGCTTGCTCTGCAGACTTCCTTAGTTTCTCTTCTTCTAATTTTCAGTTCTGGGCCTCAGGAAATCTCAACCTGTTGCTGTACCACTGACTTGGCATGCCACTGACAATACTTTGAGAAAGGAGAGAGAGATGGAGTTAGGAGAGATTCTGTTAATATAAGATCTATTCCCTACAGGCAGAAAGCAGATGGCTTTGTCTTGTTTACTTAAAATTCTGTATGGCAGTTTGGAGGCAAAATCTTTATTTGAGCCATCTTCCCAGTGAAAAGCCAGGCCTAAGTAAGAGAGGATGTATAGGTTGTGGTAGGAGTCTTAGGGTAAGGAGGTAGTAATGGTTAACCATAGGAGACAGCTGAGTGGAGCAGTTGGGCGAGGAGGTTCTGATGTCATTCTGCTTGTGTCTGTATCCTCGCTATGGGTCCTTGGGTCCTTGGGTCCTTGGGCAAGTTAGTTGGTGTTCCAGGTTGGATTTTCCAGAAAGCAGACTCCGAGTGAGTTTAGTTTGCCTGTCATTTATTTGGGAATGTCCTTGGCCCAATATCTAAGGGAAGGGGAGGACAAAGCAAGATTGGGTAAAGGGCTATTCCAGTGGCCATGCAGTGGGGCTCTGGAGCTGGAATGGCCCTTCAGAATTATTTCAAGTTGAGTGGAATTACCGCCATACTGATCAGTCACTGGAATTGGGTGACTGTGGAAAGGGGTGTGACTGTGAACAAGGGCACTTTGCAGCTGAAGCATTCTGGAGGGTAGGGAACCAAAGGCTCTCCATCAGCTGTGTTTCCATCTGCTGCTGGGGCAGCAGGTTTTTCAGAGAAGGGGGATCTGGCTGCATAAGCATCCACACTTAGCTTCTCTGGGCCTTAGTTTCTGAAGCATATTTTATTGAGAACTAAATGAGATGATACACAGAAAGTGCTTAGAGCTGTGCCTGACATGGAGTAAATATTTAGTGATCACTGTGTACCAAGCACAGGTGAAATTATTTGCCCGGGTCTTATAGGCGGTAAGTAGTGGCCTTGGAACTGAGATCTGACTCACTCCAGTCTGTTTTTAGTCACTACATTAAATATCTTAACATGCTAGAATTCACATCAGTTTGAAGAGGTTTACTTCAGCCTTGTTTGCTCAGTGAATGCATCTCACATAAGAAAGGCCTCCCCAGCCAAGCCTGGCTGCAGGAACTCTCCTTCCCATTGCTGGGCAACAGTGTGTTCTTCCACTTTCCTTCTTCTCTTTCTCTTGACGGACCTCTCCTCCCACCTGTCGCCCCCTTCTCTGGCTTCCTACTGACCTCTAGTGATTGGCTTGGGCATGATTTGGAGCAGGAAGCTGACCTAAGTAGCAAGGATGGAAGGAGGGAGGAGAAGTGAAAACCCTGGACTGCTCTTCCAGTCTCCAGGACCACAGCACACTGCCCCTCTCCTGCTATTCCCCATATCCACTTGCCAAGGTTTGATTCTTTACATTTAGTGTCCTATATTAGGTCCAAAAATGAAATGCCCAGAGTATTCTTTATGGAGTGAGCTATTATCTGAACCTTAGATAAATTTTACTTTAGTGTTTTGTGTGTGCGTGTGTGTGTGTGTGTGTGTGTGTGAGTGTGTGCTTTTGTATCAAAAGACCTACCTTTCAGACCTTCTATAGGAAAATCTTTTCCTATCTCCCCAAACTGACATATAAATGAATAAGTTGAACACAGTCTATCTGTAAGTTGTGGCTTCCTCTATTTTCTTCCTCCTTGAACTACATGTTGAAGAGCCAATGAGATTTATTTTTTGTTTATTATTTTTTCTTCATGCATGCATTGATGGAAAAACCTTTGTAAATAAATTATCATACGCATTGTATTCTAAGGAATGCCATGAAGTAAAAGGAGCTGCATTTTCAAGGAGCTTACAGCCTGGGTCAGGGCTGTATGACATGAAAAGAAGTAGGGTTGAACTTGATGGAATACTTAGTTCTGGATTTGCAGCACAAACTTAAAACTGAACATTTTAAATTATTGATATTAAATGCAACTATATACATTCTACAGATAAGTGAGCAATAGGAATGTAGATCATTTGTGATAGCCAAGCGGACAACTCAATGATGAAATTTACTAGCTGTTATCATTCCTACCAAAGCCTTCTCTTCATGACTTTCTGGTTCTCATTCACCTCAGAGTACTAGAAGGGAGAGGGCCAAAATTCTATGGCCTTTACTATCTTTTCATTTACTCTTCAACAGGGGAGGAAGAGTGGCTTAGTTTCATTTGTATGTTTGGAAACAGATAATGGGCATGGGCTTCCAATCTGTCTTTTCTTTTTAGGCACAGACCTGACTATAGAAAGCCTGAGTTCTCCAACCAGGGGAAAACACTTCCTAGAACTGCGTATATGTGTCTGTCTAAGGATGAACTTCAGGTATGTAAAACTCATTGACTCAAAAATATAAATCACATTCTCCAATATCAGCTTAATCAGTAAGATGGTGATACTGTGTTTTGGATTCCACCTGTCTTATTCTTGTTATAACTTAATTGATTCAAAGCCTAGGTGGGGATTAGGGATGTCATTTATCAATCTCCACTCATTCCTAAAGATTAGATGTTAGAGTTTCCTAAGGCATTAACTCCATACCCAGACCACTTCACGCTAGATGGAATAGCATTTATTTTTCACAATTCATCATTGTGAGTGAGTGTGTGTGGTATGTGTGTGTGTTTCTTCTGAAGAGAAACTCTTGGGAGACAAGAATTAGGTAGAAACTGCCTATTTGGGTAGGCCCTCTTCAGTTCAACTAAACAAAACCTTATTAAGCCCTAAGATGGGCTAGATGGTGCACCAGACACAGGGCATAGGCATTAATAGGACATATCCAAGGAGCTTTGGGTCCTACTAAAGATAGTGTCATGAGGGGGGGCAACCCAGGGGTCAGTGTGGAAGAGCAATTGTTCCTTTTCTCTACTTATAATACCATTACTGAAGGAGCAGTGCTTGAGTTAGGCTGTAGGATTGAGCTTCATCCTGCTAATAAGATTAGTGAAAGGTTATCTGTTGCTCTTCTCCTCATGCCAAGTTTTGTATAGTGGATCAAGTCATTATATTAATTACACAGAGCAGTATAGATAAGAGTTAGAGACTATGTGCCCTGGAGCTTGACTGACTAGATTTGTCTCCTTGCTTTCTAGCTGTGTAACTTTGGGAAAGTTGTTTAACTCTTCTGTGTTTCAGATTCCTTATAGAAGAAACAGGGATGATAATACTACCTGCGTGGTAGCATTATGCTGAAGATAAGTGAGTTAATACAAACAGAGTGCTGAGAACAGTGCCTGGCACAGAGCGGTTCTCAACAGGTATTAGCTCCTGTTATTATTAACTATTATCAATAATTGGCATGTGGCATGGAAATGGGAAGGAGGGATGATAACAAGGAGAAGATATACTGGAAAGACAAAAAGGGTAGCTCTTCACAGCTCATTGGAAGGCTTTTGGTCTAAAACTTTCATAAGTCATGGTGGGAACAGATAAAATAGCAGAAATGGCTTCCACATGCAGAGAGCAAAATCAATTACTGACCAACCTGTTCATTTTACCCCAAGTTTTTGTTTTCCATCTACTTGTCATAGCAGAAAAGCTTGCTGTCTGTCATCAGTGTCAATGTGGTGGGGAGAGGTAGAGTGTTTTGCAGCTTTCACCAAATCCTACTTGTTTGGGATGAGCAGTGAGATAGGAAGCCAAGCCCTAGTGTTTTCTTATTCACTTGAGAGCTGTAGATATTTATTTTAAATGCTCATTCTGACTGTGTTTGAAAAGTTGGACAAAATGCTTATCAGCGAATTAAAAAAGCATTTATTAAATGCCCACTAGGTACATAGATGAATTCTAGGAACTTGCATAGTTACTGTATAGTTTAACCTCATAAAAATCATTTGAGGGGATTACCCTGACTGGGTCATTACATATGGTGTGCATGTATCAAAGTATCAGCTGGGCATGGTGGCTCATGCCTATAAGCCTAATGATTAAGGAGACTGAAAAGGGGCGATCCCTTAAGCCCAGGAGTTCAAGGCTGCAGTCAGCTATGATTGCACCACTGCACTCTAGTCTGGGTGATGGAGTAAGACCCTGTCTTTTAAGAAAAATCACATGCATCCCATAAGTACTCAAAAATATGTACATCTATTATCTATCAATTTTAAAAAGAAGGTTTTTTAAGCATATAGATTTTTCTCTGATACCTAGTTAGGAAAAATTAAAAGTAGCCTATCTATCCTAAACCCCACCCCCCAAAATCATTTGAGGTAAATATTGTTATTTTGGTTTTCCAGGTGAGGAAATCAAAGTTTAGACAGATAATGTGTTTTTCCAAAGACATTGAAATAGAGCTTGCTGGAATTTGAGTTCAGGTCTTCTGAAAATGTATTAAAATTTACACAGATTTATTGAGGTCATTAGCAAATTGTCTACTCCCTTTATGAACTTTATGAAATTTTAGAAGTACAGGAAATCATAAAGAATAAAATCAAAATCATCTATAATATCACAACTCAGAAATAGCTACTGTTTAAATTTTGGAGTGTTTTTATCTAATTTTAATGCATAGGTATATGTCTATTTTTTTCTCCAAAGAAAACTTCTGGGCCGGGCACGGTGGCTCATGCCTGTAATCCCAGCACTTTGGGAGGCCGAGGTGGGTGGATCATGAGGTCAGGAGATCGAGACTATCCTGGCTAACACGGTGAAAACCTGTCTCTACTAAAAATACAAAAAATTAGCCGGGTGCGGTGGCGGGCGCCTGTAGTCCCAGCTACTCGGGAGACTGAGGCAGGAGAATGGCATGAACCCGGGAGGCGGAGCTTGCAGTGAGCCTAGATAGCGCCACTGCAGTCAGGCCTGGGTGAAAGAGCAAGACTCCGTCTCAAAAAAAGAGAAAACTTCTGCTATCTATGTTATTTAAAAACCCCCCTTTAAACAATATGTTTTGAGGACTTTTTATATTCTTAAATAGTCTTCCAAAACCTGATTTTAAATTGCTGCTTTTCATCATGGGGATGAAAAAAATCCTTATTGTTCATATTTATGTTTTAAATTTTCCCCTGTCTTAAACAATGATGCACTCAACATCTTTGTTCATAATTCTTTTTGCGTATCTCTAATTATTCCCTTAGATTTCCGGAAGAATAATTACTGCATAAGAGTTTGTTCCACTTATTGATTGCTGTTTAACAAACTGACCCAAAACTTAGTGACATAAAACAACTACCACTTTATTATGCCCATGGATACTGTGGGTTAAAAATTCAGAAAGAGCACAGTAGGGATGATTGTTCTCTGCTCCATGATGCTGGGACCTCAGCTGATAAGACGCCAAGACTGGGCTTAGCTAGGACTGTCGACTGTTGTTCCTAGATATGGCCTCTCTGTATAATTGTACTTAGGCAATGGCTCAGGGCTCCAAGAGTGAGGAGTCCAGTGGTGTGAGGCAGAGGTTCATGGGCTGTATCAACTAACCTTAGAGGTCTTGTGGTATCACTTTTGCCGTACTCTGTTGGTCAAGGCAGTCACAATCACACCTCAGTTCATACGGAAGGGATGCAGACGCCACTACTTAATGTGAAGAGTACCAAAGAATTTATAGCCATGTTTTAAACTACCATAGAGGATATAAACCACTTTCAGGATTTTGACATACATTATCAAATTGCCCCTAGAAATATAAAAATCAACACTTCTTCCAGGGGTGGCTGATAGTACACTCTCACCTATACTGGATGTTATAACTTTGAGAGATAGTCGTTAATTTGATAGGTAAAAGATAGCATATCATGTCATTTTAATTTTCAAATATTTGAGTACTAGTGAGATTTTACATGAATTTTTGTTCACTTGTCAAAATTTTATGTGGATTTTCTATTTTTTGCTTATTTCTCCATTAGAGTAGTCATCTTTTTCTCATTAACTGGTAGGTGTTGTTTACATGGTAAGACTAAGTCAAGGTGTTCTGACTTAAATTGAGTTATTTCACCACTAGCCTTCAGCAGCTCTAATCAATATACATTTTTAGTACTAATGATGTATAAGATACTCTTAACTTGTAATCCCAATTCTGCCTTTTCCAAACTGTGTGACTTGGACAATTTAATAAAGCCTTTGGACCTTTGTTTCCTCCCCTGTAATAGTGGTTAATAATATTCCCATTTCATTGGTTATTGTGAGTACTCAGTAATGTCCATGCAAATGCTTCAAAGAAGGCTTATTACATGCAAAGTGTCCAATAAATGTTAGTGGTTATTCTTCATATTATTGCTGTCACCATACCTGGATATTTGTGAGTATTTTAGCAATTATCTAATTATTGCCCAATTTGCAACTATATGAATCTGCTAGTCATGTCAAAATCATCTGGCTTTTGAATTTGAAAAAGCTGTGGTTGTTCTGAAAAAAGTTTTATCTCTTGCTTATTATTATAACTTGGTTCTCAAGTTTCCCAAAGGAGGTAAGTCACTTACAACGCTGGGTGGGCTGGGGCACATGGTTGTAGGGGCAACTTAGTTAATGGATGAGACACTTGGCAGTAATCACTACCCTCAATTGCCTTGCCAAAATAATTAGAAAGAGAGGAGGAAATAACTCATTTCTCTGTGAAACTCCTGAGACAAAACTAAATTTGATGGCATTTCCTCTGCCTCTTTGATTTTTTTTCCATTCAATCACACTGATTGAGCACAGAATCAAGCCTTATAGAGCACATTGTAGAGTAACAATGATGAAAGAAAAATAAAACCGTCTTCTTTAGGAGGATAAATCCCAAAGGGCTTGCCTTGCTTTGACTTGGGAGAGGCTGTTGAAACAAAAGGCTAGGGGCCTGGGTCTGAAAGGAACCTAGGCAGGGCTCAGCCCCCAGGCTGGAATTACCTGGAATTGTGTGCCTTCTTCCCAATGTGGAATAGCCTCCCTGAGCTCCTTCCTTCTGGAGCCTCATGGTGGTAGTGTTGGAGCACCATGCATTGATGTATGGAAGTAGTGGGGTGGGGCCTGGCTGGCTCTATCCCCACCACCCTGGGGGCATTGAACATGTGTTGTCTCCAAAGAGGGCTTCCCTGGCCTCCAGCCCAGCTGTCCCTTTGTGATAACCACCATTGCTAATATTCTGGTGATGAGCCACTTTGGTCCCTGCCTCACCGCTTCTGATCACTCTGTGAAATATGAGTTGGGGGAGTTTTCTGTGACAAATGCCTGCTTGACTGAGTCCCTATTCAGGCATCCGGTATCAGCTCTTGCCGCAGACAACCCTTTCAGCCCTGCCAGCCAGACAGTGACAGATTCAGCCTCCTGCTCAGACTGTCAGGGGAGTCTCCCTTTCAGGCCCCAGCTTGTCACAGGAACGCCTGGCCAAATCCTGCCAGGGCTCTGGGCTGCACCTGTGATTCCAAATGTCAGTGGGCTTGAGAGCCAGGCACTTTCCACCTCTCTTCCTGTCAAGGTTAGCTGGCCGTCGTGAGGGAGGGGGAACTCCTGAGTCCAGGCTGGCCTGTCTCTTTTGTCCTTTGCCCTGCATCAGAAGACAGATCTTTCAATACCAAGGGTCCCTGGACTTGTCGAAGAAAGCATTGACGAGATCTTGGGTAAAATTTCTCCCTGGAGATCATTAGTCCAGGCAAATTTACTTCTCTGAAATGTCCTTTCCAAGTTCTCCTTAGCTTTATTTTGTTGGTGTTTGTTGAGTACAAAGCGAAGGAGAACAAAACCAGTTATGGGTGGTAATGAAGAAGTGGCTCACGTTCATGACCACTTTTGAGATTCTGCCAGGGTCAGCCATGTGGTTTATAAATCATGATGATTTATAAATGAGAAGTTGCAACCTGATGGTCCATGGACTGAATTTGGCACAAATGATTCTTATTTGGCCTATAGGGTGTGTTTGTTTTTAATCGAACTTGATGCTAATGTTTAGAATTCAGAAAATTTCACAAACAACTTCTGGCTTCTCTTCAAAAACTAAAAGCTCTAGCATCATTGGGCTTACATCCTTGCATGGAGACAGTTGGGGTAAACCAAGTTGTTGCCACTGCTCGCTTTAGAGTTTGCCATCATTCTCATCTTTTCCTACTGTTATGCCCAAGCTGCTTCTCTTATTTCTATTACCGGGATGATCCCTGTAGATATTTGAGTTGGTGATCCCTGGCACAAACACTGTGCTTCATTTCTGCACTCAATCTTGAATGAACTTTATAGTAAGTTCACCCCCTCCACCCCACCACTACTAGGATTTTCAAGATTTAAATGCAGTAAATAACAGGAAAGAAGAAAAATCGTGGATTTGCTGATATGTGAGGACTGTAGTTCAGCATTGCTAACTCTTAGCTCTTGACCTTAGACAAATGTTCCGTAAGTGACAAACCTCATGACAAGTTTTGGTGTTGCTACTGAGAGGGGAAAAGAAACACATTAGTTGAGACCCATTACATTATCTCATTTGAAATCTTTATAAAAACCTGTCCAGGTCAATGATATGGTTTCTTTTATACAAACGAGGAAATGGGGATTAGAGTTAAGAAACCTTCTCAATTTTTTAAAGCTGAAAATTAAGGGAACCAAGACTCATATTTATTCCAAAGTCCTTGCTGTTCTCCACAGCAAACTGCCCCACTCAATGGAATTCCATGACATCTATTTAGGCTTAAATTCAGGTATTGCTAAAGAGGCAAAGTGTACCAGCCTCATTAAACAGACTGCATTTGGACTTTAGCATCTTTTATAATTAAGGAAAAATAAAAAGCTGTACTTACCACGAGGACTTGTTTTTCCTTAAGATAATTTTTTTAACCCACATGATTTTCAGATCAAATGGTGCTTTATTGATTTCAACAATGAAAATAAGAGCAAACTTTTATAGAGCACTTACTATGTATTCATATGTTACTTTATTTAACTCTCTCAGCAACCATCTTGGGCAGGTATAGTTATTATCCATATTTTAAGGATGAGGAAACTGAGGCACAGAGAGATAATGCTGAGAGACATGAACAGACTGCTTGACAAACTAGCTATTAGGTAGATTGATATCATAACTGTAAAGGCAGCTTATGTTTCCAACTTTCTGACCAATTTCTGGTGAATATTGACCAAGATATTGGAGATACTCTAGTCATTGTCTTTCTGCAGTCTATACTTAGCATTCGCCTGTTCTCCAAGGTCATGCTGGAAAAACCCCTGGAGGACTGGTTTGCCCAAATAGAAATCTTAAAAGTGTTTCCATAAATGACAATTTGGGAAGGCCATTAGTAGTAAATAAAAAAATAAATTTCTGTAAATACATTTTTTTTCAAAGTGGTTGATATGTGCTATAGAAATTGTCTGAATTTTCATATACAATGAGTTTTATTGACTGTGAGAAAAAGTTTTGGATGCTCAACTCCACTGTGTTAGGTTTGCTGTTTTAACTTTGCATAGCTGGGGTTAGTTTAAATATTTGAATGAAAAGCATTTCTCTATCCTTACCACTGAGGGACCATAAGGGGTCACATTGCCCTCCCTGAATTGGAGAAGTCACCTCAAATAGATTGGCAGAACTAGTTCCTGATGCCTGTTTTTGAAAAAGAGTTCCTTGTCGCAATTTTCTCTTAGCAATTGCAGGTTGGCCTATGTCTTATGGATCCCAGGATCGAGTGACTGCTCTAGCCCTTGACTATCAGAGAGAGCATGTAAGCAACAGTTATATCATCCTGCTTTTTCTGTCACTCCTTCTCACATTTCTGGACCAATCTGAGTTCTAAGAGGTGTCCATAATGCTTGGGTGCATACAACCATACCATTGGCTACTGTACATTCCTTTGTAGGAACCAAAGTGTTCTTGTTTTGGGGGTAATTAGGTAGAAAACAACCTGAACAATTCATGGCTAAAGCTTATAAACCTCTCACTACAGATTTGACTGGCAGCGTCTGATATACTGTCCTTCTCTTCTCCTCTTAAGAGACATAATGGATTAGAATCAGCAGAAAAGCTACACTTGCACTAAATCTCATCTTCAGAAAAACTATGCTTACTCTAGGTCCCATCTCAGCTGGTTTACTGAAAGCCAGGGCTGAACTCTGTACTTTTTGTACTATTACCTGCCATGTTTCCTGTTCTACTTTTCAGTGTTCCCAGGATTAGTCTTGGACTTTTTGTTCTTGCTTCCTTTCTATTCCCTCTCAGGATGATTTTATTTAAAATCTGTAGCTATCTCTTAAAGGTGTTGACTCTTAAAGAAGACAACCTCAGATTGCATGTGTCCCCTGACCTGGAGTCCTATATACTCTCTGCTGGTAGAACCCATCCCTTTGGATGTTCCTTTGGCTTCTCAAAATCAACAGGCTTTAAACTAAGCTTATTACCTGCCTTACTGTCTCACCTACTCTTCTTTCTGTTTTCTGCAGTGGGTATCAAACTTCAGCATGTGTAAATTCTGACTCATTAAGTTCTAGAATGGGGCAAGGAATTGACATTGTTTGCACATATCTCTAGTGATTCTGATGTCTGCGGTCCATGTGCAACACTAACAAAGGCAATGTGGTGAATGTGCTTGTCTCCATCTGGTCACATAAGCTAGAAATCTTAGAATCACCCTGGACTCCTCTTCTCTCTCAACCCATGTCCAAAAGTCTACTGTGTCCTATTGATTGTCCTTTTTTGTGTCCTAAATCAGTCCCTTTCTCCCTATTTCCACTGCTGCTTTCTTCATTCTATTCTAGGTCATCTCAACCTACTCCTTCTTTCTCCTTGGCTTACTCTTGCCTCCTCCTATCTTCTTTCTACCATACCAGCAGAGTGATCTTTCCAAAATGCAAATATCATATGGCTACTATACGTCCCAAAGTTCTCAATGACTCTATTTTAGAGGATAAAGGCCAAACTTCTTAGTATGGCATATTAGGTCATTGGTAATCAGGCCCCAGCATTTGCGTCTAGCTTCACCTCTTTGTCAGTCCCTCATTTCAACATACACTCCAGGAACATCAGAATATCTTTAAGCCTGGGCATGTTTTAGTCCTGTATTCTCCATGCTGTTGCATAGGTTGATCCTTTTGCTTCAATTACTGTTCCTCTTCTTTGGCTGGCTAGATTTTACTCTGTCATACAGTGAATCAGGTCAAACATTTCCACTTTGGGGAAGCCTTCTATGAACTTTGTTGGCTGAATTAAAGATTTCTCTATAGAACTAGAACTCTGTGTCTGTGGATATTACATAGTTTTGATTTTATTGTTTTACTTTTTTTTCAAGCTAGAATGTGATTTTATTGAAAGCTTTGACTGTGTTTTTAATCTCTGTATGCATAGTACCTACCTCAGTGCCTGGTGTTTAGTAGGCGTTTCAAAGATGTTTGAGAATGAATGGCCAAATGTTTTAAAAAAACTTGGTAAGATGTTAGCCACATTAGGATTCAAAATCAAGAGGAATGTCCTTCTGTCATGGCCCTTGCAACATCAATGGCTCTCATATCTTAGGGAGGTGTATGTGAAGATCAGCTTATTACCTAGTTGCCTTTTCCAGTGTTCATTTACCAGATTCAAGTTCCTGGGGTGAGCAAAGAAAGCTGGTGTTCCACTGCTAAAATCAAAAGTCAAGCTTGGTCTCCAAGGTGATTTTAAGATGTGGATGTCAAGCCTAATTTGTACCAAATCAAATGGAAATTTCAAGGAAGCTGCTTTCAACTCAATATAAGCAGTTGGGTTGTCTAGAGCTAGGGAGTGGCAAACAAACTTCTTGCCACTAGAACTCACACAGAAGCGAGGATATTGTAAAAGCGATTCCTGCTTTGGGTGGGAGTCTGGGAGTAAATGACTAACTTGGTTATGCAAATATTGTTGTAAGCATCTCTAGGATATCCTGTTTCGTATTAAGCATGGTCAATCAGCCAGCATTCAAAAGGCATTTATTAAGCAATTGTAAAGAATCTGTAATTGTATAGAAATAAACAGTACACTGTCCTTGTCACAGAGACCAGCATGTAAACATACAACTTAGCCTTTAGAAGTCTTGTGCTGGCAATTTATCAAAATTCTCTTTCACATCAAAAGAATAAGAACAGAGAGTTGAGAATCAGTATGAAAGAAACTTCTGTTTCCTGTTGTGAAACAAAAATTCCCTAAGGGGAGGTGACATCTGTAATATTTTAAGTGAGGGACACCTCATCCTGCGTTTTTTTTTTAAGAAGAGTATTTCAGAGGGAAGACATGTTTGATTGGTTATGATAAAGGTGCTCCTAGAAAAGACCATGTTCACAGAACAAGAAAGCCGGTGTGGGTTCTGTCCATGGAACAGGAAAGCCAGGTGGCCTTTTGGTGGAGGGCACTATGGGAGGAGCTGCCTCAGTGTAGAACTAGTCTTGGGAAAGTCCAGGGAGCAGGGTCAGTGTCTTTCTGTGGGTAGCCCCAACAGAACTATGTGATCAAATGAGGATGGAATTCAGCATGAAAACCACAGCACAAAGAAGGGGGTACATAGCAGGATATCTTTGGTTAATAGAGAATTGCCTCATCTGTAAGTGAATCCTATTTTAGATTTTAAAACAAAAAAATGTTTTAAACAAAAGAAGTTTAAAACAAAAGAAGTTAGTTTAGGAGCAGGACATTTCTAAGCATTTCCAGTGTTGTTGTCTCCTAAGGGAAGCTGTTTTCCAAGTGACCATGGGTACTTTGATGATGGAAGGCAAAAAACTTCCGTTTGCCTGCAACTGGGCCAAAAGGGATGGACAATGCTGTAGCCCCTTGCTAGGGAGCAAGAGAGCCAAAGGAGTGGAAGTAGGGTTCTTCTGAACTCAGGAAAACTCTCAAAAAGAGATTATTTTGAAAGGTGGAACTTTTAAAAAAAATTGATAATGAATTTTAACTCTCATTCTTGTCAATACAAGAGGATGGGAGTTGGCTCAATGGAATCCTACAGAACACTATTAAGGGCAATAACTTCTGACTTCCTGCTGAATCCAGAGAGCAGCATAATATTACTCATTCTGTCACTCAACCAGCTAGTGCCTAACAATCAGGGGCCTCTGATTGTTCACCCACTGCCTAGTATCAGGGGCACTTACCTCCCTCTGCTCTCAGGTCACTGCAACTGCGAAAGAATCTGGGAGTTGAATTCAGCTTCCAGATGAATTATTTGTAAAATACAATCCACTCAATTTAAAGAATTTGCAGCAATTTGGATTATAACATACAATTAAAATAAATCTCCAGCCAGGACGTGGTGGCTCACACCTGTAATCCCAGCAATTGGTGAGGCTGAGGCAGGAGGATTGCTTGAATTCAGGAGTTCAAGAGCAGCCTGGGCAACATAGCATGACCTCATGTCTACTAAAAATAAAAAAAGCTGGCAGGGTACTTTTTTGGTGGTCGTGTACACCTGTAGTCCCAGCTAATTAGGAGGCTCAGGCGGGAGGACCACTTGAGCCCGAAAGATTGAGGCTGCAGTGAGCTATGATTGCACCACTGCACTCCAGTCTGACTGACAGAGCAAGACCCTGTCTCAGAGAAATTATGAATAAATAAATAACTGAACCTCCATAGGAAGCAAATGTGGTATTAGGAATTTGTTATTGTCCTACAGATAATAGTCACAAATCAACTTGTCACAAATTACTCAATAAATCCTACAATAGAACTTAGAGGGAAAGCCAAAGATTTCTCTTGCTACTCTTTAGTATGTTAAAATATAAAGGGGTTTTGAGGGTACTATGATGGCATAACAGCCTGATGCTCCTTGTCCATTCTTTCAACATGGAGCAAGAAGAACTTGAAAGAATTACATGGACTCCTTAGAGCGTGTGTCTATGCAATATTATATACCGAGCAGAATAGGTTCAAGATGAGGTTTCTCCTAGAGAAAACACTACCACTGTGCTACTGAATTTTGGTCTGATTTGAGGATAGAGCTTAAGGATCCTATCATGAAATAAAAAATTATCCTATTAATGATAGATTCTTTAAGTTTTTGGTGTCTGCATGAGCTCTTGCAGGGGAATTTAGGGACATGAGTTTTTCACTCAGGCTGGGATTTCAATTGCCAACCAAACTATCACTTACCTTCTCTGGACTCCAATTCCTTTATCTCTAAAGGCAAGAGGGTCGAATTGGATGCTTTATTAGATATCTTCTTGATCTAAAACTTAGTTATAGGAAAGTTCTTTACTCATTTTTGATGCTGATTCACTTAGCTGTCATACATTCATCTGATAGATATTTAAGGCTACATACTTATTTGTCAAGCACTATGCTAGGTTAAAAGAGAAGTCTATAATGGTGAATAGCACAGTCGTACTTCCAAGGACCTCAAAATACAATGTGTATGTGGAGAGTGAGGAGCAATAATTAATAAAATAAATAGCAAGCATAATATAATGCAATGCACAATAATTTATGGGAAGTATAAAGTGCTTTGGAAACTCGAATGAGGGATAGCTTACTTAGTCTTTGGAAGTGGATCAGATAAAGATGGCTTCTCGGAGAAAATGACATTTAAATTGAGCCCTGAAAGGGTTCTGCTGTGCAAGAGAATGAGGAGTTAGAGCTGTAGAGCAGGTTATATTCAGAGGAAGGCATTTGCACAAAGGCTTAAGGGTGGGGGAGCAAAAAAGAATATCAGCAATGTGCTTATGAAGCTGGAGGGAATTCAGCATGGAAAACACATCATAGAGAAGGGTGGGGGTATAGCAGGAGACAATTGAAAGTGGAGTGAGGGCAGGTCATGCAGTGAAGCAGGGAGTTTGGATCTTACTTTGAAAATTGGTGGGGAAATGGGAGCTGTTGAAGCAGGGGAGTGAAGTGATCAGTGCTTTGTTTTAGAAAGATCTTTGGCTGCAATGTGTAGAAGGGGTTAGGGGCAGGGGCTTTGGCTTGGCTGGGCAACTCTGAGCTGGAGGGTGACACCAGTGAAGATGCTTTCATTTTTTGACAAGGCCACCAGCTGTGTAATTGGAGGAGTTTTCCAGGCTAGTGGATGTGGATCCTGAGGCTGCGAGCTAGGAGTGACTAATGAGAAGGTACCAGATGCTGCTCTCTAGACTTGGGCCCCCTCTGTGAACACCTCAGCAGGCCAGAGAGGAGCTGCTTGCTGCTTTTTCTAACCTGGGCACTAACTGAGTTGAGCCTCCTATCCAGATTGGGGCTGGCATTTGCAGCCTCACCAGGAGCAGAGAAAGAAGAGCCAACTCCCTTGCAGGCAGATAGGAAGGAGCTGAGGCTCCACAGGACACTATCAGTCAGGATTTTCTCATTGCCTGGCTGGTGTTCAAATGGGTTCATATGCCCCACAGTTTCTGTCCATACCCTTGGATGACCTTGAGACTCTCAGCTTTTGTTTTATTGCTTCATAAAATACTTGGACTTTCTAGAAAATGTGCAAACTCCTCCTTTGTCGGAAGAGGACATCTTGGCCATTCTTGCGAGGACTATAGGCCCCTGGAGGAGGGACCTGTCAAGCACAGAAAGATTCAGAGCTACAAAGGGAAACGGCTTGGCTTTCTGTCTCAGGGCCCTTCTGAGCTCTGGTAGACAGAAGAAACACATGTGTAAATAACACAAACATTTGATAGCTGTACCACATCCCACTCATGCTTGGAGACCAGAAAGTTCAGAAGGCATGGTCTGGGGCTGAGGAACAAGAGTTGTCAATCTCTCTATCCAAAGGGATCTATTCTTGTGGCTCTTCTTTGGTGTGCTTTAATTCTGGGCCTGAAGCATATCCACTGGGTGTTAGTGCTTGGGGAGCCTGTGCAAAGCCCATGGGAGGGCTGTGCTTTCACAGGCATACATTTCACTCTGTAAATGTATCATCTTGGATTGTATTTTGCCTGTCATCACTGTGTATAACTATGTATAACTCTTTTAGTAGGTTGTAATTCGTTGAAAATAGCAAAGGTACTTACCCAATCTGGTTTTCCCAGAAGCACTAAAGCATGATGACTTACACCCAGTAGGTGCTCAATAAGTGCTTCTTGAAATAAAAGGGAGTATATGTCTAGGTTTGCTCACTCAACTTTTAAGAGTTTAGTAGGGTGGTCCTAGTTAGGGTATGCTGCCACCATTCACATAATTGAAATGATTGGATTCTAACCTTGGGCATTTTCCTGAAATTGAAGAGATCTCAGATATGTAACATTTCTGGGGTGCTCCACAGCCATGGGTGGGTCTAGGGTAAGCACAGCCTTAAGTATTTGCAATGGCCTTGGAGACCGTTCACTGATTATTAATTGTCTTATCACAACAATTCACTCGGTGCTCCCCACATGCCAGTCCTCAGTACGAGGTCCTGTATTCAGGACTTTACATCTATTGTCTTCATTAGTCCTCACTGCAACCTGTGTAAGTCTTATTGCTATTTTTTACATGAGGTCATCTAGGCCTCTGGAGGTTATGCGATTTGCTGAAGGCCAGCTAATCATGCTACAGCCAGGACTCATGCCTGGGTCTGTCTGACTCCATAGCTCATGCCCATTCTATAGCTCATTACATAGTTTCACTGGTTGTGTTAGTTGGGTTGGGTTCTGGGCAGGTGGACCTGTGATTATGGAAGCTCCACTGAGCCTGGAGGACTGAGGATAGCATGTATGTGAAGGGATTTTCTTCCTGGGAGATGACATAGCAAATGGAAGGCTTACACAAACTCCAGACTCTCTCCTCCTGGCCCAGGGACAACTCTGGCCAGTTCCTGCCAGAACTCCCACGTATGTCTAGATATGATCCAGAAAAGAAAGAAATGAGATGTGATTCTGGAAGAGGGGCCATTTATGGGCAGGACAGTAGAAAGCAATGGTGTGTGAGTGTGTGTGTGTGTGTGTGTGTGTGTGTGTGTGTGTGTGTTAGGGGGGCAGTTGTTGAGTGCTTTTCTCTGGAGCCTCTGGCTAACAGCTACAGAGGTGTAAATAGCAACCTTGAGAGTTTGGCGAGCTTTTTAAATCTCTGAGAAAAATGACTTGCAGTAGGTGGTTCCTAGTCTATTGCAAATTGTCACACCTGAGCCACTATACAAGGAAAAGATCATTTGGGGGATGACAAGAACTACAGTCTATGGAGCAGAGAGACTATTCTCCTGGATGCTTTACCCAGATTTTGAGGTAGGAGGGGAAAAGCAGCAGGGAAGGAGAAGGTCCAGAAGTCAGAAAGCCTAGAAGCAAGAATACAACAGTCAGAGCCACAAATTACTTGTGTTAAGTTATTCTGTGTTTCACCTCAGGGTCTGTGAAGACCCCTTCCTTCTGGGGTCTCGGGCACATGGAAAAGACAATATTATCAAATGCATTTGAAGTGTAGCAGAGTTGTATGAACCTAAGATGTTATTACTGTAATGTAGCAATTTTGTTCTGCCAACAAACATGATATTTTCTTGTGAACATGGTCAAGATGTTAAGACATAATCTTCCAAAGTTTATGTTGGAAAGTAAAAAATGCTGCTCAATGTCACATTCGTAATTCTAGTGAAAGTTCTCCTTTCTTCCCCTGCAATGTTCCCCATGGACTATATTTTGGAAGATATAGAACTGAGCAGAGAGCTTTGATTTATCTGTTTTAATTATTTTTTCTTGGTTGTGGAGAAGGGGAATTTTTGTTTAGGAAGGATCTGGAAAACAAAACCCCAATCTAATTAAACACATTTTGCTGGTGATGTTAGATGTAGTTTTTTTGTTTGTTTGTTTTTGTTTGTTTGTTTGTTTTAGAAATCTTTGCCATTGACAGAAGAAATGTTTAGGAATTTTGGGGGATCAGCCTTCCAAAAACATTGAATTGTCTGTTTCTACCAGCATAGTGAGCATACATTAATCCCTGTTTCCCTGGCAGGCTTAATTTATCCAGTGAAGCTGTGAGTGGTCACTTTTAGGTATGGTTATTACATGATTGAGGCAGTCCTGACAGGGAGAAAACAAAAGGATATATTGTGGCCATGCAGCAGAACAAATGGTTATAGCCCTACCTGGCTCCACTATATTCCCCTTAACAAAATAAATGATGTGAGAATTGATCTGCTTACAGAGAGACACCTTTTGAGTATAATGGCCCATTCCTGGCTTACCACATACCCTAGACTCACTCAATGTATTTCTCCTTTTTCTCCCCTTTTTTTTTTTTTTGAAAAAGCTCTCAATTGCACTAATGACTGAAAAAACTCAAATTAGTAACTTGGCTTTTGAGAATCTATATTATTTGGTTAGTATCTGTACAACTCATTTAATTGATTTAAATTAAAGAAAATTGCACAAGACTTAACCTTACAAAATAAATACATTTGAAACAAACCTTTTGATTAAATTTTGGTGGCACTTTTCTAATGGCATCTCTCATTTTGAAGTCTCTTTAAAACTGAACAAACCCCACAGTTTTGAATGGCAGTAGTTTTGGCAGCCAGAGCTTATTTGGATCGATTCTTATGGTCAAATGTCCATCTGCGGCCTGTGTCTGAAATCTTCCATTTGTCCTCCTTTTCTGCAGAGTAAGTACAATTACTAGCAGACTTCAAACATGGGCTTCAGAGGCAGAAAGCTATGCTTCTGAGATGTAAAATATCTTGAAATAAGATTTTGTTCAAAGACCACTATGGGTACTTTTTAACCATTCTTTTGGAATCATTAAAATGATTCTTAGCTAAGATATGGATACACAGGAATGGTATGATTAAGTCTCACAGAAGTTTATATTCTGCTGCGTGAACTTCTGGCCTTATGTTGCTTCAAGTCAGTGAGAGCCTTTGGACAAAAATGCATCTGTGATGTTGCCAAACCTAAAATCAAAATCAAAATTAAAACCTTTTATGCTTCAACGAATGTCACAAAAAAGGGAAAGGACAGCTCACAGAAGGGGAGAAAAGCTTAAAAATCGTATCTCTGATAAGGGATTTGTGTCTAGAATATATAAAGAATTATTACAACTCAATGATAAAAAGACAAGCCAATTAAAAAAAAATTGGTGGATCATGAGGTCAGGAAATTGAGACCATCCTCGATAACACGGTGAAACCCCATCTCTACTAAAAATAGAAAAAACTTAGCTGGGCGTGGTGGGGGTCACCTGCAGTCTCAGCTACTTGGGAGGCTGAGGCAGGAGAATGACGTGAACCCAGGAGGCGGATCTTGCAGTGAACCTAGATTGCACTACTGCACTCCAGCCTGGGTGACAGAGCAAGACTCCATGTCAATAAAAATGGGCAAATGGCCAGGCGTGGTGGTCACGCCTGTAATCTCAGCACTTTGGGAGGCAGAGGCAGGCAGATCACTTGAGGTCAGGAGTTTGAGATCAGCCTGGACAACATGGTGAAACCCCCTCTCTACTGAAAAAAAAAAAATTAGCTGAGCTTGACGGCAGGTACCTGTAATTCCAGCTACTCAGGAGGTTGAGGCAGGAGAATTGCTTGAACCCGGGAGGTGGAGGTTGCAGTGAGCCAAGATCGCGCCACTGCATTCCAGCCTGGGTGACAGAATGAGATTCTATCTCAAAAAAACAAAACAAAACAAAACAAAACAAAGCAAAACAAAGGGCAAATGATCTGAATCGACATTTCTCCAAAGGAGATAGACAGATAGCCAGTAAGCACATGAAAAGGTTAGCTATCATGAAAATGTAAGTCAAAATGACAATGAGATACTACCTAACATACACTAAGTTGGCTATAATAAAAAAGACAAATAATATAAAATGTTGGTGAGGAAGTAGAGAAATCAGAACCCTTATACAATGCTGGTGGGAATGTAAAATGATGCAATTGCTTTGCAAACTAGCCTGACAGATCTTCAAATGGTTAAACATAGAGATTATCATATGATCCAGCAATTCCACTTTTAGGTGTATTCTTAAGGAAATGAAAACATATATCCACCAAAAAATTGTACATAAATCTTCCTAAATGCTGCTAAACATTTTTCATCATGGCCAAAAAGTAGAAACAACCCTAATGCCAATCAACTGATGAATGGATAAACAAAATGTGATATATCCATACACTGAAATATTCTGCCACAAAAAGGAATGACATATTGATACATGCTACAACATCGATGAATGTTAAAAACATTATATTATGCTAAGTGAAATAAGCCAGTTACAAAGGACCACATATTGTATGATTCCATTTATATGGAATGTAGGAATAGATCGGTGAATTGTATGGTATGTGTTATGTTTCCATAAAGCTCTTAAGAAAAATAATGCATTTATGATGTGTCTCTATGTCCTTTTTTTATCTCCTTTGTTTTGTACTTGACTCTTAGAAAAGAAAAGGGATATATCTTAAAATTATAGAAAAAACTAATTGAAAATCTTCAAGGGAGGAAAAATACAAGAATTATGTGTGAAACCCACCAAGGTCAAACTTCTGATTGACTAAGCACAGATAAACCCTGGAGTTGGGTGAGATGCCACAGAGAAATTGTCCTTCAGTGCTTTCTGCTTTTGAGACTAAGGAAAACATATTATGGGAAATGCAACAGGTAGTCCCAGTAATGGCCAAAGCAGGTAGTGCACAGACTAGGAACTGAAAAGAAAAACAGACAGAAAAAGACCCATTTCTAAAGTGCAAGTAGCCTTTGAATCTGATGTTTTTGTTCCACCTGGTTCACGGGTGTGTGGTGACTTTCTGTGGACCTGTTTGTCTGTCGCTAGGAGATAAAGAATCAAAGCTCTGCCCACGGCTACTCTCCTTAAAACTACACCTTACTGAAGTTTTTATATGTCAGCTGCTGCTGTAGTGTGTTTGGGATGGAAATTGTTAAAACGAAATTATAACAGAGAGTCTACAGGCTGAGGCAGCATTGGAAATTGTCCAGCCATCCTGCAGAGCATGCACAAAAGAGATGTTTAAAGCAAGACTTCATTTTGAAAGCAAACCCTTAAGGGAACATGTTTTAAAATACTTTAAAAAGTCTTTGTTTGGCACATGAAAGTGAAAACGACCAGAGGGAAGATGAAGTTAGAGGCAGCCAAAGTCTGAACTTCAGGGCAGTCACTTGTTTTCTGTTCCTCCGTATTGTCTTTCTCATTGGATCAGCTACTATTCACTACTTTAGTGATTAATGAAGGAGAAAAAGGAATCTCAGAAGAAAATGGCATAAAATCTCTATCAATGAATTGGATATAATAGCACCAGGTGGATGGCAAAGAAACAACCCAATGGCACAATCAGAAATCTGCTTTAGTTTGTAAGCCCTACTTAGGCTTAAGGCAAAAAATTCAGATTATTGAAATGTTTGCCCTCCCACCCTCCCTGTTTATTTGGTACAAGTGTGTATTTAAAGGGCTTAATTGAAAAAAAATGAAAACAAAAGCAGTGCTGAGGGAGACTAAAACAGACGTTTTTTCAGGGCCAGAGTCCAAAACAACCTGCCCTGTGCTTTCTGAATGTGCCTCGTCTATGCTGTGTGTTTGTTGGCATGTTGTTTTGTTAATTGGTGCTGGCTTTTCTGCATGCTAATTGTGAGCAGCACATGGAGATACTGATGTTAATTAGTGTTTTGTTTTGTTTTTTTTAAAAAAAGCAAAAAACAAACCCCTTCCCGTGTGAGGCACCCTTTGGAATGCACATTTTAAAAAATTAAATTGGTCACTTGGGGTGATCTCTTATTAACAAAAAATTTAGTTTGGTGTTAACAACTTCTATGCTGTGGATGTTTCTGCAAAGGAATTATCACCAGGACTATAGAAAAGCCAAGTGGCCTATTAAATACTTCTGATGTGCATTGAAATAGTTGACCAAAGATTGAATTTTCAGTCTTGGAGAACAGACAGCATCTCACTGCGTCTCATTTCATCCAGAACTCAGAGAAACAGGTAGACAACTCTATCCCATGATCACATTGTCATGTCCACCTTAGGCCTCTGGTGTACCTAGCACCTGCTGATGGGGCATTGATTCTGGAGGGGGATGTAGTGAAGGTAGATTCCAGACACTGGCACTTTGACTTAGACAAGCCTTTTAATGCTATTTGAACCATGATTTCCCTTTCTGAAATAAGATTGGACCAGATAAACTCTCATATCCCTTTGAGCTCTCAGATTTCATTGTTCTGTGATTTATATGATGCTGCCTCAGGACTCAGCTGCCATTCTTAGAACAGTTTAGATCTAATCACATAAATTAAAATATAAAATAGGTAAAGTATGTAGGAAAGGGAAATTATGCTTATTTTTTCTTAATAAAAAGTTTTAATTAAGATATAGACCTATAAACACACATATCCACACACATTAAAATAATGTTATTTTCGTTAGCAACAGGTCCGCAAATAACATTGTTTTGCTCAATGTTGTTTCTATAATGTTGAGGAAAAATAATCAATTCCCGCAGGGGCCACTGTCTGTGTAGAGTTTGCACCTTCACCCCATGTCTGTGTGGGTTTCTTTCATGGATTTTGGTTCCCTCCTACATCCCAAAGATGTGCATATCTGGTTAATTGGCATGTCTGAATTGTCCCAGTTTGAGCGAGTGAGTGTGACAGAGTGTGACAGTGCATCCTGTGATGGGATGGCATCTTGTACAGAGTTGGCTCCTGCCTAGGACCCTGACCTTCCAGGATAGATTCTGGCCACCCGAGACTCTGAACTAGAATAAGTACAATGAATAATGAATAATATAATAAATACAAGTTATTGTAAAATGAAAATTCATAAAGTATATGATAATCATACAAATGCACAGCAATAAATGATGCAGTAAGGAAATGCTCAGTGAGTCGTCATATTTGTTATTATTTACTTTTGAACTGCAAGGAGATAAGAGGTAATCCTGACAATTTTCACTTTGCAAACATTTATTCTTTGAATTAACTCACCATCACTACAACTGTCATCACTCACTAATTCACCAAAAATTTGGTAAATGATTATCTGATTTGTTTTTATTAATCTTTCTTAACTGTGTGTATAGCTCACATTTATTTTAATATTTAATATTAGAAGTACTTTGTGTCTTTATTAGAAGTTTGGTGATGTTTTCATGATCAGAAATATGATATAGTAACTTAACTCTTGTTTAGATCAATTAGCCTATGGTAAAATTGGCATTTTCATATGTCACTTTGCTTGAAGTCATAGTTTCCAAGAACCTATTGATGATGTTAAGTAAGGACTGACTATAATTCAACTGAACCTTGCAGGTAAATTTTCATTCTATTAGCCCAATTGTCTATCATCCTCTTACAAATTTCACCAGCATGCAAAACAAGTAGCCCACAAAAGCCAGCTTCTAGGAATCTCTTTCTCAATTAACAAGCAATTGTTGTGCATTCAGTATGTGCTCACACTGCTCTATGAACTCTAGGGTAATTGAATGAATTTAAAACTTAGTTCAATTGAGAAAAAAACAGTGATGCTTTCTTTGGGTATGAATTGTTTTCACAATAGGGATTTAGGAAGGAGGAGAAGACAGAAAGTGGTTCTAGTTAGAGAAATCTTCACTGAGTATGTGACACATGAGTTAGACTCCAAAAGTTAGGCAAGGTAAGGGCATCCCAATAGAAGGATGGGAGAAAGTAACATTAGAAAATAAATGGAGATGACACCAACCATCTCCACTGAGGAAGTAAGTGGAGGGGGTTTACTGATACAAACAACACTGCTATGGCACATCACCATGGTATTTAGACTTAAGGCTATGGCTAACATGAATAAGTTGTTTTGAGAAATTACCATGGAGTGTGTGCAGAATGAATCCTCATGCCCTAAAATTATCACCTCTCTGGAGCATTCTAGATGTTCCTAGATGGAATTAAAGTGTCCATTGCATGTTCTTCTTCCATGTATTTTATAAGTGTTGGATTGCAATTAAGATGGTGTTTGTCAAAAAAACCTAAAATATGTGAGCCTGAGGCCAAAAAGGGAGATATAATATACAGAGTGGTCTTTTAAAAACATAAGGCATAGAACACAATATTATTCCTGTGCTAACAACCTTTCAATGGGCTGCCCATCTGCATTCTGATATGTAAAAAGCTTGAAAGTCATAACTCTTATCCTTACAACAAGAAAAATTTGGACACACTGGAAATCAATGACTTTTCATGGACCTGTCAGAGAATTGAGGTCTTGGGACAAATGGCCATCATGAAACCTGGAGGGACAAGTACATCCAGAGAGACATATCCAAATCTGTTTACCTCAGGCAAAAGCTGCCGAAACCATAAAGTAGAAGGAACACAAGTAATTTTGATGGATTGCTAGAGGCTGGACTAATTTGAGAGTGATAAACATTTGCGGGGCCATAGCCTAGAAAAGGGGATCACATTTTCATGAAATTTGCCTCCAAGAAAGTACCAGGTTCTCATGGTGAATATCTGAGGAAAATCTCTGTGTCTCTGCCAGATGGAGAGGAAGAGCAATCACTGAAAAATATACCCAGAACGTTCTCTGTAACCAAGCCCCACTCTCCAGGGAAAAGGGCTTGCCTTAGTCCATCTGGGGTAAAGGCATTTCTTACACTTTAGTTTCCTCTAGCTTTCTTATTTGAGTGTGAAACAGGAAGACATAAAGGAGTCAGGGCTTTAAGGAAATAGATTAGAAATCCTGAAATTAGGAAGAAAGTAGTAAGCAGGGATGGAACAGAGCTATATTTGTGGGAAAACACTGTAAAGATCACAGCTCTGAGACAGGTCAGCTAGAAGACTGGTGAAGTTTAATTGGAGAATTATAGAATGCTCCTTTATACTGCCACACCAATAGAAATCAGTATGCTAAGAGTGGATTATAGTTGAAAAAGCTGCCAGACAAAGACTCTTTTTGAGGAAGGGAGAGTTCTTAGTGAAATCAAAGTCAAGAGGAGAGACAACAAAAGGACATCACAGGAATTTGAAGCCTCTGGCACCTGTAGCTACAGCAAACATTAAACTTGGCCCAACTCCTAGCCAGATTACATAAATTCTTATACTAAAGATCTATTTATTAAGTCCATGTTACCTAATACATGTGATACTTTTAACAAAAAATCGCAAGTAATGCCAAAGGGCAATAAAAAAACACAGTCTGAAGAGAGAAAGCAGCAATCAGAACCAGACTCTGATACAACATAAGATGTTGAAATTATAAAATAGGAATTTAAAATAACTATAATTGATATGTTAGGAATTCTATTCAAAATAGAGAACATAGATGAACATATGTTCATGAGGCAAGCATGCCCACTCCTACCACTTCTATTCAATGTAGTATTGAAAGTTCTAGACAGAGCAATTATGCAGGAAAAATAAATAAAAGGTATCCACATAATAAAAGAAGAATTAAAATTGTCCCTGTTTGCAGATGATATAATCTTATATATAGAAAATCCTAAAGACCCCATCAAAACACTATTAGAACAAGGAAACACATTCAATAAGTTTGCAGGATACAAAATTAACATACAAAAATCAGTTGCAGTTCTACATACTAACAACAAAACCTCTGGAAAGGAAATGAATCAAACAATCTTATTTACAATAGCACTAAAAAGGATAAATTTAACAAAGGAGATGAAGAATTTGTATACCGAAAACTACAAAACATTGATGGAAGAAATCAAACAAGACGCAAACAAGTGGAAAGATATCCCATGTTCATGGATTGGAAGACTTAATATTGTTAAATATCCGTACTATCCATACTATCTAAAGTAATCTACAGATTCAGTGCAACTCCTCTCAGAATTCCAATGGCATTTTTTACAGAAATTGAAAAAAAAAACTATGAAATTTATATGGAACTACAAAAGACCATGAATAGCTAAATCAATCTTGAGAAAAAAAGAACACTTTTTGATTTCAAAACATATCACAAAACTACAGTAATTAAAAGAGTATAGTACCGGCATGAAGACAGACACATAGATCAATGGAACAGAATATAGAGCCCAGAAATAAATTCAGGCATATATAATCAACTGATCTTCAACAAGTGTGGCAAGAATACACAATAAAGAAAGGACAGTCTCTTCAAAAAATGATATTGAGAAAACTGGATATCCACATGTAAGAGAATGAAATTGGACCCTGATTTTATACTATACACAAAAATAAACTGAAAATAGATTAAAGACTTACACATAAGACCAGAAACTGTAAAACTCTTTGAAGAAAACAAAAACAGAAGGGTAGAGACAGATGGCAGAACAGGATTTTCCAGTGCCTGTGTCCCTGCAGAAGCATCATTGACCAACTATCCACACATGAAAATACCTTTACAAAAAAGCAAAGAAAACCAGGTGAGGGATAACAGCACCTAAGTGTAGCAAGGAAATAAGAAAAGATATATTAAACAGGGTAGAATGTGCACTTTTACATTACCTATGTCACCCCTCCCCTAATCTCAGGCCCCACAGCACTGGGGGAGACACTCTCTGCTTAAAGAAAAGATACAGAAGTGAACACTGGACTTTGCCTCAGGCTTCAACACTGGGCCCACAGCAGTAAAACCCTACAATGAGCAGACTCCAATAGCCCTAGACCTCAAGTTTACAGGGTCTTTCTTCTGATTGGTCATTTTCACTATTGATGCTCTGTATTGCACTTTTCATCTTGTGCATAGTAATTTTCAGCTTCAGGGTTTCTGTTTGATTTTAAAATAATTTTAATCTTGTTAAATTTCCCATTTTGGTCTTTTATTGTTTTCCTCATTTAAAAAATTATTTCCCTGTATATTCTTTTACTTCCTATACTTGTGGTAACCACAAAACAAAAACCTATGTTAGATAAACAAAAAATAAAAAGTAAGGAATCAAAGCTTATTGCTAGAGAAATTTCCTTAATCACAAAGGAAGAAAGGAAGAAAGTAACAAAACATCTACAAATCAACTAGAAAGCAACTAACAAAATGGCAATAGTGACTACTTACCTATCACTAATTACCTTGAATATAAATAGATTAAATTCTCCAATCAAAAAACACAGAGTGCCTGAATGAAAACAAGTTCCAGTTATATGTTCCAGTTATATGTTGCCTACAAGATACTAACTTCACTTGTGAGGACACATATACATAGACAAAAGTAATGGGACAGAAAAAGGTATTTCATGCAAATGAAAACCAAAAGGAAAAAAGAATAGCAATACTTATATCAGATAAAATAGACTTTAAGTCAAAAACTGTGAAAAGGAAAAAGCGTTATATAATGATAAAAGTGTCAGTCAAGAGAGGATATAACAATTATATATATATTTTTATATAAATACACATATATAAACATATAAGTGTATAGATATATAATATGATTATGTAAAAATATACGTGTATATATTATATATATACACACACACACATATGCAATCAACATTAGAATGCCTAAATATATAAAACAAATATTAGTAGATCTGAAGGGAGACATAGAATGTAATACAATAATAGTAGGGGACATCAATACTCCAATTTAAGCAATGGATAGATAATCCAGACAGAAAGTCATTAAGGAAGTATAGAACTTAACGTGCACTTTAGGCCAAATGGACATAACAGAACCTTTTATCCAATAGCAGCAGAATACATACCCTTCTCAAGTGCACACACAAAATTCTCCAGGATATATTATGTGTTAGATCACAAAGTAAGTCTTAACACATTTAAGAAGAATGAAATAATATCAAGTATAATTTCTCATCATAAAGGTACAAAATTAAAAAACAATAAGAGGAGAAACTTCAGAAAGTTTACAAATATATCAAAATTAAACATGCTCCTGGATGATAAGTAGGTCAATGAAGAAATTAAAAGGGAAATTTAAGAATATCTTGAGACAAACCAAAATGAAAACATAATATCCCAAAATATACAGTATGCAGCAAAAGCAATTTTAAGACTGAAGTCTGTAGCAATAAATCATCCTATGTGAAAAAAAGAGAGAAAGATCTCACATCTAAGAACCTAACATTACATCTCAAGGAACTAGAAAAGAAAGAACAAACTAAGACCAAAGTTAGAAGAAAAAGAAACATAATAAAGATTCAAAGCAGAAATGAATAAAACAGAGACTAGATAAACAATAGACAAGATCAAAGCAAAACTAAGAGTTGGTGTTATGAAAAGATTGACAAAACTGACAAACCCTTAGCTAGACTAAGAAAACAATCGAGATGATTTAAATAAATAATCAGAAATAAAAAAGGAGGCATTACAATGGAGACAACAGAAATACAAAGGTCTAAAAGAGACTTATGAACAGTGATATGTCAACAAACTGGATAAACTAGAACAAATAGATAAATTCCTAGACACAACATACCAAGTTTGAATTATAGAGAACTGGAAAATCGAAGTAGAACAATAATGAGTAAGGAGATTGTATCAGTAATAAAACTCTTCCATTAAAAAAAGTGTAGGATCTGATGGCTTCACTGATGAATTCTACCGAACATTGATAGAACTAATACTAATCCTTTTCAAACTCTTATCAAAAATTGAAGAGGAGGAAAGGCTTGCAATGCCACTTTATAAGGTCAGTATTACACTGATACCAAAACCATGCAAAAACTCTACAAAAAAAGAAAATTACAGGTCAATATTCCTAATGAACATAGATGCAGAAATCCTCGAGAAAATATTAGCAAATTGAATTCAACAATGCATTAAAAAGATTATTCACCATGATCAAGTGGGACTTATTCCTGGTATGCAAGGGTAGTTCAACATACACAAATGTGTAAATGTGATATACCACAATAACAGAAAGAAGGAGAAAAACCACATGACCATCTCAATAGATGCAGAAAAAATACTTGACAAAATTTAACATTCTTTCATTATAACAAGTCACAACAAATTAGGTAAAGAAGAATTGTACCTCAACACAATAAAGGCCATATATGACAGACTCACAACTAACATCATACTTAAAGGTTATAAGTTAAAGCTTTTTCTTTAAGATCAAGAAAAAGACAAGGATGTCCACTCTTGAAACTTCTATTCAAAGTAATACTGGAAGTGCTAGCGAGAGCAATTAAGCAAGAGAAAGAAATAAAAACTATCCAGTTAGGAAAGAAAGAATTTAATTGTTCCTGTTTGCAGACAACATGGTCATATATGTAGAATACCCTAAATAATTCATCAAAAAACTGTTAGAACCACTGAAACAATTTAGTAAAGTTGCAGGATACAAAATCAACTTACAAAAGTCAGTAGCATTTCTATACATTAAGAGAAAATTATCAGAAAAAATTCAAGAAAACAATCTCATTTAAAATAACTGCAAAAAGGATAAAATACTTAGAAACTTAAGCAAGAAGGTGAAATATCTGTGCAGTGAGAAGTATAAGACATTACTGAAAGAAATGGAAGAAGATACAAATAAATAGAAATCTCATGGTAATAGATTAGAATTAATATTGTTAAAATGTCCATACAGTTCAAAGCAATGTGTAGATTCAATGCAATCCCTATAAAAATATGAACAAATTTTTTTGCAGAAATAAAAGATGTCATAAAATTCATATGGAACTATAAAAGACCCTGAATGGCCAAAGCAGTCATGAGCAAAAGAGCAAAGCTGGGGGAATCACACTACCTGACTCCAAAATATACTACAGAGCAATAATAATCAACACAGCATGGTATTCTCATAAAAACCGAAGCATAGACCAATGGAACATAATAAATAGCCCAGAAGTGAATCATGCATTTACAGCTAATTCATTTTTGGTAATGTTGTCAAGAACACACAATAGGGAAAGGACATTCTCTTCAATTAATGGTGCTGGGGAAACAGAACATCCACATGCAGAAGAATAAAATTAAACCCTTATCTCACACCATATACAAAAGTCAACTCAAAATGGATTAAATACCTGAATGTATGAACTGAAACTGTAAAACTCTAGAAGAAAACATAGGGGAAGAGCTCCATGACATTGGCCTGGGCCAAGATATTTTTCATTGCATAAAACTAAAATGCTGCTGTACTGCAAAGGAAATACTTAACAGAATGAAGAGACAACCTAAAAGTTTGGGGAAAGTATTTGCAAATCATACATTGGATAAGGAGCTAGCATATTAAATATTTAAGAAACTCAATCTATCTAATAACAGAAAAGATAACTCGATTAACAAATGAACAAACACCTGAATATACAAGTCTCAAAAGAAGACATAAAAATGGCCAACAGATACATTAAAAAAATTTCAACATTACTAGTCAACAGGGAAATGCAAATCAAACCATAATGATCTAACACCTCAAACCTGTTGGAATTATTATCATCAAAATGATGAAAGATAACCAGTGTTGTCATGGATGTGAAGAAAAGAAAACCGTTTTACACTGTTGATGGGAATATGTATTAGTACAGCCATTATGGAAAACTGTATGGAAGTTTTTCAAATAACTAAAAATAGAATTATGAC
Source organism: Homo sapiens (assembly GCF_000001405.40). Classification (NCBI taxonomy): domain Eukaryota; kingdom Metazoa; phylum Chordata; class Mammalia; order Primates; family Hominidae; genus Homo; species Homo sapiens. The sequence continues at coordinate 118,669,951 of NC_000005.10, read as the reverse complement.
ATGATCCAGAAAGCCTGCTACTGGGTGTATATCCCAAGGAACTGAAATACATATATTAAAGAGATGTCTGCACCCCATGTTCATTGCAGCATTATTCATGATAGCCAAAATATGAAAACAACTGATGTACTCATTAATGTATGGATGTGTTAAAAATGTGTTATATAAATACAGCAAAATATGATTCAGCCTTAAAAAGGTAAGAAATTCTGCCATTTGTGACATTGATTAATTTAGAAGAAATCATGGTAAATGAAATAATTTAGGCACAGAAAGACAAATTCGACATGATCTCACTTACATGTGGAATCTACAAGAGTTGAACTCATAGAAGTAGAGTAGATTAGTGGTTACTAGAGGTTGAGTGAGTGAGCATAGGAAACAAGGAAAGAAGAGATATTTGTCAAACAGCACAAAGTTTTAGTTAGACAAAAGGATAATTTCTGGTAATCTATTGCACATGACTATATTTAACAGTAATGTATTTTATATTTTAAAATTGCTATAAGAGTATATTTTAAATGTTCTCATCACAAGGAGATGATAACTATGTGAAGTGATGGATATTTTAATTAACCTGATTTGATTATTTTCACAATGTATACGTGTTTTGAAACATCACATTGTACTCCTTAAATATTTTTTATTTGTCAATTAAAAATAAAATTAAATAAAAAAGAAAACATAGAGAAGAAAATTCATGACACTGGGCTGGGCAATGATTTCATGGATATGACACCAAAAGCACAGGCAACAAAAGCGAAAATAAACAATGGGACTAAATCAAACTAAAAGGCCTCTGTACAACAAAGGAAACAATCAACAGGGTAAAAAGGTAACCTGCAGAATGGGACAAAAGATTTGCAAATCATCTATCTAATAAGGGGTTACTATTCAAAGTATATGAAAACGCCTATAACTCAATAGTAAAAAAACTAATAACCCTATTAAAATGGGCTAATAGATATTTTTTCCGAGAAGATATATAAACAGGCAGTAGGTGTATGAAAAAATGTTCAATGTCACTAATCATTAAGGAAATGTAAATAAAAGCTACAACAAAATATCACTTCACATTTGTCAGGATGGCTATTATTAAAAGAAAACGAACCCCTCCCAAAACCCCAAAAAACAAGTGTTGAAGATGTGGAGGAAGTGAAACCCTTGCACACTGTTAGTAGGAATGGTGCAGCCTTCTCAAAAAAATTAAAAATAGAACTAATGTGTGATCTAGGAATTCAAATTTGAATAATTATCCAAAGGAAATGAAATCAAAGTATTGAAGACATATTAGCACTCTATGTCACTAGACTCATGGCTACGGAAAGAATAAGAGGGCCTTTACATAGGACAATGAAAACTTCCCGAACTGAAATAAAAAGAAAAAAGAAAAAATAATAAAATCCAAACAGAACATCAAAAACTTCAAGAACTGTGGAGCAATTACAAAAAGTATAACCTAAGTATAGTTAGAATACCGGAAGGAAAAAAAGGAAAGAAGCAGAAAAAATATTTTAAGCAATAATATTTGGGAACATTCCAAAATTAATGACAAATACCAAGTCACAGATCCATGAATCTCAGAGAACATCAAGCAGGATTTTAAAAAGCCATCTCAGGTACCCCACAAATATATACACCTACTATCTACCCATAAAAATGAAAAATTAAAAAAATGCCCCAAACACCCCCCCACCGGCTGCCACCCCAAACACAACTAGGCATATTGTAGTCAAATTACAGAAAACCAAATAAAATTTTTAGCCAGACTAAAAAAAAAAAAGCAAACCTAAAAATACAGCACATATATAGAGAAATGATGGTAAGATTTGCAGGACATTGAACATTGGAAACCATGCAAACGAGAAGAGAGCAGAGTAAAACATTTAAAGTGTTGAGGGAAAAAACTCACCAACCTAGAATTCTATATTAAGCCAAATTATCCTTCAAAATTGAAAGAGAAATAAAGACTTTCCCAAACAAACAAAAACTGAGAGCATTTATTGCAAGCAGATCTGCCCTACAAAAAATGTTAAAAGATATTCCTCAGGGAGAAGAAAAATGATATAGATCAGAAATTTGGATCTACATATAGACAGGACAAGCATCAAGGAACAGTAAGTGAATGGAAAGTAAAAACTTTTATTTTTCTTACCAATAGTTTGTTTAAAATAATAATAGCAATAATGTATTTATGTGTGTTCTCATATATATATATTTTTTGTTTGTTTTGTTTTGTTTTGTTTTGTTTTTGAGATGGAGTCTTGCTCTGTCGCTCAGGCTGGAGTGCAGTGGCGTGATCTCAGCTCACTGCAAGTTCCACCTCCTGGGTTCATGCCATTCTCCTGCCTCAGCCTCCTGAGTAGCTGGGACTACAGGTGCCCACCACCACGCCTGGCTAATTTTTTGTATTTTTAGTAGAGATGGGGTTTCACCATGTTATCCAGGATGGTCTCGATCTCCTGACCTCGTGATCTACCTGCCTCGGCCTCCCAAAGTGCTGGGATTACAGGTGTGAGCCACTGCTCCTGGCTGTATGTTTATATATATTTTTAATGTACATATATGTGCTTATCTATGCTTATGTATAAGTGAAATTAGTAACAGCAATGATATAATTAATGGAAGAGGATAATAGGATTATTTTATTTTTATGAAGTATTCATACTATCCATGAGGGGATACAGTATTATTAGAAAGTGGACTTGGATTAGTTGTATATTGCAATCTCAAGGGCGACACTAATAAAAATAAAAGACAAAGTATAACTGATATGTGAAGAAGGAGAGAACATGAAATCATTAATACCAGAAGAAAAGACAAAAATGGGAACAAAGAATAAGGGCAACAAATAGAAAAACAATACAAATATGATAGATAATAATACAACTATGTCAATAATCATTTTGAATGTCAATGATCTAAATATAATTAAAAGACAGAGTTTGTCCGATTGGTTCAAGAAACAAGACTCAACTATATGTTCTCTACAGGGGGCACACTTAAAAAAATCAACCTCTGTGTTAGATTCAGGTGGGTACATGTACAGGTTTGTTACATAGGTGTATCGTGTGATGCTGAAGTTTGGAATATTAATGATCCTGTCACCAAAGTAGCGAGCATACTGTCCAACAAGTAGTTTTCAACCATTGTCCTACTCTTTCCCTCCTGCCTCTAGTTGTTTCCAATGTCTATTGTTGTCATCTTGATGTCCATGAGTACCTAGTGTTTAGCTCTCACTTGTAAGTGAGAACATATGGTATTTGCTTTTGCGTTCCCACATTAGTTTGTTTAGGTTAATGGTCTCCAGCTGCTTCCATGTTGCTGCAAAGGACAAAATTACATTCTTTTCTATGGCTGTGTAGTATTCCATGGTGCATATGTATTATATTTTGTTTAGCTGTCCACCACTGATGGGTACCTAGGTTGATTTCATGCCTTTGCTATTGTAAATGGTGCTGTGATGAACATACATATGAGTGAATGTGTCTTTTTGGTAGAATAATTTATTTTCCTATGGATATATACTCAGTAATGGGATTGTTGGGTCACATGGTAGTTCTGTTTTAAGTTCCTTGAGAAATCTCCAAACCACTTTCCACAGTGCTTGAACTAATTTGCATTCCCATCAACAATGTGTAGGTATTCCCTTTTCTCTGCAGCCTCATCAGCATCTGTTGTTTTTTGACTTTTTGTTAATAGCCATTCTGACTGGTATGAGATAGTATCTCATTATGGTTTTGATTTTCATTTCTCCAATGGTTACTGATGTTGAGCATTTTTTCATTTGTTTCTTGGCCACTTGTATCTCTTTTGAGAAGTGTCTGTTCTTGTCTTCTGCCCACTTTTTAATGGCATTCTTTGTTTTCTGCTTGCTGAATTGTTCCTTATAGATTGTGGATATTAGGCCTTTTTTGCATGCATAGTTTGCAAATATCTGCTGCCATTCTGTAGGTTATCTGTTTACTCTGTTGGTAGTTTCTTTTGCTGTCCAGAGCTCTTTAGTGTAATTAGATCCTACTTGTCGATTTTTGTTGTTGTTGTTGTAATTGCTTTTGAGGAGTTAGTCATAAATTCCTTCCTAAGGCCAATGTTTAGAATCGTGATTCCTAGGTTTTCTTCAAGTATTCTTATAGTTTGATGTCTTATATCTAAATCTTTACTACATCTTGAGTTAGTTTTTGTATAGGATGAAAGGTAAAAGTCCAGTTTCATTCTTCTGCATATGCTAGCCAGATATGCCAGCATCATTTCTTGAATATGGAGTCCTTTTCCCTTTGCATATTTTTGTCAGCCTTGTCAAAGAAAGATCAGATGGTTGCAGTTATGCACCTTTAATTCTGGGTTATCTATTCTGTTCCATTGGTCTACGGGTCTGTTTTTGTACCAGTATCACGCTATTTTGATTACTGTAGCTTTATAGTATGGTTTAAAGTTGGGTATTGTGATGCCTCTGGTTTGTCTTTTTTTTTTTTTTTTTTGAGATGGGGTCTCACTCTGTCACCCAGGCTGGAGTGCAGTTGTGCAATCTTGGCTCACTGCAACCTCTGCCTCCCGGGTTCAAGCGATTCTCATGTGTCAGCCTCCCAAGAAGCTGGGATCACAGGCATGCACCACCATGCCTGGGTAATTTTTGTATTTTTGGTAGAGATGGAGTTTCACCATATTGGCCAGGCTGGTCTCGAACTCCTGACCTCAAGCAATCCACCTGCATTGGCTTCCCAAAGTGCTGGATTACAGGCTTTGTCCTTTTAGCTTAGTATTGATTTGGCTTTTCAGGCTCTTTTTTTCCATTTCTTATAAATTTTAGAATAGTTCTTTTCTAATTCTCTGAAGAATGACATAGGTAGTTTGACAAGAATAAAACTGAATCTGTAGATTGCTTTGGGCAGTATGGCCATTTTAATGATATTGATTCTTCCATTCCATGAGCATGGAATATTTTTCCATTTGTTTGTGTCCTCTATGGTTTCTTTCAGCTGTGTTTTGTGGTTCTCCCTGCAGAGGTCTTTCACCTTCTTTGTTAGATGTATTCCTACGTATTTGTGTGTGTGTGTGTGTGTGTGTGTGTGTGGCGATTGTAAATGGGATTGCATTCTTGATTTGGCTCTCAGCTGGAATGTTATTGGTGTGTAAAAATAATTCCAATTTTTGTACATTGATTTTGTATCCTGAAACTTTACTAAAGTCATTTATCAGTTCCAGGATCCTTTTTATGGAGTCTTTAGAGTTTTCTAGGCATAAGTATAGAATCATATCACCTATGAAGAGAGGTAGTTTGACTTATTCTTTTCCTGTTTGGATGCCTTTTATTTCCTTCTCTTGCCTGAGTGCTCTGGCCAGCACTTCCAGTGCTATTTGAACAGGAGTGGTGAGAGTGGATACACATCCTTGTCTTGTTCCAGTTCTCAAGGAGAATGGTTCCAGCTTTTGCCTGTTCAGTATGATGTGGGTTTGGCTGTGGGTTTGTCATAGATGGCTCTTATTATTTTCAGATATATTTCTTTGATGCCTAGTTTGTTGTCAGTTTTTATCATGAAGAGATGGAACTCATTTTAAATATAAAAACCCATATAGATGAAAAATAAATGGGTGAGGAAAGATGTACCATGCTAACCCTAATCAAAAGAAAGCAGGAGTACCTGTATTCATTTCAGTTGGGGCAGACTTGAAAGCAAGGAAAGTTATCAGCGATTATACAAATATTACATAAAGATTAAATAATTATTTAGGAAGACATAACAATATTTAACATGTATACACTTAATAACAGTGTGTCAAACTATGTGATGCAAAAACTAATAGAACTGCAAGGAGAAATGGATAAATCCCCTATTACAGTTGGAGACTTTAACCCCTCTCTATCAGAAATGAATTCAGCAAGCAGAAAGTCAATAAGGACAGAGTCGAACTCAACAATACCATCAACCAACTGTATAGAATTAACATCTATAGATTAGTTCATCCAACGACAGCAGAATACACATTATTCTCAAACTCACATGGAATAATGACAAAGATAGGCCACATTCTAGGTCATAAAATACAGCTTAACAAATTAAAAAATATAGAAATTATACAATGTGTAATCTCAGACCACAGTGGAATTAAATAAGAAATAAATAATGGAATAACTAAATAATTCCAAAACATTTGGAGAATAAACAACATCCTTTTAAATAGCACTTAGTTCAAAGAAGCCATCTTAAGAGAAATTAAAAAAGTATTTTGAACTAAATAAGGATGAAAACAATTTATTAAAACTTGTGGAATGTAGAGAAAACAGTACTTAGAGATACATTTATAATATTAAATGCTTATATAAGAAAAGGAGAAAGATCTAAAATCAATAATCTAATATTCTACCTTAGGAAACTAGAAAAAGAGGAGCAAATTAAATCCAAAATGAGAAGAAAAGAAGTATAAAAATTAGAGCATAAATAAATTAAAGCAAAAACAGGAAACCAGTAGAGAAAATCAATAAAACCAACAGTGGTTTTTGAAAAATCAAGAACAACAAAAAACCCTGATAAGCCTCTCTCAAGCCAAACTAAGAAAACAGAGAATGTTAAATGATAAACGTTAAAATGATAATAAGAGAATACTATGAAAAACAGCATCTCCACAAATTTTGTAACATAGATGAAATGGACCAATTCCTTGAAAGATAATCTTCCAAAACTCACACAAGAAGAAATAAGCAATCTGAATAGGTCTGTATCTATTAAAGAAATTAAATTATTAATTAATAACTTTCCAAACAGAAAGCATGAAGCCCAGAGAGATTTCTTGGTAAATTCCACCAAACATCAAGAAATAAATTGTATAAATTTTCTGTAATCTCTTTCAGAGGATAGAAGGAGATGAATATTTTCTAACAGATTCATAGATCAGCATTACCTTAATACCAAAACCAGGCAAGACATTACAAAAAAGATCAATATTTCCCACGAATGAAGTACACAGGTCAATATTTCCCACGAATGACTACAGATCACTATCTCTCATGAATGTGGATGCAAACATCCTCAACAAATATTAGCAAATTAAATCTAACGGTGTCTGAAAATAATTATATACTTCCCAAAGTGAGATTTATTTCAGGTGTGCAAGGCTGGTTCAATATTTTAAAATCAAGTAATAAAATTCCTCACATCAGAAGGCTAAAGAAGAAAAATCACATGATTATATAAACAAATGTAGAAAATTTATTTGACAAATCTAACACTCGTTCATGATAAAAACTCTTAGTTAACAACAAATAGAGGGAACCTTTTAAACTTGAGAAAAAATAATCTACAAAAATCCTACAGCAACATCATACTACTGGTAAGACACTAGAAGTTCTCTTACTTACATTGGGAACAATGCAAGGATATGTCCTCCCACCACTCCTTTTCAACATCATGCTGGAAGTTCTGGCTAATGCAATAAGACAAGAAAAGATGATAACAGGTATACTAATTGGGAAAAAATAAATAAAACTATCTTTGTTTGCAGATGATTTGATCGTCTATATAGAAAATCTGAATGACTGACAAAACATTCTCCTGGAACTAATAAGGGATTATAGATATGTTCCAGAATATAGGGTGAATATAACAAAGTTAACTGCCTTTCTGTGTAACAGCATTGAACAAATGGAATTTAAAAATAAAAACACAATACCATTACTCTAGTACCAAAAAAGAAACACTTAGATATAAATCTATCAAAATATGTGTAAGGCCTGTATGAGGAAAACTACAAACCTCAAATGAAGGAAATAAAAGAAGACTGAAATAAATAAATAAATAAATAAATTAATTAATAGATATCCCATAACCATGGATAGTTAGACTCAATATTGTCAAACTGTCATTTCTTTCCAACTTGATGTATAGATTCAAAGCAATCTCAAAACAAATTCCAATAATTTAGTTTGTGGATATTGACAAATTACTTCTAAGGTTTATATGAAATGACAAAAGACCCAGAATAGCTAACACAATATTGTAGGAGAAAAACAAAATTGGAAGACTGACACAAAAGTAAACATACTTTTATAATATGATTCAGCAATATGATCCAGTTTTTACCTGACATCAAGGCTGACTATAAAGCTACAGTAATCAAGATATAGAATAGAATTGACAAAAGAATAGACAAATAGATCTATGGAACAGAATAGAGAGCCTAGAAATAGACCCACGTAAGTATAGTAAACTTCTTTGACAACAGAACAAAGGTAATGTAATGGAGTAAAGATAGTCTTTTCAGCAGATTGTGGTGTTCTTCTCAAACATACATGGCACAATCTCCAGGACAGGTCACCTGTTGGGGCACAAAACAAGCCTTAAATTTAAGAAGACTGGAATTGTATCGAATATATTTTCTGATTATCATGGTTTGAAACTAGAAATCAATAACAGGAGGAATTTCAAAAAATTCACAAATGGGTGGAAATTAAACAACACTCTCCTGAACAATCAGTGCATCAATGAAGAATTTAAAGGGGAAATAAAAAACATCTTAAGACAAACAAAAATGGAAACACAACATACCAAAAGCTTATGAAATACAGCAAAAGCAGTAAGATCAATGTTTGCAGCAATAAATGCCTATATCAAAAAGAAGAAAGAGCTCAAATAACATAATGTTGCTCCTCAAGGAACTAAGAAGAGAACAAACTAAGACCAAAGTTAGTAGAAGGGAGGAAATAATAAAGATTAGAGCAGAAATAAATAAAATGGAGAGTAAAAGAAATAGAAGAAATAAAAAAACTGAGTTTTTTTTTAGAGTTAAACAAAATCAACAAATGTTTAGCTAGACCAAGGAAAAAAAGAAGACTCAAATAAATTAAATTAGAAATGAAAGAGGAGACATTACAACTGAGACAGCAGGGATACCAAAGATCACAAGAGACTACGATGAACAATTATAGGCCAACAAATAGGATAACCTAGAAGAAATGCATAAGTTCCTAGAAATATACAACCTACCAAGACTGAATCATGATGAAATAGAAAACCCGAACCACCAATAATTAAATTAGGAGATTGAATCAGTAATAAATAGTCTCATATGAATGAAATGCCCAGGATCTAATGGCTTCAACTGCTTAATTCTACCAATATTTAAACATAAACTAATACTAATGTTTCTCAAGCTGTTTCAAACATTGAAGTGAAAGAAATACTTCCAATATCTTTTTACAAGGCCAGCAGTACCCTGATACCAAAGCCAGACAAGGCCATTAGAAGAAAAGAAAATTACAGGTCACTATTCTTGATAAACATAGATGTAAAACTCTTCAACAAAATACTAGCAAACCAAATTCAACAACACATTAAGAGGGTCATCTACTATTGTCAAGTGGGGTTTATCCCTGGGATACAAGAATGGTTCAACATACACAAATCAATAAATGTGATAGACCACATTAACAGAAAGAAGAACAAAAACTGTATGACCACCTGATTAGACACAGAAAGAGCATTTGACAAAATTCAACATCTTTCCGTAATAAAAACTCCCTAAATAAGAGGCAGAAGGAATGTACCTCAACACAATAAAGGCCATCTATGAGAAGCCTACATTGAGCATTATGCTCAATGGCAAAATTTGAAAGCCTTTCCTCTAATATCAGGAACAAGATGAGGATGTCCATTGTTACCAATTCTATTCAGTGTAGTATTGAAAGTCCTTGTCAGAGCAATTAGGGAAGAAGTAAAAGGCATCCAAATAGGAAAGGAAAAAATGAAATTGTCACTGTTTGCTGATGACAAGATCTTATATATGGAAAACCCTAAAGACTACCAAAAAACTGTTAAAACTAATAAATTTAGTAAAGTTGCAGGATACAAAACAATATACAAAAATCATCAGTGTTTTTATACACCACCAACAAACTGTCTGAAAAAAGAAATCAAGAGAGCAACCCTTTTTACAACAGCTACAAAAATAAAATGGGATACTTAGGAATAAATTTAATTAAGGAGATGAAAGACCCGTACACTCAAAACTGTAAGACATTGATGAAGAAAATTGAAGAAGACACAAATAAATGGAAAGATAACTCATGTTTACAGATTGTAAGAATTAATATTGTTAAAATGTTCATACTACCAAAGTGATCTCAGATTCAATGCAATCCCTATAGAAAAACCAATGAAATTTTTCATAGAATAAGTGATTCCAAAATACAGATGGAGCTATAAACCTTCAAATAGCCAAAGCAATTGTAAGCAAAAAGTACAAAGATGGAGGTATAACATCACATGATTTAAAACTGTACTGCAAAGCTATTGTAATCAAAATAACACAGTACTGGCAAAAAAAAAAAAAAGACAGATTGACCCAATAGAACAGAACAGACATCCCAGAAACATACCTATGCATTATGGTCAGTTGATTTTTGACAAAGGTGCCAAGGATACACAATAGGAAAAGAATAATCTCTTCAATAAATGGTGCTGGGAAAACTGGATACTCACATGCAAAATAATAAAATTGAGCCCTTCTCTCACCATATATACAAAAATAAAATGGATTGATGACTAAAATGTAAGACACTAAACTGTAATCTAATCTAAGAAAACGAAGGAGAAAATCTCAGTGACATTAGTCTGACAATGATTTCCAGGTTATGACCCCAGAAGGGCAAGCAACAAAAGCAAAAAGAAACAAATGAGGTTTCATAAAACTAAAAATCTTCTGTGTATCATAGGAAACAATTAACAGATTGAAGAGACAACTTACAGATTGGGAGAAAATATTTGTATGCTATATATCTGATAAAGGGTTAATATCCGAAGTCTATAAGGAACTCAAACAACTCGATAGCAAGAAAACAAAAATCCCAACTAAAAAGTGGGCAATGGATTTGAATAGCCATTTCTCAAAAGAAGACATACAAGTGACCAACAGTGATATGAATAGAAGCTATCATGGCTAATTATTAGAGAAATACAAATTAAAACCACAATGAGATACTATTTCACACACATCAGAATGGTTATTACCCAAAAGATAAAAAGTGTTGGTGAGGATGTGGAGAAAAGGAAACCCTTGTACATTGTTGGTGAGAATGTAAATTAGTGCCACCTGATATAGTTTGACTCTGTGTCCCCACCCAAATCTCATGTCGAATTGTAATTCCCAATGTTGGGGAGGGATCTGATGGGAGGTAATTGGATCGTGGGGGCAGATTTCCCCCTTGCTGTTCTCATGATAGTGAGTGAGTTCTCATGACATCTGGTTCTTTGGAAGTGTGTAGCACCTCCCCCTTCACTCTCTCTTTCTCCTGACGCTATGTGAAGACATGCTTGCTTCCCCTCACCCTTCCACCATGATTGTGAGGCCTCCGCAGCCATGCCTCCTGTACAGTCTGTGAAACTGTGAGTCAAATCTATTTTCTTTATAAATTATCCAATCTTAGGTAGTTCTTTATAGCAATGTGAGAAGAGATTATTGCAGAAAATTGGTGCAAGAGAAGTGGGGTATTGCTATAAAGATACCTGGAAATGTGGATGCAACTGGGTAACAGGCAGAGATTGGAATAGTCTGGAGGGCTCAGAAGATCACAAGAAAATGAAGGAAAAGTTGGAATTTCCTAGAGACTTGTTGAATGGCTGTGAGCAAAATGCTGATAGTGATATGGACAGTGAAGTCCAAGTGGAGGTGGTCCCAGATGGGGATGAGGATCTTATTGAGAACCAGAGTAAAGGCCACTCTTGCTATGCTTTAGCGAAGAGACTGGAAACATTGTGCCCCTGCTCTCAGGATCTGTGGAACTTTGGACCTGAGAGAGATGATTTGGGATGTTGGGTAGAAGAAATTTCTAAGCAGCAAAGCATTAAAGATGTAACCTGGTGTTTCTAAAAGTGTATGCTCATATGCATGAAGAAGGAGATGGTCTGAAATTGGAACTTATATTCAAAAAGGAAGCAGAGAATAGAAGTTTGGAAAATTTGTGACCTGAGCATGTGGTAGAAAAGAAAAGCCCATTTTCTGGGAATAAATTCAAGCTGGCTGCAGATATTTGCATAAATAGAGAGGAGCCTAATGTTAATAGCTAAGACAATGGGAAAAATATCTCCAGGACATTTCAGAGAACTTCTCAGTAGCCTCTCTTATCACAGGCCCAGAGGCCTAGGAGGACAAAATGGTTTTGTGGGCCAGGCTCTGGGCCCTGCTGCTCTGTACAGCCTTGAGACATGGCATCCTTTGTCCCAGCCACTCCAGCTCCAGCCATGGCTAAAAGGGGCCAAGTTGCAGCTCAGGCTGTGGCTTCAGACGGTGCAAGCCCTAAGTCTTGGCAGATTCCATGTGGTGTTGTGCCTGCAGGTGAACAGAAGACAAGAGACAAGAGTTTGAGGCTTGGAAGCTTCTGCCTAGATTTCAGAGGATATATGGAAAGATCTGGATGTCCAGGCAGAAGTCCATGGAGAACCTCTACTATGGCAGTGTGAAGGGGAAATGTAGGGTTGGAGCTCCTACACCAAGTCCCCACTGGGGCACTGCCTAGTGGAGCTGTAAGAAGAGGGCCACTGTCCTCTAGACCCCAGAATGGTAGATCCACTGACATCTTGCACTATGTGCCTGGAAAAGACGCAGACACTCAACACCAGCTCGTGAAAGTAGCCATGGGGGCTGTAACCTGCAGAGCCACAGGGGAGCTTCCCAAGGCCTTGGCAGCACAGCCCTTGCATCAGTGTGGTCTGGATGTGAGGCATGGAGTCAAAGGAGATTAGTTTGGAGCTTTGAGATTTAATGACTACCCTGCTGGGTTTTGAACTTGCATAGGGCCTGTAGCCCCTTTGTTTTGGCCAGTTTCTCCCTTTTGGAATGGAGGCATTTAACCAATGTCATACCCCAGTTTTATCTTGGAACTAACTTGTTTTTTATTTTTTTAGGCTCATAAGCAGAAGGGACTTGCCTTGTCTCAGATAAGACTTTGGACTTGGACTTTTGAGTTAATGCTGGAATAAGTTAAGACTTTGGAGGACTGTTGGGAAGGCATGATTGTGTTTTGAAACGTGAGAAGGACCTGAGATTTGGGAGGGGCCAGGGGCAGAATGATATGGTTTGGCTCTGTGTCCCCACCCAAATCTCATGTTGAATTGCAATGCCCATGCTGGGGGAGGAACCTGGTGGGAGGTTATTGGATCACGGCGATAGATTTCCCCTTTGCTGTTCTTGTGATAGTGAGTTCTCCCAAGATCTGGATGTTTAAAAGTGTGTAGCACTTCCCCCTTTGCTCACTCTCTCATACTGCCACATGAAGATGTGCTTGCTGCCCCTTCACCCTTCGCCCTTCACCATGATTGTGTTTCCTGAGGCCTCCTCATCCATGCCTCCTGTACAACCTGTGGAACTGTGAGCCAATTAAACCTCTTTATAAATTACTCAGTCTCAGGTAGTTCTTTTAGCAATGTGAGAACAGACTAATATACTGCCATTATGGAAAACATTATGAAAGTTCCTCAAAAGGATAAAAACAAAACTATCATATGATCCAGAAATTCCACTTGTGAGTGTTTTCTCAAAATATTTGAAATTACTTTGTCAAAGAGATGTCTACACTCTCATGTTTATTGCAGCACTATTCACAATAGCCAAATTTTGGAATCAATATAAGTGTCCATCAATAGATGAGTGGATAAGGAAAATATGGAACATATACATAATGGGATTCTATTCAGCCTTTAAAAAGAAGGAAATTGTCATTTGCGACAAATTGATGAAATCGGAGAACATTATCCTAAGTGAAATAAGCCAGGCCCAGAAAGACGATACTGCACTGTTCTCACTTATATGTGGAATCTAAAATGTTTGAATTCATGGAAGCAGAGAGTGGAATGATATCTGTAGAGGATGGGGTTGGGGGAAACGGGGACACGATAGTCAAAGGGGACAAAATCTCAGACATGAGAAATAAGGTTTTTTTTTGAGAATTATTACACAGCATTGTGAATATAGTTAATATTAGTGTGCTGTACTATTCTAAAATGCTGAGAGTTAATTTCAAATTTTCTCAACACAATGAATAATACATATTTGAGATGATGCATAGGTTAATTAGCTTGATTTAATTATTCCACATTTTATCACAAATTGGTAACATCACTTTGTACATAAATATATGCAATTATAAATAGTTAATTTGCAATTTAAAAAATTGTGATTGAATAATTGGATATCCACATTTGAAAAAGTGAATCTGGACATAGACCTTACTCTTCACAAAAATGAACTCAAAATAGGTTACAGACTGAAATGTGAAATATAAAACTACTAGGAAATAGCATAGGAGAAAACCTAGGGTTATTTCAATGTAATATGCATATTAGATAGAGCACCAAAGACAAGAGCCATGAAATAAATAATTGGTAAACTGGACTTCATTAAAATTAAAAACTTCTGCCCTGCAAAAGACAATATCAAGAGAATGAGAAGACAAGCTGCAGACTGGGAGAAAATATTTGCAAAATACATGTCTGATAAAGGACTGTTATCAAAAATAGACAAAGAACTCTTAAAACTCCACAGTAAGAACTCAAACAACCCAATTTATGAAATGGTTCAAAGACCCTGACAGACAACTCTCCAAAGATTTACAGATGGTAATTAAGCATATGAAAAGATGCTCCTCATTACAGATCATCAGGGAAATACAAATTAAAACAACAGTGAGATGCCTTTGCATACTTATTACAATGGCCAAAACTCAGAACACTAAACACTAAATGCTGACTAGGCTGTGGAACAACAGAAACTCTCATTCATTGCTGGTGGGAATGCAAAATGCTATGGCGACTTTGGAAGACAATTTGGAGGTCTTAAAAAACTAGAAATACTCCTACCATATGATCCAGCAATAGTGCTCCTTGCTATTTACCCAAAGGAGTTGAAAACTTATGTCCACACAAAAACCTGCACACAGATGTTGATAGCATGCTTTTTTTTTTTTTTTTTTTTTTTTTGTATTTGCTAAACCTTGGAAGCAACCAAGATATCCTTCAGTAGGTAAGTAGATAAACTGTGGTACCTCCAGGCAATGGAATACTTTTTAGCGATAAAAAGTATCAGTAGTTGAAAAAAGAAATCTGAAAAGACTACATGCTGTATGACTCTAACTATATGACATTCTGAAAAAGGAAAAAGTATGGCTACAGTAAAAAGATTAGTGGTTGCCAGGGATTGGGGGTGGGAGGTGGGGGAGAGGGAGGAATAGATAGAGCACAGATGTTTAAGTCAGTGAAATTACTTTATGTGATAGTGTAATTATGGATACAAGTCATTGTATATTTGTCCGAACTCAGAGAATGTGCAACACCAAGAATTAACACTGATGTAAACTATGGACTTTGGGTTATAATGTGCCAGTGAAGGTTTATCAGTTGTAACAAATGTACCACTCCGGTGGGGGAGGCTTATAATGGGGGAGGCTTTGCAAGTGTGCAGCAGAGGGTATATGGGAAATATCTGTACCTATCCTCTAAATTTTGCTGTAAACCTAAAACTTCTCTAAAAAATAAAAGTTATTTAAAATGTTTAACCACAACGGAAAGATTTACCCTCCCAATGGTGACAAAAAATCATAATTTAGACCTTCTTCAACTAGAGCAGAGAAAAGAAAACTCAAGTCACACTCAGCAGACTATCCATCTACACTTTCGTTTTCTGCCTCTAGGCAGGGACTGAATCTACTTTGCCTTTCCATTCCCAGGATCTAGCACAATGTTTGCCACATAGAAGGTCCAAATAAGCTTTTATTCCATTCAGTTGCTAGTGCATGCACATGTGCAGAAGTCCTTACAGACTATCCTGCCTCCCAGCTGAGGGAGATCCTTAGATTGGAAAGACTCTGGAGACCTTTCTTGGGCAATCTACAATAGAATTCAGTTTCTGAGCAAGATCTTTAAATGGCCTAGGAAAATCCAGCTTTGCTTCTTCTCAGTCTTCTAAAACTATCACATGCTAAATTTCAGTATCACTTCTTGGCATAGCATGAGTATATTCATTCCAGCATTCTTTTTTTGCTGCTGAAACGTAAAAAATGTCTCTTTTAAGTGATAATAAACTACCTCCCAATTTTTCTAAGAAATTTTCATGTTCATTTTAAGTGTGTAGGTAAAACCAGCTACCTGTCATGGGGCTGGTCACAGATAAAGCACCTCCCTGTTTCAGCATAAAAAAAGCTGGCAGTAAACATCGTTTTCCCATCACATTGTAGAGCCCTGTTACTGCTTTCAGGGGAGCACCCCTCTCAAATGGCAGCTTTTTGGCTCCATATTTGCCCCTGAAAGGCCCACTGACACCATGAAAGTTGTTACTTTTTATAATCCCAGATGATCAGATTCTGTTAAAATCTAACCAATAGGGAATTCCGGCATTAGAACAAATTCAGTTCTCAGAGTTGCTAGATTCTTTATTTCTAGTCCACTTCATTCTCCAGCTCAGGAGCAATCATCTTTGTAAAGTGTCTTAAGAGCCTTAGAGTAAATAAAAATGATAAATGTTGACCTTCCTGGTCTCTTTCCAACCCTAAAATTCTATGATTCATTTCTTCTTAAGGCCTCACATTTTCAAGGCCCAAAGAGGTTTAAATAACAAGCCAATGTAAATAGCAGGTAATGGGCCCTGATAAGTGTCCTGAACTGAAGGAATAGCTAAAGGAAAAAAAAATGTAAGAAAATGAAATACAACAGGAAATATCTTTATAGTTGCCATCAGAGATGGTAGGAAGCCTCAAAAACTGCCCTTGAGAGCAACTCAAAACTAAGCAGGCTGTTAACAACAACAACAACAACAAGCAGATATCATTTACTGCCTTCCCCAAACTGTTCTTTCAGAAGGTCGGTACTTTTAACTTCACCATTCCAAGCGTCATGATGAGGCATTAGGCAGCCAGCTGTCCCCAGCACACTATGCTATCAAGACCTGGATTTGCTAAAGGCGCGTGGATTGTTAGCAGCCCACGGGTGAGTTGTATTCTGGCCAAGCATTCAGCCTGGCAATAAGAAATGCATTTCCATTTTTCCCCCATCACAAAAGGAAGTTTTACCTAGAAATTGGACAAAACAAAAAAGTCAAATCTATTTTTGGCTACTGGAGTCTTCCCACAGCTTCCTTATCTTTCCTCAAGCCATCTTCCTGGCCAGTCTTCCCTTTAGATATTCTCAGACGCATAGCTAACATTGTCATTCTACCTTTTTGCGTCTGCTAAAAATAAAATTTTCCACCAACACCTTGAACAATGTCTCTGAAGTTCCCACAACATGCTTTCCTTGCCGTACTTCCTGCTTCCATTTTCCTGAACCTTTCACACTCAGAATCTATAACTAATACCTCGTATTTGGGGACAGCTTTTATTCTTGGCTTTTTATTTTCCTCCATTGTCTTTTTTCTTTTGTAGATATCGCCCAAGGTGCTCACCAATGGTCAGCACTGATAGAAGTCAATAAAAGTAGTAGTAAAACTGTCCACTGTTTACGTTAAAAATGTTCATACCAGAAGCCAGGCTGTGCAGAGGGTACAAGAATATTTATTTTTTTCCTTCCCTTTCAGGTTGAAATGGAAACAATGGCCTTAAAAAACAGGCCTTTTGCATGCTGGTCCATGTTTTTGCTTAGAATTATCACTATGACATCTAGAATATTGAGTATTTTCCTGTCATAATTTTTATTTAAAGAGCTAAAAAGTATAATAAGCAATATTCATTTGGCAACTGATATGAAGTGAGTTTCTAAATTCTGTGTGTTTTTGATTCAACAAAGCAATCTTTTTTTTGCAATTTTTTGGTGTAATACACACTCAAAGGGCTAATGTGCTTGGTGTTTAATCTGCTGATATTATCTATGTTGCTCTCTTTTATCCTTTAGTATATGTCTTTGGGTCAGGGAGAGCATGATGTTCTGTCTTCCAGCTTTCTAAGTTTTATTTCCCAAAGCACCAAAGAGTAAATAACTTAGAAGAAGAGAAAAGGCTGCCACAGTATCTTACTAATGAAGAGGATATTGCCTGTTTTCAGAATGTTCTTCACAATAAGATACATCAGATTAAGTGTGCCATTTCTCAATAAGCACATAAATACAGCTTGGCCTTATTAATCCTATAAAAACAGCAACACAGTCTTCTCATATGCTATCTTTCTCCCTTTCAGTTTCCAGTCTTCAGTGCATAATAACGTTGTATACATATCTGTCCTTTCATGAGGCCAATTTATTCCCTATTAATTAACCTCGATGCTAATTAGTTTATTTGAGCTCTACTGGTAGAGTTTACAGAAAATAACAACATATCCATTATGTCAGCAATCAAAGCAAAACAAGATTGGGATGATGCCAGTGATCAAAGCTCATCAGCGAGATTCAGGGACAAGGAGAAGAAGGTGTTTTGACTTCAAAAGACTTTTTATGATAGTGTTAGCAGTCATTTTCTTATTTTAAAGAGCCATTTCAGAAGCAATCATCTGAAGAATAAAATGAAGGGGGAAGCTTTAGCTTTACCCAGTGTCACTTTACCTTGATCCTTCAAGCCATTCATCCTCCCCTCCTCCCAAAACGCTGAGTCTGGAGACAGGTGGAATTGTTTGACTTATCAGAAATGTCCTGATTTGTCTGGAGTAGAAAATTTTAAAAAAAGATGACTGTTGCTCACTTTTGCTGAGGACTCAACAGTGGCAGGCAGCTTTTTAGAGAAACTCCTTCCCCTGGTAAGACTTACAAAACGCTGATGTTTAAGCAGGTTCATGTAATCAATAAGGTGATATTACCTAATAGTCCGAGGTCAGCCTGCAGTTCTTTCCCAGTGTAGGGTGGGGTGGGGCGGGGAACTATAGCAATTACTTTTGAAATCCTACTCTTCTTAAACCCTTTGCCAAAAATACTCCTTATATCACTAGCCATCCCCAGATATCAATGTTACCAATTTCAAGTACTTATCACTCTGCTAAATTCCACAAGGCAAACAGGAATAGTATAAAGTATGGTCTCTACTGATCTTGACTGGGTAAACAGCAATTAGAAGTGTGTGTGTGTATGTGTGTGTGTGTGTGTGTGTGTGTGTGTGAAGTAGTGCTATCTCATATCCTTGATTTTGGTCCCCCCATCTATATACTCCCCTGTTTCTAATATCCCTAGAGATATTGCTTCTAGATTGCCTCCTCCACACTTACCCAGCTACAAACATTGATTGTTCAGAGCAGTGCAGCACACACAAGCCAGATGAACAGCCAGAGAGTGGCGAAATTTCAGACACAAATCATATTCCCCTGATGTAGCCTAATACTTATACTTTCACATTGTACGGTCAGCATAGCTCAGATTTAATTAAAGCACTCAATCGCACCATTACCATTTTTGGTGACAGCTCAGGTATAAATATATTAAGCACAATTCTTCCCAGGCCCAGCTTGTCGGCACTCTCCTTAAATGCCCTTTTGTCTTCTCTAGCCTTTTTCGAAAGCCCTGAACTTTTAGCTTATAAATGATTAGTACCTATACACTTCCACCTCCAATTCCTAAGTTAAATTACTGTCTTCAGCCTTTCTCTGGATTCCTCAGGAGTAATAAGTCTCTTCCATTGGACCATAATTTTTCCATTTTAACTTTAACCAAAACTGCATTGACATCTCAACCTCCTTCCTCATAGCTGACTTCTTTATATCTCCTCTGTCACTGGCATGGATATAGGTTTTCTCTCTCTCCATGTATCTTATTTTCTCCATATTATGCTCTTATTGCTTAGTTCCATAGTTTCTTACTATAGCATCATTCTCTGTGTTTCTTTAGTTTCGATTGAAATTCTTTTTCCTCATTCATTTATTTAAAAAATATTTTTTGAGTACAACCTCTGTGCCAGGATCTGTCCTGGGAGCTTGAGGTACTTCAGTGAACAAAACAGACAAAGATCTCTGCTCTTGCAGGACTTAACATTCATTCTAGCAGCTGGAGTAAAAAATTAAAAAAATGAAACTCTTATGTGTTACCATATTGTGGTTAGTACCTTAGGAAAAAAGAAGTAGAGAACGGTAAGGGGAACAGGAGCATGGTGGGGATCACCACATGGAGAAAGACTTGCATTTGGTGAGGGAGATAGCTCAGTAGACATCTTGGGGAATAGCAATTGAGATGAAGAAACAACCAGCTGGATCAAAGGCCTGCAGGCAGAAGAATGCTTGGCCTTGCCTGGAATGTTTACAGAGAAGAAGGTGGTCACTGTAGCCAGAGCAGTGTGAATGAGGGAAAAAAGCAGGGAGTCATTGACTCCTCTTGAAAATCACCTGCCTTCTCTACCCGCTGATGGATCAGTGTCTCCCACTCAAAGTAGAATCATATCCCTTTAAAACCTCACAATACACATCTATGTCTAGGTAACTCCTATACATATAAAAAAGTAGCTGCTGATTAGTGGGAATGTAAATTGTACAGCCATTTTGGAAATCGGTATGAAGGTTCCTCAAAAAATTAAAGATAGAAGTATCATGTAAGAAACAACATCAGTATCTCAAAGAGCTATCTATGCTCCTATGTTCACTGCAGCATTATTCACAATAGCCAAGATATGGAAACAAACTAACTGTCCATCAATAGATGAATGGGTAAAGAAAAACACACTGTAATGTTGTTCAGCTGTAAAAAGAAGGAAATCCTGCCATTTGTGATGACATGAATGAAACTGCAGGTCATTATGCTAAGTGAAACAAGCCAGACAGAAGGACGAACACTGCACGATCTCATATGTGGAATCTAAAAAAGTCAAGCTCATAGAAACAGAATAGAATGGTGGTTGCCAGGAGCTGGGAGTTGGGGTGGAGAAAACGAGGATGTGCTGGTCAAAGGGTAAAATCTTGCAGTTTTATAAGTTCTGGGTATCTAAAGCACAGCATGGTGACTATAGTTCACAAGTTTTATATACTTGACATTTGCTAGGAGATTAGATCTTAAGTGTTTCACCACACCAAAAAGAATAAGAAAAAAAGGTAACTGTGAGGTGACAGATGTGTTAACTAACTGGATTATAGTAATAATGTCACAATATATAAGTATAGCAAATCATCACATTGTATACCATATATATATATATATATATATATGCAACTTTATTTGTCAATTATACCTCAATAAAGATGGAAAAAAGTAAAAATGCAAATAAAAAGTAGTTGCCCACATTAAAAAAAAAACAAAACTTGACACAGACTACTTTGTACCACCTTCCTCTGGCTGTGGGCCATTTTCTCAATTTACAACACCCACATTGCTGGGGAATATGGAACACTCTTACTCTGAACGGAATATGCTGTATATCCTATAGGATGTATTAGGCGAAGGCAGAGACTGAAGTGGAGCACAACACAAGGGTGAAATTCACGAAGGAAATGGGTTAACTAACAGGGAAGTGAGACGATGGATGAAGCAGTTTTCCTCTCCCACTGAAATGACTCAGTCCTTCTCTGTGCCCTCCCTTGATGCCTCTAACAAGTTTTTAAGGGTCCACAGGCATTAGAAATATTTCATTCATCATGTAGAGAACAGTGTTGAGATGAATTGTGTAAACAAGAGTGTTTTTAAAAAAGTGTTTATTCATGCATTAAACAAATATTTATTACACATTGTCCTGTGGTGAGAAAGATAAGCAAAATATGGCCCTGAACTTGAGGAACTCACAGTCTTTTTAGGTTGAGAAGGACACACACGAACAGAATATAAATTAAAAAGTCCATGCAGTTTTAAAGATAGGAGGCCAAAATTAGGGGTGCTCTTTAACTGGAAATGTTTTAATAAACACACTTGGATCCCATCCTGAAACCGCTAACAGTGTTTTTCAACCTTGACTGCACATTGGAATCACCTGAAGAGTTTTCAGTACAAGACTGCCTAGGTCCCAGCTCAGAAATTCTGACTTAACTGTTCTGAGATGCAGCCTGGGCATCAGGATTTTTAAGCTCTCCAGGTGACTCTAGTGTTCAGCAGTGTTTGAAAACCATTTGTGGTAGGTTGTATAAAGGTTCTGAAAGTATCCGTGCCCTAATCTTCAACACCTGTGACGATTTTACCTTGTCTGGTAAAGGAATTTTGCAGATATGATTACATTAAGGACCTGGAGGTGAGTAGGTCATTCAGGTGAGCCCAGTGTAATCACAAGCGTTCTTAAGAGAGAGAGGGAGGAGGCTCAGAGTCCACAGTGGGAGATGTGGTGATAAAAGGAAGGCGCTGCAGTGATAAGAGGAATGGCCTGTGAGGCAAGGAACGTAGGTGGCCTCTAAATGCTGAGAAAAGCCTAACAAAACAAAACACCCAAAAAACAACAACACGAAGAAAAACCCAGATTCTTTCTCGAAGCCTCCAGGAAGAGGAACATAGCCTTGCTGACACCTTGATTTTAGACTCTGACCTTCACAACTGTGTAAGAATAAGTTTTTGTTGTTTTAAGCCATTAAGTTCGTGGCAATTTGTTACAGCAGCAATAGAAAACTAATATATCACTGCTTTAACCCAGTAGGTCCGAATGGAACCCAGGTATTGGATGTTTGCGTGTGTGTGTATTTTAGGTTCCCCAAGTAAGTCAAAATTCATGTCCTCCTTTACTATGTAACAAAGAGAAAATTCCTCCTGCCTTCTTCCAGCCCCCACTGCTGGGCTAGTAAAACGGCAGCTTTCCAAGCCAGGGGAGTGAGGGGAGCATAGGAGTGTGGTGATGGGGGGCGGGCAACACTAATTTGTAGGGTCTGCCACTTTCTGTGATGTAAATAGTCCCATCATGGTCCAAACTGGCTCCAGTACACCACTGGTGGGACACTGCGGAAAAAACAATGCAGATCTCATGGCCTATTTGGTCTGAGCCTATCTGAGGCCAGCCCTGCTTAAGAAAAGGAATCCTCCACATGGAGCAGCAGCCTAGCTCACTTAAGTTTGCTGGAGTTTCTCTCCAAAGCTCAGCTAATAAATAATGCGGTGTTACTTCGACTCATTCAACAAGTTTTTTTTTTTTTTTTTTTTTTTAGCTCCGATTCTTCTAGGTATTATTTTAGGCACTAAGGAAACAGCATTTAACAAAACAATTTTTCCTTCAAACATGCAATGCACACTTACTGAGACCAACTCTGTGCCAAGCACTATTCTAAGCCCTAGGGATATAACATTAGAAATATATATATATTTTTATTATATATATAGCATTATTTATTATACATAGGATTAGAAAAATTATATTTCTGAAGAGATATATATATAGCTTTTTCATGGGCTTTTATTCTAGTTAATAAAGACCTTTATAAACAAAAAAGTAAAATGTAAGAACATCAAATAGGTTATAGCTATGGAGAAATGAAGCAGGGTAAGGACATATGTGGCGGGGGCAGTTAAGATTTTAAACAAGGGATTATGAAAGGCCTTCTGAAAAAGTAACATTTGCTTAATGATCTAAAGGCAGTGATGGAGCAAGTCCTGACGACATCCGAGCATGTCAAGTGAAGGGAACAGCGTATGGAAAGGTCAGAAAGTGGAAGTACGCCTAGAAAATTCCATCTTGGAGCAGAATAACAAAAGACAAGAGCAATAAGAAATGAAGTCATAAAGATAGCAGGGGCCAGACAACAGAACTTGTAGCCCTTAGTAAGGAATGTGGCATATTATTCTAAGTACCATGAAAAGTCATTAAAAGATTTTAACATGTCTAAGTCTTTATAATTGAAATGGATTTCTTGTAGAAAACATGCAGTTGTGTCTTTTTTTTTTTTTTTTTTTTTTTGAGACGGAGTCTCGCTCTGTCGCCCAGGCTGGAGTGCAATGGCACAATCTCAGCTCACTACAACCGCTGCCTCCTGGGTTCAAGTGATTCTCCTCCCTCAACCTCCTGAGTAGCTGGGATTACAGGTGTGAGCCACCATGTCCAGCTAATTTTTGTATTTTTAGTAGAGACAGGGTTTCACCATGTTGGTCAGGCTGGTCTCGAACTCCTGACCTTGTGATCTGCCCACCTTGGCCTCCCAAAGTGGTGGGATTACAGGCATGGACTACTGCGTCCGGCCTTCCTTTTTTTTATCCACTCTGACAATCTCCTTTTTTTTAAGTTGGTGTATTCAGACCATTCACATTTATTTTTATTTCATTATTTTTATTTTATGTTCAGAGGCAGATGTACAAGTTTGTTATATAAGTAGATTTCATGTCTTCTTTTCTTTATTTTTTTCTTCTTCTTCTTCTTTTTTTTTTTTTTTTTTTGAGACAGAGTTTTGCTGTTGTTGCCCAGGCTGGAGTGCAATGGCACGATCTCGGCCCACTGCAACCTCCGCCTCCCGGGTTCAAGCGATTCTCCTGCCTCAGCCTCCCGAGTAGCTGGGATTACAAGCATGCACCACCATGCCAGACTAATTTTTGTATTTTTAGTAGAGACGAGTCTTCTGCATGTTGTTCAGGCTGGTCTCGAACTCCTGACCTCAGGTGATCTGCCCGCCTTGGTCTCCCAAAGTACTGGGATTACAGGCGTGAGCCACTGCGCCCGCTGGTAGATTTCATGTCACAGGGGTTTAGTGTACAGATTATTTCATCACCCAGGTAATGAGCATAGTACCTGATAGGCAGTTTTTCCATTCTCACCCTCCTTCCATTCTCTATTCTCAACTAGGCCCCAGGGTCTGTTGTTCCCTTCTTCTCATCCATATGTACTCAGTGTTTAGTTCCCACTTGTAAATACATTCGGCATTTGGTTTTCTGTTCTTGTGTTAGTTTGCTTAGGATAATGGCTCTCGGCTCCATCCATGTTGCTGCAAAGGGCATGATCTCATTCTTTATTACGGCTAAGCAGTATTTCATGATACCACATTTTCTTTATCAGGTCTACCGTTGATGGGCGTGTAAGTTGATTCCATATCTTTGCTATTGCGAAAGGCACTGAGATGAACTTTGTGCATACATGCATTATTATAGACAATTCACATTTAAAGGGATAATTGATATAATTTGATTAATAATTTCCATGTTTGTAACTGTTTTATATTCATTGCATTTGTTGTTTATTTCTTTACCCTTTCTTTTTCTGTCTCTTTTTAGCTGAGCCTTTATAGGATTGTATTTTATTTCCTCTCATAGAGTATCAATTATACTTCTTTTTAATAGTTTCAGTGGTTTCCATAAAATTTGAAACATACATTTTTAATTAATTGAAGTCACCTTTAAATAATACTATATTGCTTTACATGTAGTACAGGTACCTTAGTAAAGAACATTCCCAATTCCTAATTTCTATTTCTGTGACATTGCTGTCATTAATTTCACTTATCCATATGTGTAATCACCCAATGCATCGTTATTATTGTCACTTAAAAAATTTCAATAGGTTTTTGGGCAACAGGTGGTGTTTGGTTACGTGATAGGTTCTTTAGTGGTGATTTCTGAGATTTTGGTGCACCTGTCACTGAGCAGTGTACACTGTACCCAATGTGTGGTCTTTTATCTCTCATCTCCCTCCCACCCTTTTCCCCAAGTCCCCGAAGTCCATTGTATCATTTTTATGCTTTTGTGTTCCGATAGCTTAGCTCCCACTTATAAGTAAGAACATACAATGTTTGCTTTTCCATTTCTGAGTTACGTCGCTTAGAATAATGGTCTCCAATTCCAACCAGGTTGCTGTGAATACCATTATTTCATTCCTTTTTATGGCTGAGTAGTATTCCATGGTGTGTGTATATATATCCACTTGTTGGTTGATGGGCATTTGGGCTGGTTCTATATTTTTGCAATTGTGAATTGTGCCACTATAAACATGCATGTGCAAGTATCTTTTCATATAATGACTTCTTTTCCTCTTGGTAGATACCCAGTAGTGGGATTGCTGAATCAAATTTTGGATCTACTTTTAGTCCTTTAGAGGTTCTCCACACTGTTTTCCACATGGGTTGTACTAGTTTACATTACCACCAGCAGTGTAAAAGTGTTCGCTTTCACAACATCCACATCAACATCTGTTATTTTTGATTTTTTGATTATGGCCTTTTTACAGGAGTGAGGTGGTATTGCATTGTGGTTTTGATCTCTGATCATTAGTGATGTTGAGCATTTTTTCATAAGTTTGTTGGCCATTTGTGTATCTTCTTCTGAGAATTGTCTATTCATGTCCTTAGTCCACTTGTTGATGGAATTGTTTGTTTTTTTCTTGCTGATTTGATTGCATACCTTGTAAATACTGGGTATTAGTCCTTTGTTAGATGCATAGTTGGTGAAGATTTTCTCCCACTCTGTGGGTTGTCAGTTTATGCTGCTATTTCTTTTGTTGTGCAGAAGCTTTTTAGTTTAATTTATTCCCATCTGTTTATCTTTGTATTTGTTCTGTTTGCTTTTGGGTTCTTGGTCATGAAGTCTATGCCTAAGCCAATGTCTAGAAGGGTTTTTCTGATGATATCTTCTACAATTTTTATGGTTTCAGGTCTTAGATTTAAGTCTTTGATCCATTTTGAATTTATTTTTGTGTAAGGTGAGAGATAAGGATCCAGTTTCATTCTCCTACATGTGACTTGCCAATTATCCCAGCACCATTTGTTGAAAAGGGTATCCTTTCCCCATTTTATGTTTTTTTTTTTTTTTTTTTTTTTTTTTGTGTGTGTGTTTTTGTTGAAGATCAGTTGACTGTAAATATTTGGCTTTTTTTCTGGGTTTGCTATTTTGTTACATTGGTCTATGTGACTATTTTTTTTTTATTACTATACTTTAAGTTTTAGGGTACATGTGCACAATGTGCAGGTTAGTTACATATGTATACATGTGCCATGCTGGTGTGCTGCACCCATTAACTCGTCATTTAGCATTAGGTATATCTCCTAATGCTATCCCTCCCCCCTCCCCCCACCCCACAACAGTCCCCAGAGTGTGATGTTCCCCTTCCTGTGTCCATGTGTTCTCACTGTTCAATTCCCATCTATGAGTGAGAACGTGCGGTGTTTGGTTTTTTGTCCTTGCGATAGTTTACTGAGAATGATGATTTCCAGCCTCATCCATGTCCCTACAAAGGACATGAACTCATCATTTTTTATGGATGCATAGTATTCCATGGTGTATATGTGCCACATTTTCTTAATCCAGTCTATCATTGTTGGACATTTGGGTTGGTTCCAAGTCTTTGCTATTGTGAATAGTGCCACAATAAACATACATGTGCATGTGTCTTTATAGCAGCATGATTTATAATCCTTTGGGTATATACCCAGTAATGGGATGGCTGGGTCAAATGGTATTTCTAGTTCTAGATCCCTGAGGAATCGCCACACTGACTTCCACAGTGGTTGAACTAGTTGACAGTCCCACCAACAGTGTAAAAGTGTTCCTATTTCTCCACATCCTCTCCAGCACCTGTTGTTTCCTGACTTTTTAATGATCGCCATTCTAACTGGTGTGAGATGGTATCTCATTGTTGTTTTGATTTGCATTTCTCTGATGGCCAGTGATGATGAGCATTTTTTCATGTGTCTGTTGGCTGCATAAATGTCTTCTTTTGAGAAGTGTCTGTTCATATCCTTCACCCACTTTTTGATGGGGTTGTTTGTTTTTTTCTTGTAAATTTGTTTGAGTTCATTGTAGATTCTAGATATTAGCCCTTTGTCAGATGAGTAGCTTGCGAAAATTTTGTCCCATATTTTAGGTTGCCTGTTCACTCTGATGGTAGTTTCTTTTGCTGTGCAGAAGCTCTTTAGTTTAATTAGATCCAATTTTTCAATTTTGGCTTTTGTTGCCTATTTTTTATGCTAGTACCATGCTGTGTTGGTGACTATAGCCTTATAGTATAGTTTGAAGTTGGGTCATGTTATGCCTCCAGATTTGTTCTTTTTGTTTAGTCTTGCTTTGGCTATGTGGAATCTTTTTGGGTTCCATATGAATTTTAGGATTGTTCTTTCTAGTTCTGTGAAGAACTAGCAAAAAATACCATCGTGGTATTATGATGGGAATTGCATTGAATTTGTAGATAGCTTTTGGCAGTATGGTCATTTTCACAATATCAATTCTACCCATCCATGAGCATGGGATGTGTTTACATTTGTTTGTGTTGTCTATGATTTTCTTTCAGCAATGTTTTCTAGTTTTCCTTGTAGAAGTCTTTCACCTCCTTTGTTAGGTATATTCCTAAGTATTTTATTTCTTTTTGCAGCTATTGTAAAGTGGTTGAGTTCTTGATTTGATTCTCAGCTTAGTCGCTGTTGGTGTATAGCAGTACTACTGATTTGTGTATATTGATTTTGTATCCTGAAACTTTACTGAATTTATTTATCAGTTCTAGGAGCTTTTTTGATTAGTCTTTAGGGTTTTCTAAGTATACGATCATATTATCGGTGAACAGCAACAATCTGACTTCCTCTTTACCGATTTGGATGCCCTTTATTCCTTTCTCTTGTCTGTTTGCTTCAGCTAGGGCTTCCAGTACTATGCTGAATAGAATGGTAAGAGTGGGCATCCTTGTCTTGTTCCAGTTCTCAGGGGAAATGCTTTCAACCTTTCCCCATTCAGTATAATGTTGGCTGTGGGTTTGTCATAGATGGCTTTGCTACCTTAAGGTATGTCCCTTCTATGCTGATTTTGCTGAGGTTTTTAATAATAAAGGGATGCTGGATTTTGTCAAATGCTTTCTCTGCATCTATTGAGATTATGTAATTTTTGTTTTTAGCTCTGCTTATCTTGTGTATCATATTTATTGACTTGCATATGTTAAACCATCCCTGCCTCCCTGGTATAAGGCCCACTTGTCCATCGTGGATTAGCTTTTTCATATGCTGTTGGATTAAGTTAGCTAGTATTTTGCTGAGGATTTTTGCATCTATGTTCATCAGGGATATTGGTCTGTAGTTTTCCTGTTTTGTTATATTTTTTCCTGATTTTGATATTAGAGAACTGGCTTCATAGAATGATTTAGGGAGGATTCCCTCTTTCTCTTTTTTTGGAATAATGTCAATAGTATTGGTACCAATTCTTCTTTGAATATCTGATAGAATTCAGCTGTGAAGTCTAGTCCTCGACTTTTTTTTTTTTTTTTTTGGCAATTTTTCAATTACCATTTCAATCTTGCTGCTTGCTGTTGGTCTGTTCAGAGTTTCTGCTTCTTCCTGGTTTAATCTAGGAAGGTATTGTGTTTCCAGGAATGTATCCATCTCTTCTAGGTTTTCTAGTTTGTGCGCATAAAGGTGTTCATAGTAGCCTTGAATAATCTTTTGTATTTCTGTGGCATTTGTTGTAATAACTCCCATTTCTTTTTGAATTGAGCTTATTTGGATCTTCTCTCTTGTTTTCTTGGTTAATCTTGTTAATGTTCTATCAATTTTATCTTTTCAAAGAACCATCTTTTTGTTTCATTTATCTTTTTTTGTTTCAATTTTATTTAGTTCTGCCCTGATCTCTGTTATTTCTTTTCTTCTGCTGGATTTGGGTTTGATTTATTCTTGTTTTTCTAGTTCCTTGTGGTGTGACCTTAGATTATTTATTTGTGCTCTTTCAGACTTTTTGATGTAGGTATGTAATGCTATGAACTTTCCTTTTAGCACCGTTTTTGCCATAGCCCAGAGGTTTTGATAGGCTGTGTCACTATTATTATTCAGTTCAAAGAATCTTAAAATTTCCATCTTGATTTCATTGTTGACCTCATGATCGTTCAGGAGCAAGTTATTTAATTTCCATGTATTTGCGTGGTTTTAAAGGTTACTTTTGGAGCTGATTTCCAGTTTTATTCCATTGTGGTCTGGAAGAGTGGCTTGATATAATTTCAATTTTCTTAAACTTATCAAGGCTTGTTTTGTGGCCTGTCGTACGGTCTGTCTTGGGGAAAGTTCCATGTGCTGATGAATAGAATGTATATTCTGCAGTTGTTGGGTAGAATGTTCTATAAATATCTGTTAAGTCCATTTGTTCTAGGTTATAGTTTAAATCCATCCTAGGGTATGGTTTAAATCCCTTCTAGTTTGTAGGATTTCCTTCGTCTTGACTTTTGATAACCTGATGACTATGTGCCTATGCGATGACCTTTCTGCAATGAATTTCCCAAGTGTTCTTTGAGCTTCATGTATTTGAATGTCTAGATCTCCAGCAAGACCAGTGAAGTTATCTTTGGTTATTCCATCAATTATGTTTTCCAAACTTTCAGATTTCTCTTCTTCCTTAGGAATACCAATTATTCTTAGGTTTGGTCATTTAATGTAATCCCAAACTTCTTGGAGGTTTCATTCACTTTATTTTTACTTTTTGATCTTTTTTCTTTGTAGGATTGGGTTAATTCAAAAGCCTTGTCTTTGAGCTCTGAAGTTATTTCTTCTACTTGTTTGATTCTATTATTGATACTTTCCAGTGTATTTTACATTTCTGTAAATGTGTTCTTCATTTCCAGAAGCTGTGATTATTTTTTATTTATGTTATTTATTTCTCTGGAGATTTTTCCATTTATATCCTGTATCATTTAAAAAATTTCTTTAAGTTGGTATTCACCTTTCTCTGGTGCCTCCTTGAGTAGCTTAATAATTGACCTTCTGAATTCTTTTTATGGCAATTCAGAGATTGTTCTTGGTTTGGATTCATTGCTGGTGAGCTACTGTGATCTTTTGCGGGTGTTAAGGAACCATGCTTTGTCATATTACCAGAATTGCTTTTCTGGTTTCTTCTCTTTTGGATAGACTATGTTGGAGGGGACATCTGAGGCTCAAGGGCTGCTATTCAGATTTTAGCCCATGGGGCTTCTCCCTTGGTGTGGTGCTCTCTCCCTTCCCCTAGGGATGGAGCTTCTTAAAAGTCAAACTGCAGTGCTTATTATTTACCTTCTGGGTGTAGCCACCCAGTGGAGCTACCAGGCTCCAGGCTGGTACTGGGGAGTGTCTGCAAAGAGTCCTGTGACGTGATCTGTCTTCAGGTCTCTCAGCCATGGATACCAGCATCTGTTCTGGTGGAGAGAGCAGGGGAATGAAGTGGACTTTGTGAGTGTCCTTGTAGTTTTGTTCAGTGCATGCATTTTGTGTTGGTCGGCCTTCAGCCAGGAGGTGGCACTTTCAAGACAGCATTAGCTGCAGTAGTATAGGGAGGATACAAGCTTGCCCCAGGGTCACCTGGATAAGTATTCGGGTTTCTCAGGTGGAAGGTGGGGCCATGGAGCTTCCAAGAGATATGTTCTTTGTCTTCGGCTACCAGGGTGGGTAGAGAAAGACCATCAGGTAGGGGTAGGGTTAGGCATGTCTGAGTTCTGACTCTTCTTGGGCAGGGCTTACTGTGGCTGCTGTGGGGAGTGCACATGTGGTTCTCAGGCCAATGGAGTTATGTTCTGAGGAGGATTATGGCTGCCTCTGCTGTGTCCTACAGGTTTCCAGGGAAGTAGGGGAAAGTCAGCAGTGACAGGCCTCATCCAGTTTCCACACAACCCGAAAGTCCAGTCTCACTTCCACCGGGCCCCCAACTACAGCACTGAGTTTATTTTCTGGCAGCAGGTGAGCAGGGCTGAGAATTTGCTTTGGACTGCAAGCCTCCCTGCTGAAAAAGCAAGCAGGGCTTTCAGGTTTTGAGCCTCCCTGCCTGCCAAGGCTTCTGTGCTAGTATCTCCACTTCCTGTTCACCCCATTACAAAGTTCAGCTGGAAGTTTCCTTCTCCCTGTGGTCTTTCCCTAATTCCACTGGTAGCCCTCCGCAGGGACCCCTGTGAGACAAAGTCATAAATGGCTTCCTTGGGGAACAAGAATGCCCACAGGGCTCTTACCGCTGCTTCCTCTACCCCTGTATTTCTCTTGGCTCTCTAAATTTGTCTCGGCTCCAGGTGAGGTTAGATCCTTCTCCCGTGATCTGGACTTTCAGGTTCCCGGTAAGGATGTGTGTTCAGCGGTGGACTTTCCTCCTTACACACTTTGAGCACTCACAGCTTTTTGGCTGCAGCCCCAAGCTGTTTCTTTCAAAGGATCTGTTGATTCTCTTGGCTTGCCTGGTATGTTCCTTGTAGTAGTTCTTGGAGCAAAAGGTCACGATGTAAGTCTTCACATGCTGCTTTGTCTATCTGAGTGGGAGTTGCAAATTAGTCCAGCCTTCTATCTGCCATTTTTTCCTATTATCACTTTTTGCAAAAAGCTTTTAAAGAAAATTTTAAAAAAATGGTTTTAGGTAAACAGCAAAATTGAAGGAAGGTACAGAGTTCTTTGTATATTTTAGATAACAGTTTTTTATTAGATGTGTCTTTGGCAGATATTCTCTGCCAGCCTGAGGCCTGTCTTCTCATTCTCTGGGCATTGTCCTTTTTAGAACAGATGTTTTCCATTTTAATAAAGTCCAGGTTATTAATTATTTCTTTCATGAATTGTACTTTTGTTGTCATATCTAAAATATTATTGCCAATCCAAGGCCATCTAAATTTTTTCTCTTATGATGCCTTTTAGGAGACTTATAGTTTTAGATTTCACATTTAGATCTGTGACCCATTTTGAGTTAATTTTTTGTGAAGGGTATGAGGTCTCTGTCAAGATTCACCCCTTTTGTTTTGTGAAAGTGGATGTCCAGGTGAGGTGTAGTGATTCATTCCTGCAATTCCAGAAATTTGGGAGGCTGAGATGGAAGGATCACTTGAGGCTAGAAGTTTGAGACCGTCCTGGGCAACATAGTGAGATACCATCTCTACAAAAAATACAGATAAAAAAATGAGCTGGGTGTGGTGGTGTGTGCCTGTAGTCTTAGCTACAGCTTAATCTGCTGGGGCATTATCAAAACCTAACTGACCTGAGGGAATGGAAATACCCAACTATACACCTATAGCCTTCACTTGGGAGAAGAGAAATAACAACTTCAGCTTATTCCATCCTTCCCGTTTCGCCTAAGAGGGCAAGTGAAAAGCAAGTATGGAGTTCACTGTCCAGAGACACAAACTTCCTAAAAGACTGAGATGTAATCATAGGCCTATAGAACACTCCCAGCACCACCTTACCACCACATTACTAAAGGACTATTTGCAACAGTTCCTTTTACACAGTATGTCGTGTGTATCTCTCAAGAAAAAAATTAGAAGACATACTAAAAAGCAAAATATATATATATATATATATATATACTTTGAAAAGACAGAACAAGCATCAAAACTACATTCAGATATGACAGGGATGTTGGAATGATCAGACCAGGAATTTAAAACAACCATGATTAACATACTAAGGGCCCTAATGGATAAAGTAGACAGCATGAAAGAACAGATGAGCAACATGAGCAGAGAGATGGAAATTCTGAGAAAGAACCAAAAAGAAATGCTAAAGAACACTGTAACAGAAATGAAGAATGCTTTTTATAAAATTTTTGAATTATTTATTATTTTTAATTTTGATGGGTATATAGTATGTGTATATATTTATGGGGTATAGGAGATATTTTGATACAGGCATGCATTGTGTAATAATCACATAATGGAAAATGGGGTACCTATCAACTCAAGCATTTATCCTCTGTATGACAATTCAATTATACTCTTTCAGTTATTTTTAAATGTATAATTTAATTATTATTGACTATAGCCATCGTGTTGTGCTATCAAATACTAAATGTTATTCATTTTGTGCTGATTACTTTTTGTACCCACTAACCATCATCACTTTTTCCTCACCCCTGGCAACCCTTTCCAGCCTCTGCTAACCATCCTTCTACTCTCTATCTCCATGAGTTCAATTGTTTTAGTCTATAGCTCCCACAAACAAGTGAGAGCACATGAAGTTTCTCGTTTTATGCTTGGATTATTTCACTTAACATAATGACTTCCAGTTCTATCCATGTTGTTGCAAATTACAGGATCTCATTTCTTTTATGGCTGAATAGTACTCCATTGTGTATACATACCACATTTTCCTTATCAATTCATCTATCGATGAACACTTATGTTGCTTCAAAATCTTGGTTATTGTGAAAACTGCTGCAATAAACATGAGAGTGCAGATAACTCTTTGATATACTGCTTTCCCTTCTTTTGGGTATATACCTAGCACAGGGATTGCTAGATCACATATTAGCTCTATTTTTAGTTTTTTGAGGAACCTCCAAATTTTTCTCCATAGTGGTTGTACTAATTTACATTCCCACCAACAGTGTAAAGGGTTCCCTTTTCTCCACATTCTCTCTGGCATTTATTAGGCTGGTGCAAATGTTTTATTTTTTTTCAGTTTCTTTTAATTGCCTGTCTTTTAGAAAAAAGCCACTTTAGCTGGGGTAAGATGACATCTCATTGTAGTTTTGACTTGCATTTCTCTGATGATCAATGATGTTGAACACTTTTTCACATACCTGTTTGCCATTCATATGTGTTTTTTTGAAAAATGTCTGTTCAGATCTTTTATTCATTTTAAATCAGATTATTAGATTATTTTCCTATAGAGTTGTTTCAGCTCCTTATATATTCTGATTATAGATTCCTTGAGAGATAGGTAGTTTTCAAATATTTTCTCTTGTTCTGTGGGTTGTCTCTTCACTTTGTTGATTGTATTCTTTGCTATACAGAAGCTTTTCAACTTGATGTGATCCCATTTGTCCATTTTTGTTTCGGTTGCCTGTGCTTGTGGGGTTTTGCTCAAGAAATCTTTGCCCAGGCCAATGTCCTGGAGATTTTCCTGAAAGTATTGTTTTACTAATTTCATAGTCTGAGGTCTTAGATTTAAGTCTTTAATCCATTTTCATTTGATTTTTGTATATGGTGAGAGAAGTCTAGTTTCATTCTTTGGCATATAGATATCCAGTTTTCCCAGAACCATTTATTGAAGAGTGCATGTTCTTTTCCCAGTGTGTGTTCTTGGCAGTTTTGTCAAAAATGAGTTCACTGTAGATGTATGGATTGGCTTCTGGATTCTCCATTCTGTTCCATTGGTCTCTGTGTCTGCTTTTATGCCAGTAGCATGCTGTTTTGGTTACTATAGCTCTGTAATATAATTTGAAGTCAGATAATGTGATTCCTCCAGTTTTGTTATTTTTGCTCAAGATAGCTTTGGCTACTCTGGGTCTTTTGTGATTTCGTATAAATTTTAAGATTGCTTTTTGTATTTCTGTGAAGAATGTCATTTGTATTTTGATAGGGATTGTATAGATCCTGTAGATTT
Organism: Homo sapiens; assembly: GCF_000001405.40. NCBI lineage: Eukaryota > Metazoa > Chordata > Mammalia > Primates > Hominidae > Homo > Homo sapiens. The sequence continues at coordinate 118,634,907 of NC_000005.10, read as the reverse complement.
CTTTGGGCAGTATGAACATTTTAACAATACCGATTCTTCCATTTCATGGACATGGAATATATTTTCTTTCTTTGTGTGTGCACTCTTCAATTTCTTGCATCAATGTTTTATAGTTTTCACTGCAGAGATCTTTCACTTCTTTGGTTAATTCCTAGGTATTTAATTTCATTTGCAGCTATTATAATTGGGATTGCTTTCTTGATTTCTTTTTCAGATTGCTCATTGTTGGCATATAGAAATACTACTGATTTTTCTATGTAAATTTTGTATCCTGCAACCTTACTGAATTTATCAGTTCTAATAGTTATTTTTTTTTGAAAGAATCTTTAGGTTTTTCCAAATGTAAGATCATATAATCCATAAATGAAGATAATTTGATTTCTTTCTTTCCAGTTTGGATGCCCTTTATTTCATTCTCTAGTCTAATTCCTGTATCAAGAACTTCTTGAAGAATGCTTTTGATAGGCTTATTGGTAGACTAGATAAGGCTGAGAAAAGAATCTCTGAGCTTGAATATATATCAGTACAAACCTCCAAAACTGAAAAGCAAAGAAAATAATGACTAAAAACAATAGGAACAGAATATTCAGGAACTGTGGGACAACTGCAAAAGGTGTAAATACACATAATGAGGATACTCAAAGAAGAGAAAGAAAAAAAATAGAAGAAATATTTGAATAATGACAACTGGGAGTTTCCCCCAAATTAATGTCAGACACCAAGCCACAGATGTAGGAAGCTCAGACAACAATAAGCAAGATATATGCAAAGAAAACTATGCCTAGAGAAGTTGTTTTCAAACAACAAAAAGTTAAAGAAAAAATCTTGAGGGAATCCAGAGGAAATAAAAACACCTTATTTATTAAGGAGCAAACATAAGAATTTCATCCAGCTTCTCAGACCTGCAAATAAGCAGAGAGTGAAGTGAAATATTTACAATGCTGAGAAAAAAACTCCCACCTAGAATTCTGTTCCCTGAAAAATAATTCTTCAAAAGAGGAGGAATAAAGACTTTCTCAGACAAACAAAAATGGAGCAAATTTGTTGCCAGTAGACCTACCTTGCCAGAAATGTTAAAAAGAAGTCCTTTAGAAATAAGGAAAATGTTCTAGGTCAGAAATATAAGGAAAATATGAACATTAAAGAAGGAATAAGTGGAGGCAAATAAAAACCTTTATTTTTCTTATTGTTATTTGATCTAACAGGTAAGTTTGTTCAAAACAGGGGTAGCCACAGTATATTAAATTACATATATATATATATATATACATATATATGCTTATGTATGCCTACATATAAGTAAAGTGAATAACAGCAGGAGGGAAGAATTAGGATTAATTTGTTATTATAAAGTGCTCACACTACCTATGAAGCACTATAATGTTATTTGAAAGTAGACTTGGGATAGCTGTAAATACATATTGCAAACTCTAGGGCAACCACTAAAAAATGTTTCAAAAGAAGTATAACTTATATGCAAAGAAAGGAGAGAAAATAAAATTATAGGCTATGTGTTTCTGCTTAAAACAAGGCTATGCATTGATCAGTTGATGGAAAGGTAACCAGAGGCTCACAGGAACCTAATCCTGTATTTCCTCTAGGAGCAGTGGTTCAGTGTTCTCTAATTTACTGTTCATGACACTTTATAGAACATAGCTAGCATGAAAATGAGAATGAACTGTGCTTTTTTTTTAAGTTTGAATGTGAAATAAGATAGGACTATATTCATACATTTAAGTTGTGGAAATGTTTATAAGGTTGGTTAACAAGAAATATTTATAGATTCTCTGACAGAAACTATACAGCCAGGTATATAATTATACTACCCTATCATTTTTAAGAAAAGAGAACAGATGGTGCCTCCACCCTCCCACTACATTCTCCTCTCATCCCTAGCTCCATCCTACACCACGTAGAACCTTGCATCCATATATAGACACTTCAAATTTCATGCTTAATTTTATTCCTCGTCTACCCCCTTAGTCCAAATAATTAGCCCTTTTTGATCCCTGTGGCTGAGGGATGAGTATGTTGATAGTATGGGACCCTTGGGAGTCAGATGAAAAGAGGCCTTTGCAGGCTCTGGAAGAGGGATCAGGACCACCGAGCAGAGAATTCTGAGACCCAAGTTATTGGGTCTACAAGGTAGGGGAGACACAGGTTTCTAGTTTTGTGTTGCTCAAGTCCTTGTTTTTTCTTTTGGATTCCTTGCTCCATGGGGAAGATCACAGTCAAATAAAAGACAGAGTAGTACTGGGCCTGGCTCAGAAACCTTAGTTGGCTAGGTCTAAGGTAAGTACTGTGTATGGAGTATGGTGTATGACACAAAAAGTAGTTTTCTTTCTGAATTAGGAAGAGGAAATGGGTGTTGGGGGAAGTAACAGGAAATTCTTAATAGAGGAAATGTCTTTCAAAACTCAGCTCATAAGTTAACTAGGGAGATTTCTAGGTGTGCTGAAATAAGGACTGAGTTGGAAGAAGATATTTCAGGCCATAGTAGTCCCTTTACACACTGCTGATAAAGATATACCAGAGACTAGGTGCTTTATAAAAAAGAAGAGGTTTAATGGACTCACAGTTCCACGTGGCTGGGGAGGCCTCACAATCATGGCAGAAGGTAAAAGGCATGTCTTACATGGTGGCAGGTAAGACAGAGAATGAGAGCCAAGTGAAAAGGGTTTCCCCTTCTAAAACTATCAGATCTTGTGAGACTTATTTACTACCATGAGAATAGTTTTGGGGAAACGGCCCCCATGATTCATTTATCTCCCACCAGGTGCCTCCCACAACATGTGGGAATTATGGGAGCTACAATTCAAGATGAGACTTGGGTGGGGACACAGCCAAACCATATCACAGGCAGAGGCAGGAGTGTGAACAAAATCACTAAACCAAATAATATATGCTCTTTTCAGCAAGCTGTGAGTAATTCAGTAGAGCTACAGCACAACACGAGAGGGATGGGAGATACAGATAATAGAATAGGCTAAGTTATGGAGAACCTTGAATGCTGTACTGAAGGGTTTGTCCTTTATCGTGCTAATGCTGAGGAATTATAGAGTGACACCATCAAATCTCTGCTTTGGTTTAGCATATGCAGCTTGGATTGGAGAAATGGGGTTGGAAGGAGGACTTTGGAAGTAGCTATGAGTGTGCTATAATTTGCTCAAGTGAAAGGTAAAGAGGGACTGAACCTGTCATAGCACCGTGGTGGTGATAAAAAAGAACATGAACAAGAGTGATAAAAACATACATTTATTATGTAAAAGGCACTGTTCCAAGTGCTTTCAGGCATAAATTTAATTCTTACATCAACCCTGAGCAATAGGTACAGTAGTCCCCTTGTCTGCGGTTTTACTTTACTGTGTCAATCATGGCCTAAAAAAAATTAAATGGAAAATTCGTAAGTTAAACATTCATATATCTTCAATGGCATGCCATTCTGAATAGGGTGATGAAATCTTGTGTCATCCCGTTCTGTCCCACCTGAGACATGAATCGTCCCTTTATCAGCAAATATTCACCATCTATGTTCCCTGCCCATTAGCTGTCCTGGTTATAAGATCGACTATTGTGGTATCACAAGGCTTGTGTTCAAGCAACCTTGATTTACTTAATAATCCCAAGGTACAAGAATAGTGATGCCGGAAATTCAGATATGCCACAGAGAATCCATAAAGTACCTCCTTTAAGTGAAAAGATGAAAGTTCTCAACTTAAAGAAAGAAAAAATATTGTATGCTGAGTTGGCTAATATCTATAAGAACAAATCTTCTATCTGTGAAATGGTAAAGAAGGAAAGAAAATGCATGCCAGTTTTCTTATCAGAGTTCAAACTGAAAAAGTTACAGCCATAGTGTGTGATAAGTGCTGAGTAAACACAGAAAAAGCATTAAATTTGTGGATGGAAGACATGAACAGAAATGTGTTCGGATTGATGGCAGTGGGCTTCAGTACAATCTGCAGTTTCAGGCATCCGCTGGGGGTCTTGGAACATATCCGCTGTGGCTAAGGGGGAACTACCGTACTGTTATTTATTCTTATTTTACAGATGGGGAAGCTAAGACAATGGCAGGTTAAATGAATCACTCGAGGTCATGTATCTAGGAAGCAGTGGAGTCAGGATTTTAACTAGTTCCAGTTCTAGAGCCCATATTCTTAACCCTTAAGTTGAGATGAAAGGAGAGATGAGTCAGAATGTGAGAGGTTAGAGAGAGGTTGATTGTATAGGACCTGATGACAGATTAGATGTAGAGGATGAGAAACCAAGGATGGTTCTAAGATTAATTCTGGGTATGGCTTGAGAAGATGCTGGTGCCAATTAGAAATGGAGAACACAAAAATAAGAGTGATTCTGGGAGGAAGAGGCTGTGTTGGTCTTGCAGCCTGCCAAGTTGGATGTGTTGATGACACATTCAAGTGGAAACATCCCTCAATGAGGTCCTGGAGCTCAAGGGAGAGGTCTGTCAGAGGAGTGGGCCCACTGAAAGGTGAAGGCTCATCTTTGATGAGCAACCCCTAGCTAACAGAGGTAAAGTAGAGAAGTGGACAGATTTAGCCTAGAAATGACTTATTTTACTAAAGAAGGCACATAGAGTAGATGATAAGAGTATAAACCATGGAGCTTTGCTACATACCAGCTGTACAATGAGTAGCTTAATCTTTCCAGACATCAGTTTTTGAATCTGTAAAATGGAGGGTATAAATTCTCCCTCGTGGGGTAATTATGAGAATTTAATGAGTTCATTCTTGAAAGTATTTAAAACAGTGCTTGGCACATATTAAGAAAGAGGCAATACTTTAAGTCATGGCAGATTTCTCTACAAAGAAACTTTAATGCCAAAGCAGGGTCTCTCTCATTCTCTCTCTCTTTCTGTGTGTGTCTATTTCTCTATCTTTGTCTTTCGCTCTCTTTCTCTCCTTTTCTCTGCCACAACATGACAATCTGAGAAAATGCCTTTATAAAGTGGGTCCCTTTGTAAGGCAGATCCCATTTTGCCACAGGAAATACTGAATTGAAGTAACAAGAACATTCAAATCACACACATACCAAATATAGCTTATTTTTTTTTCTGTACATTTCTTCTTTCTCCTGAGCTCTTCCCTGCTGAATACATGAAGGCAAGTAAAATTTAATCCAACATAAAAATTATAGTCCTTTTCAAGAATTTAAAACAGTGGTAACTCAGTCTCTTTGAGGTAAGTGCTAACAACTTTCAGATATTCTTCCCCTTCCAGACTTGTCTCCAAGATGGAGTCGGTGTAGGGCATTTGGGGTAGAATGTGGAAGCTTTAGAAGTGACAGAGATAAGGGTGGCCTGAGACCCATGCTTCTAGGGCTTTCTCCTTTCCTCTGGGCCTCTGGTTTCTGAGATTGTCCCTGTTTTCCAGGTGTGCCATTTGATCCTCACTCTATGGCTGGTGAATTCCTGATGGATTCTATCAGCCTCACCCACCTCCAGCTTCATCGTTGCTGGCTCTTGCCCTCTGCCTGAGGTCTGATTGTGGCTCCTTTCAGTCTCCAGGCTGAGTAACTTACTTTCTAGCCCAGAGTCACAGGGTCATATTACTCCATCAAGACAAAACCTCAGGTAGGCTCCAGAGATAGACTATCCTTGACCCCCACTCTCCAACCCCACAGTTTGTGAGACTATCCAAGCTCTTTGATGCCACACAGGAGCCCAGGGTGGCTGGGGTTCCTCACTCACACAAAGCTGTCACTCTCCATCTAGAGCAGCAGGTTGCAGTGTGGGCTCATGTGTTTTACAAAGCAGTCTGCTCTCTTAGTCACAAACGGGAATGTGGCCACAGCTCCTCTCTCCTTTGTGTTTTCTCTTAAACCTAATTAACAAAAATATTCTCTCTGATTTGAGTCTGGAGAATGCGGTCAGGAAGGCCTGGCCTCACTGCCTCCTTTCTTTGCTTCCTTCCCCCTATTTTCCAAATCCAAAGGGGCTGGAAGGAAATAGCCTTTTCACCTCCCCCTCTCCTTGTTTGATGGGATATTCTCCATATCACATTCTCTTCCCTAATAAGGTCATCTTTCCTGTTCCCCTTTCCCTGGAGCAAAGGGGGAAATGAAAATCTATTAATTATTCCAGTGATACTAGTGATCAAAGACTTGGCCACTTATATAAGCCATCACAATCCTCGAGGAAAAGGCAGAACAACTATAAACCGCTACAAAAACTTACATAGTACAGCCTGTTCTAAATCTTATAAAATCATTTTAATGCACTTCTTAGCTTGGCATATGTAAAGAATTCCACAGTATCACAAATATTACTTTAGCATATAAAATAAAGCTCAATTGTGTCATAAATTGGGCCTCTTTAAAACTAATATGCTTACATAATAAGCTTTCATTAAATATTTAATTCGCTAAAGTTTAGTCTGCTTTTTAGAATGTGGTTAAGTCTCCTATGGGCAGGATAGTAATTAATCCATAGTTTATTAACAACGTGTTCCTAAAAATGTTACTTAACACTCTGTACCTCAGATGCCCTGTTTGTAAAATGAGAGTATTTGCAATACCTACATCATAGAGTTATTGTGGGAATTAGATTAGGTAGCACCAGGCACGTAGTAGATACTGTGTGAACAGTTGCAACATTCATTATGATTTGAGTGGGCTGGGTCCTATGTCTTACTCATGCTTTTCTTTCACTGTTGCAAACATTGGTGTTAAAAATTATTTCTTTGATCATTATTCTTTGTATTATTTGTTGTTATATACCATTGCAGCAGCTGAACATTTGAGGTCACCTTTGATATCTGTAGTTGTGAGGATTTAGAAAACAGAAGTACCTTGACTTTGTGTAGCAGGTTTATTTTCATTCCTTCATTGTTTTTTAGATGTCCCAGGTCCTTTCAACTCAGGTATGCCATGGTTCTTTCTGCCTCTTTCTTTGTCTCTCTTGAAATTCTTTGAGCACTAAATAATTCAGGTATTACAATAATTGTAGTTATTTTTGAGTCCGTTTATACACAGAATTCTTCCACATGGCAGAAGATATGATGTCAGAGTACCTGCTAAGCATCGCCACACCCACAATGGTTCTATCAAAGAGGAGAAAAATGAAAACAGATCAAGAAGACACACTGGCATTAGCGATGGCTGAGGAAGAAAGGAACATTAAATAGCCTTGTTTAAATATACATTTCTGGGATTACTAGTGAGGTGGGTTTTACATGAGCTATTCAAAAAGATTAAAATCCTGTTTGTCATATTTTTAGCAAACATTTGATCTTATCAGTTGTCTTTTGACTTTAGATATGAAAAAGTTTTGAAATTTTACATCATCAAATCTGTTGACTACACGTTTTGAGAATTATGTTGCTTTTAATGCTGGAGTTTTTTTTCCCTCTGTAGAGATTTGGCAAAGAACGACTTATATTGTTTTTGAGTCTTAAAGTTTGACTTTTTAAAGCATTTAACTCTTATCTCCTTTGAGCTTATACTGTTTATTGTTTGAGATATGTGTAATAGCTAAACTTTTATTTTTTCTCTTTTCAATCAAAGGAGAAAATTGCTTTAATATAACTTACTGAACTTATTGTACTTCTTTTATCATGTATTAATTTTCTTTATACTTGCACTGTAGAGTAGTTGCTAGCAGTACTTGGTTGTTGAGCATGTGAAATATGGCTAGACCAAACTGAGGTGTGCTGTGAGTTTAAAATACATATGGTAGATTTCAAATACTTAGAACAACAACAAAATGTAACTCATCTCAATAATTTTTGGTATTTATAACATGTTGACATGATAATTTGTCAATATATCAACATGATATATGTTATATAATGATACATAATATACTATATTGATATATATTATATTGATATGTAAATATATATTTTATATATATGATATATGATATGAATATATGATATATTTATATGATATGTAAATAACATAAACATGCTATTTCACTTTTACTTTAAAAATGTTATTATTACAAAATTTTAAATTATATATGGCTCATATTACATTTCTGTTAGGCAACTCTACACATTCGGGTTTGTTTCTATGCTATTGATTCTCAATATTGTTTGCAGATTTAATTATTGTACCCTTATAATATGTTTCTGGATCTGATTGAACTAGTTTCTTCGTTTTTATTCTTTATCAACTTTCTTTTTATTTATATTTGCCTATTTATTCTTCCAGATAATTTAAACATTTTTGCCAAGTTCCAATAAAAGTAAATCCCTCATTTAAATTTTGATCTAAATCACTCAAAATTTATAAATTGATTTGGAAAGAATTGACGTCTTTATAAGACTAAGCCTTTTTTTCCCCAAGAAAATAGAATTTCTTCTTATTTTTTGTCTTCCCTTTTTATATTTTTTGAAAACTCTGTTTTTCATCATGTAAATTATACACATTTGATCTTTCAACTATTTCTAGGTATCATTTTTGTTTGTTTGTTTGTTTTTGTTTTTTTGAGATGGAGTCTCACTCTGTTGCCCAGGGTGGAGTGCAGTGGCATGATCTCGGCTCACTGCAGCCTCTGTCTCCCTAGTTAAAGCAATTCTTCTGCCTCAGCCTCTTGCGTAGCTGGGCCTACAGGCGTGCGCCATCACGCCCGGCTAATTTTTTTGTATTTTTAGTAGAGACGGAGTTTCACCATGTTGGCCAGGATGGTCTTGATCTCCTGACCTCATGATCCACCTGCCTCGGCCTTCCAAAGTGCTGGGATTACAGGAGTGAGCCACTGCGACTGGCCAGGTATCATGTTTTTTACTGCTGTTGTAAATATGAGTTATTATTCCAATATATTTTCTGACTAGTTTTTGGCAGTTTAGGGAGGATGATTTTTTAAAATGTATCTTGTACTAGAGATTTTTACTGAACTTTAAAAAAATTAATTTTAATAGGTTTTCAACTGATTCTGTTGTGTTATTCTCCTTTTCAAATTAAAATGCAAGACCACAGTAAGCTCCAAATAAGCTTCTATAGCTCTCTCCAACATTATTGCTCAAAAAATCTAATTTTTGCAAAAAGAATAGCTAGGTATAACATACTGCTGTTTATTTTAGGTGAAATTTTCTCAGAATTTGACTGTAATATTGGAAATCACAGAGTTAGAATGTTTGTCTTGTATGTCCTTTAGATGCAAGGACTAGGGAAAATGGTGAATGATTCAAAGAGCACAGCTACAAATACATTTGGGACACTATGTGAGTGTGAGAGCATGTGTCTGTGTGTGTAAGACCAGTTGTAAGAAAAAACTGTTGGCTCCTGATAGTTGCCTTTTGATGGGTGTTTGAGGTGGCATTCATTACCCTAGGTAGTTACAAGGTTAGCTGAATATCTTCTCAACTGGGATTACACTTTGAAACCCTCAGCCTTTTTCTCGGATCTCTGAGAGCCTGGGGCTTAAGTTTCATTCTTGCTACATGATTATAGGAATTCAATTTTTATTTGGTCTTAAACATCTTTTCTTTCTGCTCTCTGCCCATATGTTTTTATTAATGCCTTTAAAAAGCCTTCTTTCTTTTCAGGTAACACAAACAATATTTTTATTTTATTTCATTAAAAAGTAGTATGTTTATTTTTAACAAAAATATTTGAACACAAAAATCTCTTAAGTATTACAGTGATTTTAGTTATCTTTGACTCTACTTACATATGGAATTATTCCTAATCACAGAAGTTATGATGTCACTGCATTCTGTAACAGTGACTGCACCAATACCAGGCAAAGTAAGAAAGGAAGGGGCCTGCAGGAGGGATATTCCCTCATTAAAATGAATGTTGTTAATCAACATCATCAAAGAGCAAACCAAATTAATAGAAATCAAGAGGCAGTCCATATTTGTAGATTAACCTCAACACTTGCCTAAAGGGGGAATATAATTATCTCTAATGATGTATTCAAAGGTATCTGTCCACAACAAAATGTTTTCTCTCTAGGTCAACTTACAGCACAAAATACAGGCTCTAGACTTTCGTTGTGCTCTTGTGGGCAGGCACCACCTCCCCTCCTGCCACACCAGAATTTCATCAGGGGACTATCCTGCTGGCTGGCAGAAAACATGAATATAGCATTTGGAAACATGAAATTGCTGTTATGCAAAGTACATGTGCACACACACAAATACACACATTTAATGTGGAATGGAAATCTTTGCTGAAAAATGTCATATTGACATGGGGTGTGTGTGTGTGTGTGTGTGTGTGTGTGTGTGTGTGTGTGTGTGTATGATGGTGAAGCTGTACCTTCTAACCTTTTGGGACTTTTATGTAAATGGAGATTATTTATATGTTGTTGGGATGTGGAATGTGACTCTCTTGCCAAGCACTCCAGTTGTTTAGCTTATTTCCTGGGTAATATAATCAGAAAAGCAAAGACCATAGAATTTAAGGTGTTAAACATCTCTTTAGCCCCGAGTGAGAAATCACTTTAAGTGAGACAAGAATATGTTCATTTGTATTCCAAGCAAAGATGGAAAAAATCTTATAAATTATTAATCCACCAAGTAGCATGTATTATCCTGAGCTATTATCCTGGGTCAGGCTGCATTTCATGCCTGCTCATTTTCTGTTTGGAAGGAAAGCTGCCATGATGCAGAGGACAGACCACCACCCCTCCCCATTCCGAACCCCAACAAATACCAAGACAATAAATTGTAATGAAAGGATAAAATTATTGAAGTTCTTTCTTATCCATATTCTATTCTACCATTAAGTTGTACTGAAACAGTGTAGATTTAGCTTTTCCCCTCAAACCAACACTGAAATAAAAATGTATTTAAGCTGAAAGAAAAACCATCTCATAACAAAGAAAGGAATATATGTGTATATGCATATAAATATATACATACATACATACATACCTGTTTTAAAATAGAGAATGTTTTAACACAGAATATATTACCATAACAGCAAGACTTATGACCTTCCTTGGGTTTGAAGTATGAAATACTAACACAGAAGTGTAAAAATGGAAAGAAAAACATTTATTTGAATGCTAATATATATATTAAATATATATTAAATATATATATTAAAATACATATTTTTACTTATTAAGTACTGTTGCAAAAATAAATATTTGTCAATTAAAATTAAAACGCTTACAGTAAAAATTCTCAAAGCTATTAAAATATATTTAATGTCAAATAGGTAATTAATTTTCTTTTTTTTTATTATACTTTAAATTTTAGGGTACATGTGCACAACGTGCAGGTTAGTTATATATGTTTACATGTGCCATGTTGGTGTGCTGCACCCATCAACTCGTCATTTAACATTAGGTGTATCTCCTAATGCTATCCCTCCCCACTCCCCCACCCTAAAACAGGTCCCGATGTGTGCTGTTCCCCTTCCTGTGTCCATGTGTTCTCATTGTTCAATTCCCACCTATGAGTGAGAACATGCGATGTTTGTTTTTTTTGTCCTTGCGATAGTTTGCTGAGAATGATGGTTTCCAGCTTCATCCATGTCCCTACAAAGGACATGAACTCATCATTTTTTATGGCTGCATAGTATTCCATGGTGTATATGTGCCACATTTTCTTAACCCAGTCTATCATTGTTGGACATTTGGCTTGGTTCCAAGTCTTTGCTATTGTGAATAGTGCCGCAGTAAACATACATGTGCATGTGTCTTTATAGCAGCATGATTTATAATCCTTTGGGTATATACCCAGTAATGGGATTGCTGGGTCAAATGGCATTTCTAGTTCTAGATCCCTGAGGAATCACCACACTGACTTCCACAATGATTGAACTAGTTTACAGTCTCACCAACAGTGTAAAAGTGTTCCCATTTCTCCACATCCTCTCCAGCACCTGTTGTTTCCTGACTTTTTAATGATTGCCATTCTAACTGGTGTGAGATGGTATCTCATTGTGGTTTTGATTTGCATTTCTCTGATGGCCAGGGATGATGAGCATTTTTTCATGTGTCTTTTGGTTGCATAAATGTCTTCTTTTGAGAAGTGTCTGTTCATATCCTTCGCCCACTATTTGATGGGGTTGTTTTTTTCTTGTAAGCTCTCAATAAATTAGGTATTGATGGGAAGTATCTCAAAATAATAAGAGCTATCTATGACAAACCCACAGCCAATATCCAGGGAAAAAACTGGAAGCATTCCCTTTGAAAACTGGCACAAGACAGGGATGCCCTCTCTCACTACTCCTATTCAACATAGTGTTGGAAGTTCTGGCCAGGGCAATCAGGCAGGAGAAGGAAATAAAAGGTATTCAGTTAGGAAAAGAGGAATTCAAATCGTCCGTGTTTGCAGATGACATGATTGTATATTTAGAAAACCCCATCGTCTCAGCCCCAAATTTCCTTAAGCTGATAGGCAACTTCAACAAAGTCTCAGGATACAAAATCAATGTGCAAAAATCACAAGCATTCTTATACGCCAATAACAGACAAACAGCCAAATCATGAGTGAGCTCCCATTCACTGTTGCTTCAAAGAGAATAAAATACCTAGGAATCCAACTTACAAGGGATATGAAGGACCTCTTCAAGGAGAACTACAAACCACTGCTCAATGAAATAAAAGAGGATACAAACAAATGGAAGAACATTCCATGCTCATGGGTAGGAAGAATCAATATCGTGAAAATGGACATACTGCCTAAGGTAATTTATAGATTCAATGCCATCTCCATCAAGCTACAAATGACTTTCTTCACAGAATTGGAAAAAACTACTTTGAAGTTCATATGGAACCAAGAAAGAGCCTGCATTGCCAAGTCAATCCTAAGCCAAAAGATCAAAGCTGGAGGCATCACGCTACCTGACTTCAAACTATACTACAAGGCTACAGTAACCAAAACAGCACGGTACTGGTACCAAAACAGAGATATAGACCAATGGAACAGAACAGAGCCCTCAGAAATAATGCTGCATATCAACAACTATCTGATCTTTGACAAACCTGACAAAAACAAGCAATGGGGAAAGGATTCCCTATTTAATAAATGGTGCTGGGAAAACTGGCTAGCCATATGTAGAAAGCTGAAACTGGATCTCTTCCTTACACCTTATACAAAAATTAATTCAAGATGGATGAAAGACTTAAATGTTAGACCTGAAACCATGAAAACCCTAGAAGAAAACCTAGGCATTACCATTCAGGACATAGGCATGGGCAAGGACTTCATGTCTAAAGCACCAAAAGCAATGGTGTTTTGTTGTCTAAAACAACAAAAGCCAAAATTGACAAATGGGATCTAATTAAACTAAAGAGCTTCTGCACAGCAAAAGAAACTACCATCAGAGTGAACAGGCACCCTACAGAATGGGAGAAAATTTTCACAACCTACTCATCTGACAAAGGGCTAATATCCAGAATCTACAATGAACTCAAACAAATTTAATTTATTTTTTTCTGCCAACTTCTTCATGGCCAGAAGCAGGAGATCCAAAAATCTTGGAAAGTTTTGTAGGTAAATATGAATATATCTTCCAAACAAAGACACGAAAGTGAGGACGTAAGGTTCTGGGATTATTCTTGGCTAGGATTCTTTAGGTATTTCAGGTATGGAGTTTGTGTACTTCAGGTAGTGTCTGTATTTTAAATATATTTTCTATATTTCAGGTTTAGAGTATTTAGCCAACTAGTGTCTGTAGTTAACACTACAGTTAAAAAAAAAGATCTTAATAGTCGAGTGGCTAAAATTCTCTTAAATTCTGTCATATACCAAATTTTCCATAGTGATTGAGTGACTTAGGACATAGTCTAGTGCTAGCATGCTTAATGATTCAGGCTTTTATTGTTAGAGATTCAGGATGTATTCAGAGTGTGGAGAAGGGTTTCTCTGGGAACATAAATGAAGTGGGAGCCAGAATGAATATTTTCTGCTTCAAATGTCTTCTTGAGTGATCCTGCCACTGAAGTTCATTCTGTGAACTCTGATGAGGGCAGCTGTTAGAAAAACATGCTTTTGTTATAGTGTGGTTTTCTTAAAAAGAGAATTGTAATAATAATAGCATTTGGCAGTAAAACTCAATGTGCAGTAAAATATCTTAAAATTGCACTGACTAAAGTTCAGTGGGTATCATGGGTTATGACATTCTTCTCTGAGAGAGAAGGCCAGAATTTCAATGGTGCCAGAAATGAAGACCTACTGAAGTGTTAGGTCATGGGAATGGCCTGGTCCACAGTAGGAAGGGGAACCCCCTGATGGCCAAAAGGGCTTTTGATGTTTGCCTCCTCCAGGCTCTGCCTCACCTCTACTTCTCATCTTAAACTGAGTAACCTTCTAAGTAACCTAATTGGTGGTCCAGCACACTTCTCCTGCTGTTTAGTCCCAATTCTAATGAAAAAGTCTGGATAATTAAGCTCTTTCTTAGTTGCCTCAAGCCTGGCTTCTCTGACAGCTTTGGTCAGCAGGCCAGCTGACCCTGCAGAGCCCTGTACCATCATTCCCTTAGCTCATTGGGGCAGGTTTTCAGCATCCTGAGTCAGGTTTCCTCATTGGGTGCTTTCATTAGCCCCTGTCTGGTGCCAAGCAAACAGTTCTCTTAACACTTGACATGCCCAAATTATTAAAGACCATAAATTACACCCCATAGCGGTCTTACACTTGACTGCCTCTTCCTCTTACTTTGTTCACCCCCTTTGACCCCATTTGAACTGCAGTTCTTCACACTACATTCTTAACGAGGTTATTTACTCTGCATGCCCAATGAGATTGTGCCTTATGTAATAAGGTTTCAGCTCTGAGGTATGTCCAAGAGGGCAGACTTTTCAGCTGCTAAAAGAATTAACATTTTAGCTGAGGATGACCCTTTATTGCTAGATGTGCTTTCATAGCCCAAGTCTGTGACCATTTAAGAATGTCACAGTAACATATGGAGATTTTTACATCTTCACATAGATCAGTTTTGCAAGTCAGAGTAACCAAGGGTGAGTAACAATCTATGCCAGCTGTGTAGTTAAGAATGCCAATTTATTTTTAAAATGGCTCTGTGCAGTCAGCTCGATTGTTTAGGAAAATGGGAGAAAGGAGTGACTATGATAATCAAAGTTCACGTGCAATTTCAAACCTCATTTAAACGAGCTGTTTAACCTGCTCTCTGTCTGCTAGTGGGAAGGAGAAAAAGCAAATGAGTCAGACAGTGGACCCACTAGATACTCAGGATATTGAGATTCTTGGGTGTGAGAGAAAATGTTTCTTAGTTTTATAAATGTTTACTGAGTTGTTTACACTGATTTGATAAGTATATCTGGGACTTGGTGCAGGTAGGTGTTTCAAAAATTTGAATTTACTTCACCCTCAATGGTTCCTGCCTTATTTATATATGTATGCTGGATGCATTTATTCACATTGATAGTCCCTGCATCCCAAATTCTCAGATGCTGCCAGACATTCTCTCTCTCACAGCCCCTTGTTCCCCAACACGCTCCACTTTAGGTTCTGTGCACAAAGGTGTCACTCTTACAACCCTAAACACTACCCTTCTGTCCTCTTCTTGTCTCCTTTTGTCCCCATGTTTTTCACTTGTTATTTCTATGTAGTAGAGGGCTTGGCCCAATGAATAGCATTGAGAAAGGGGGATGACAAATGGCAATAAGAAAATAAAAGCCTTAAAATTTTATGAAGCTGAAGAATTTTTATCTTCAAAAGATACTCCTTAAATGTAGATCAAGTAGTAGTTTTATGTTGCTCTACTTTTGGTGCCACTTGGGGATATAATGATGATTTCAGGCTAAAGGGGGTGTAGAAAATTCAAATAGGGCAGAAACAGAACAATGTCAAACACAGCCTAAGAAAACAGTGATTACACAGTATTGCATCCTCCACTGGGCATGAAACTCTAGTATTCTGCTATGGAGCTCTCATTTAAAATGGAAGAAAAACACAGATCCTTGAGCTCTCTGAGCTTTCACTTGCCCCTTTAACGCTGAAGCAAAATTATAGAATTGAAGCATTGTTAAGAGGAGGGAAGGCCAGGCAGGGCTGGTGGAAGGCAGAAAGGAAGACCTTATCTCAGTGCTGCTATAGGGAAGGGACTGTATTAGAGCGGTTGCAGGTTCCCTGGGATTCTGTTTCCACTTATTCTCCCTAATAAGCGGGTTTTCATGCTAAAATAAGACAATTGTGGTTTCCCTAATTTCTATGGAAAATTATTTAATGGATAGAAATTGAAATTGTCTTAAATATTTGGCTTCTGCTGCTATTTATCTATACTAGAACCTGGAATAATATGGTATATAAATTGACCCTAAAAGACAGCATTTTAATTTCCACAGGTTGCCATTGTGCAGTGCACAGAGAGCGCTCCCTGCCACCATGAGTCCTGTCATCTTGGAAAGCAAGATGTTATAGATGCAAGATCATAAATCTTAGAGTCCTGGATTTATCTTTCCACTCTTCTGCTTACTACCTTGCTTGTGCTCAAGGTAGCTCCCTTACCTCTCTGGATCTCAGTTTTCACTGAGATTCTGCAAATTTGGATAATAAAGCATAGGATTGTTTTGCTGTTAGTTGTAATTATGCATGTTAAAGCACTTGGTCTTTGCTAGGGTATGTGGCATATATATGTGCCCAATATATGTTTTGCCTTTTTCCTTTCTTTACTTTTCTTGAATGAGTAGGAAAAACACAAGTAGAAGACAAACAGCTTTCTAAGCCATTTTGATTTCTCACAAAGTAACCTAAGTCAATGTTTTCAGGCTTTCCTTAAATCTTACCTATAAGCCAAATATAAAACAGGTAAAAGTGGAGCTTGAGTAGGAGCTTGGGCCTTCTACTCTTCAATTTCCCAAGCCTCATTCCTCTTGTGTCCTGAGGGAATGGAACTCCCAATTCCAAGTAAATAGTGACCTCTGGAGCTGTGCACTGAGATATATGCCCTGGCATCTCCATGGGTTATGACATCTCTGTGCCTTCAGTAAATTATTAGAATTACCTTTTCCTCCTAATTTACTGACTTATCTGAGCTATTTTAATGATATCATATACTGGATTCACAAAGACTATATCAGAATTCTGCACCATGCATTCTCACCAAACCAAGGGGAGAGAAGCACATGCTTAAGGGATTCTGAAGCACAAAGTGTTTGGACCTGAGATATGCACAAAATTTCCTTGAGGCATTTCGTTGTGAGAAAGGATATTCCATTTTTAAGCAACATGATCCAGCTATCTGCACATTTTCCAAGGATTATTACTTGTCCTTGGGTGTACTCTGATGCCTGGTGTCAAGATGAAGTAGAATATTTACTGAACTCCCTGGCATATAGTGCATTTCCTCCTGATAATTTATAAACATTAGGTTTTAGTAGAAAGTTACCAAAAAAGTTTCTTGAATAACTGAGCTCCCTTATTCGTGCTCACTGATGCTTAACTGGATGGAGCATTGGCACCCAGAATATTAAATCCTTTTCATACAATTAGGTTATGTGCTTATGCATACTAACAAGTATGTGAGTGTGGGATGTTTATCTTCTTCCTGAAGATTATAAATTCTTTTGGCAGGTACTGTCTCTTTCTATTTCACTGTGTAATATGTGCCCAGAGGCAATTGCGCATCCTCCAAACAGAAATCGGTGAAGTTAGAGAATGTCCTGAAATGTATGTCTCAAATATGTTGCATTTTCCCTCACTAGTATGTGCATCAGCCACTTGGTGGCTATCCTCCTGCATCTGTTATATTTATTACATTAGTTTTCAAAATAGATTCTTTATTTCATAATCATTTAAATAAGAGAAATTAAAATTGGTAAAGTATAGAATGCCATCCTAATTTTTGATTTGGGACAAATACTTAAATGACTAATTCAAGAACTGAATTTTAAACCTAAATTGCAGTTGAGAATATTTTGAGATTTGGGAAATGTCATTATGCTATCATTGTATTTGTTTTCTTTTGCCCATCTTGTACCTACCAGCTGAAGTAAAGATCTTGAGGTACAGGGACAGTAGTACTGTTGCTGTTTCCAATCCAGTCCATTTTGGCATTGAATGAGATGTAATATCATTGGAGTCTGATTGCTGAATCGGAGAGAATTGAACCTATTTTTGTTCTCAGGAAGGGAGAAATTTGAAGGTTACACTGAGATAAGGAGTAACAGGAGGAGGAAGAATAAGAAATTTTTGTTTCTGGATTTTCCAAATCCAGTGGCCCATATAACTACACCAACTGTTTTCAGGTGGTCAGTCCCACATTGTGGATGTATGTCGCCATCCACCAGAATAATTCTATTATTTTTTTGTCATCTTTATAACCAAGTATGGAAGTACTGGCATGCTTTGACCTCTCCTGGCTTGATTATTACATTAATCAAGATGTAATAATTGTCTGATAGGCATCCAAGGTTGGGCTCCCATAGTTGTGGTAGGGGTTGTGTTCTTACTACTTCCAGCACATCAGTTTGGCATATCAGTTATCTGCTTCCTCTACCCTGCTAACCACAGTACACTGTAGTCCTTATATGTGAAACCAAGAGAAATGACTTGAAATGAAAATGAATATTAGTAACCTATCGCATGGGTGGCCATGGGCCGTAGTTCATTCTGAATAGTGCTAGTTAAGACTCTGAACACATGTCTGAGAAACTTCAGATAACTGGTTTTATCACACACAATCATCCATGAGAAACTGCACCCCAGAAAGCTTCCATGTGTGTTGTTTACATTTTTATAGGCACATAAGCATTATAGTCTAAATAGCTCACTTAAGGTCACCCTACTAGTATTTAATAATAAATTAAGTTTAATCAAGAAAGGAACCAGATTGCTCTTAGGTGTATGCAATTCTATAATATTTTTCTGTAAGAGTAGAACGATGATACTGAATCTTGGCTATATTTTAGAATCACTTGGGAGCCAAGTGGTTGTTTAAAAAGTGGTGCCTGATCCTACCCCACAAATATTTTATAATTCATGCTGGGATGTGACTTGGGATTATTGAAAGCTTCTCATGTGATTCTAATGTGGTAACCAAGGTTGAGAATGCTTGCTCTGAAGTACAGATTCTTCTTTAAACACCATTTGATTTTATCATTTAATTGAATCATAATTTGTGAGCATTATATTTGTTGACTGATAACTTGTTTTATCTGTCCCTCTCAGAAGAATGTAGACTCTGTCAAGGCACAAACCATTTCTATCTTATTCGCTTTTGTATCCTCGGAGCCTGGTATAGTGCTGGATAAATGAAAATAAGTAATATTGTTTGTCTTTGAAAACAGTTCATTACCAAGGAGAAGTACAGGCTTCAGTTTTCCTAGGCAGCATTTAGCACTTTTACTGGAATAGTAATTTACTTAAAATGTGAGGGTGATAGCAATTTCTGTGGATAAGTGACCACATAAGAGAGTCAAGTGGAGGAGGAGATGGGGAGGAAGAGAAAGAACAGGTCAGTGGCGTGGAGCTGTGCTCCTGAGGGGAGCGTTCTTTACATGAGGAATTTTCAGAATGATAAGTTGGCTTTTCTTTGGCTTAAAATGACATTTTAAACTTCAATCTAATTTTTGATTCAAACTTAAAGTCGGTGTAAATGAGGAACCTTGATGGACAGTACAGGATGAAGGAAGACAATCTTAGTGGGACCTTGGTTTACCCAACATTTCAAGAAAAGAACCGGCTTTCACAACGAGTAAGCTGGCCTGGGCTGGGCTGGGCAGGGCTGTGCAGGGGGTTGTCAGAAGCAAGGCTCTCTCGTGTCTACTTTAGTTTTACACTAGGTGATTAATACAACCAAAAGTCACCTTTAACCTGGAGAATAATTCAGCCCGTAACAGCTCATCAATCTGCTGTTGCTGTGCAGCAGCAAAAATTTAATACATAATAAATAATTTTTCACTGGCTCACAAGGAATAAAGATTTCTTTGTAAAAATATTTCCCATTTTAAGGTTAACTATCATCACACACCATTAATGCTTAATCATACACTTAATTTGAAATCCAAATACTGAAGATTTAAACTGAAATTTTACCCACACCATGAAATGATTAATTTGGTAACTTGTGATCTTTGCATGTGGTTCCACTACTTACAAAGATAGGATGTGGAGGAGGAGTTGTAAGAAAGCTGAGTGGGAACACGTTGAGTCAGGGTATGTGTTTATATAATGCATTTCGCAGACTACTTTAAATTTTACATGACAGACGTTTTAATAATACTTAGTATACACCAGGCGTTGTTATTAGCAAATAACAAATATTAACTCTTTAAATCATTATATCCACTCTATGAAGTAGATACTATTGTTATCATTCCTACTGTGCCGACAAGAAACAAAGGCACACAAGAGATTATAACCTCTGCCTGCATTAGTCTGTGCTGAAGATCACAAAGTGTATTAGTGATACAACCAGGAACCAAACCTGAATTGTCCAAATTAGAGTCTGTGTACTTAATCCATAAGCTAAATTGCCTCTCCAGGAAAAAACCTTCCACCTCTATGTGCTCTCTTCTTAAACCTAAGGAAGGAGGCCGTTTTCACCACTTCAGTTAAAGCTGTTTCATGTCCAGGAGGAAGTTGACTTTTGTAAGATCGTTGACCAGTGGCAAGGGGCACCATAAGTGCATTTTGAAGGAGTGGCTGTTCTGATCATTGGCCCTGCACTTACCTGAGCAGTCCCAAGAGAGGTGAAGACCAGAAAGGCCAAGTTCAACATTTTGTTTGCATCTGTATTAAAAGAGAAAGAAAACATGTGTGAACTTTCTCATGGATACAGAAGTAATGGCCTCTAGTAAGCGGGCTGAAGTGTGGTGAGTTGGAGACTCACTTTTCCTCACATGTCTTCTGTGTTACACAGGTGTTTTCAATACTGTGCAACTGTTAGTTTCATAATATTTTCCACAAAAAGAAATATCATTCGCCTGTAATCCCCAGCACTTTGGGAGGCCGAGGTGGGCCGATCACGAGGTCAAGAGATCAAGACCATCCTGGCCAACATGGTGAGACCCCATCTCTACTAAAAATACAAAAATTAGCTGGGTGTGGTGGCAGGCACCTGTAGTCCCAGCTACTTGGGAGGCTGAGGCATGAGAATCGCTTGAACCTGGGAGGTGGAGGTTGCAGCGAGCCAAGATCGTGGCACTCCAGTCCAGCCTGGCGACAGAGCAAGACTCCGTCTCAACAACAACAACAAAAATATTCTGTGTATATACCAATTAGTATAAGCCCGAACTCAGGGAGGTCTTTGCTGTAGAAATTCATGTAGAAATTACAAGTATCTGAGCAAAGGTAGATCAGGACAAGGGAAGCTGAGTTTGGGGGCTCTTAGGGAAAAATAACCCTTAGGAACTGGTGACTTGTGAGTTCTACCTCGTTAAGCTAGGTACCCAGTGATGGGAAGGGGAAGCATATCTGACAGGTTTCTACCATGGCCATCAGAGCTAATGATAACAGAGCAGATGGAGGTTGAGGAGATTTGGGAGGAGAGGGCACGTGAAATTTAGGTTATGTTGCATTGGTGTGGCCTGTTGAGCATCTAAAATACCAGGAGAACCCAGATACATGATCCTAATGCCTGCTGTGGCATTGATGCTTGATGCACATATGCTTGATGGGACTCTGAATCCTTGGAAGGGCCTTATTTTGACAACTTGCCAGTTGAAAATGTCAGTAGGGGCTAGTGCACATGTATCTAGGCTGATATTTTTGCATTATAGACATGTCTTTAAATCTAATAGCAGAATTAGGTGCCATGAGTTAAAATACATATGATTAAGTCCAGACGTGGTGGCTCAGGCCTGTAATCCCAGCACTTTGGGAGGCCAAGGCTGGTGGATCACTTGAGGTCAGGAGTTCGAGACCAGCCTGGCCAACATAGTGAAACCCTATCTCTACTAAAAATACAAAAAATTAGCTGAGAGTGGTGGTGGGCACCTGTAATCCTAGCTACTCGGGAGGCTGAGGCAGGAAAATTGCTTGAACCTGGGAGGTAGAGGTTGCAGTTAGCTGAGATCATGCCACTGCACTCCAGCCTGGGCAACAGAGTGAGACTCTGTCTCAAAAAAAAAAAAAAAAAACAAAAACCAAAAAAAAACCCCAAAACCCAGAAACATACAATTAAGTGTTTTTTAGAGCTGTGGTTAATCAGATCATGATAGTCAAATGAATAAATTTTAAACCCTTATTAATGTTTTTAATGCTAGGCATTTACAGTTAAAATCAATATTTTTCTCAAAGTAATGACTCTAGATATTGGATTATATCATTTAGGCATAAAACTTTCTGATAAATATGCACTGGGAAATGATTTCACATCTAACTTTTCTTTCAGGGAAAGTGGAAAAGTTAAAGGGTTTGGACAAAACCACATATAACAATGTACTTAGTGTAAAAATATTTTTTAAATAATAAATGTGCATTTAAAACATTGTGAAAATTTGGTTTCTGTAACACTATGAATCCTAAAAGGCAATACAAAGTATTGTTAATCAACTGTTGGATTAATGTTTATTATAACCAAAAATTTTTATTTAGAATTTTCAAAATTATTATAAAGTAGAATTGCATATTTTATATGCTGCAATACTTTGGGGCCCCTCATCATTAATGTGTGGACTAATAGGAACATAGTTTTAATATAAGCTTAACTCCATTCTTTGCTTCACTGAGGGTCTAAAGTACAAGTTCTTTCTGCTTTCAAGGAAAGGGAGATTTAGAAAGTTTGTTTCGTGTGATAATTAAGGGCATGAGCCCTGGAGATAAACCACACAGGTTCAAATCCCCTCTCTAGCACTGATTAGCTGTGTGGCTTTGGGAAAATTATTTTTTCTGTGCTACAATTTTATAATCTATAAAAGGGGAATAAAAGTTACACCTACCTCTGATAGATGTGGGTATTAAGTGAGTTAATACATATAAAGCAACTAAACCAATGTATGCATATACTAAATATTTAATTAACATCAGATATTATTAGTTTTTGATTGGCTCTAGATCTGGTAGTAATCAAGGCCTTGCACTATCAAGGCCTATTATAAAAGACTACAGAGAAAGAATAATAACCGCTCGCTTGTTGAGTGCTTACTGTGTATCAGACACTTTTCAAGGCACCTTTTATGTACTAAAGAAAAGGGAATTTATAGGCACAGAAAAATTGTTTTTGATAAACATAGAGAAGAAATTTTCCCTGTGTCTGAAAGATCCTCTAAATTGGCGAGAGAGACCATGGGTCCTAGGAAAAGAATGGGTTTGGGTCATGCTTCCTAACAGCACAGCCCCGAGAGAAAGTTGGGGGTTGGTGCTTCTGGGACAATGGGATCATAGGCACTTTTGTAAAGAAAAATTCCTGATGAGAAGATTTCTATCATGGAAACAAAGGTCCATCAAGAATAGACTATGAAGAGTAGTGTCATTGTTTCAGCACCCAGAATCTTTGTGGTTCTTGTATTGACCTGCAATATTGGTCAGCTGTCACCAGAGGGTGCCCTGTCCACATCTGCCCAAAAAGACTAGATTAACTCTCCTTCCTATGGACATACAGGAAAGATTTTATTAATGGCAGCTAGAGTAGTGTCCTTCCATCAGGGGACATACCTGTCCAGTACAGTGACTGACTTACTCCATGTGAACGTCCATCCTCGTATCACAACACTCCAGCATATCTGCAAGACCAGAAGATGGTAGCGGGGCGCCGATCAATCAGTTGAATGGGACGGTGTTATCGTGGAGCTGAATTGAACCCTCTTAAAACCCCCTGTGCTGTGGCAGCAATAAATGATCCCTACAATGCATTAATATTCAGTGTATATTTGGGCTTATTTTAGAGACTTAATAAAAGTATAGTGGCTGGACATGGTGGCTCATGCCTGTAACCCTAGCACTTGGGATTAGGAGGCAGGAGGGAGGAGGACTGCTTGAACCCAGGAGTTTGAGACCAGCCTGGGCAACATAAGGAGACCTCATCTCTACGAAAAAAGTATGTCCTATAGCAAGATAGAAGAGGTAGATTCTATACATTCTACACTTATATTTCCCCAAATCTGTGTGAGCCTATGTGAACCCAGGCAAGTCATTTAATGTTACCCATTTCCATCATCTGAAGAATCAAGGGGTTGGGTTACAAGATGATACATAAAATTTCTAATAGTTTCTCTAAGATTTGGAACTCAAATGGATGATTGTGAATGCCTATAGAAGATCATGGTGAAATCTTTGAAGCGAGCTGGTAATGTAGTGCTAGTATTTGCAGATTGATAGGCATGAGTGCTGATAAAAGGAGAGAGAGGTCATTGGAGCAGGCTTTGATGATGGATGTGACTAGTTGATCAAGGGAAGAAAAACAATAGGCTGGAGAATGGAAAGAAGATGATGACTGCTGGAGTAAGTAATTAAGATTCTTATCCTCTGGTGACATTAGGCAGGGTTCTGGAAATCTTCATGCCTTGGGTGGATTTGCAGACTAAACTCAATAATTTATTGTTCATTTTTGTTCTCCTTACATTATTTGAGCTCCTTAACCCTGAGAACTTAAAGAAGAATGGAAAGCTATGCATTAAAGATAGAAATAGTGGCAGGAATATTTTCTTAGCTTCTTGGTTTCCTGTACTTGGCTCCAGGATGCAGACTTTCACAAATTCAGGCACACTTTCTTTAGGGAGGAATGTGGCTTAGAGTTAAAAGATGTTAACACTCCTTGGGGACTATTCTTATAGCTGCCTGAGTGGCAGGGTACTGTGACCTTGAAGAGAACCAAGGAGAAAGAACAGGTTTCAGGAGATAGGTATCATGCCAGTTGTAGCAATTGTGACCCATCCAGCTTCTGTGCATCAGAGTTGAACCATCTTTTCACTGGTTTCTCTCCTTGAAAACATTAAAAGTGAGTATTTATCTCTCGTTGGCTTATTTATTCCTCAGACTCAAAATGGAGAATGCATTGAATTATTTTCTCTGACATAGAGATAAAGTTTTTATACACTTAGAAAGCTCTTTCTTTGTTATTTTTTTGGTTTCAGTATATCAGTAGAGAGTTATCTTTTCATATATAATACTAACTTTTTAGATTTTTAACATTGTTATGGTAGTTTTAGTTTTCTTTTTTTTTTAACAAAAGGGGGAGATAAATCTGTGGATGAATGTTTCCTTACCTAGGCTGAAATCTCTTAGATATTTTCTTTTCTGTAAACCTCTGAGGCAGATGGTTTCAAACTTTCTCACTTTCAGAAACTTAGTGCCCTTAGTGATTCAGTATATTTTTCACAGTCACGCCTAGGCCAAAAGAAAAACCTAGCAGTTGTGTTTATTAAGTACATAGCTCCAAACAATTTAAGTATTTATACCTAACAACTTAACAGCTTTATGAAAAAATAATATACATAAGTTACCTGTGAGATTACTGTAGTATCCGAGAACACCTTGGCAAACAGTTTGGGAACCATGACTCTCAGAATAGATAACCGCAGATGGAATTTAAAGAAATTCCCACTGCAGTAGAGAGTTAGGTGGACAACTAACAACTTCTATATGGCCTGTCATTATCCAGATGGTGGGAAGCTGAGACATTACAATCTGGGCAACTAGAAAGGCAGGTGTGGTAGTAGCAGGAAGGAAAGTTGATGGCCTTCTTGGGAAAAAGCTGAGAGAAAATCCTTGGCTAATTCTAACTCAAGGAATGCAATGAAGGTCCTTGGAAGACAGAGTCAAGTTCGTTCCAGTGTCCCCACCTCAGTGATTGCTGGTGAGGTGAATGGATTTTATACATGTAAAGTGCCCAGATAGTCTCAAGTCTCAGTCTTTATGCAGTCTCATAATGTAATGTTTGATATATGCATTATATAAATTTTGCTGCTACTTAAATTCATTGATGAAACTCTGTGGAGTGTGAGTCCTACCCCTGCATTTCAGATAACACCAAGAGTGCAAGAACTGGGGCAATATGCTATCTATCAGTGTTCCTTATGGAATTTGGGTGTTACATCTTTTTTTTTTTTTTTTTTTTGTTTTTGAGATGGAGTCTCGCTCTGTTGCCCAGGCTGGAGTGCAGTGGCGCGATCTGGACTCACTGCAAGCTCCGCCTTCCGGGTTCACGACATTCTCCTGCCTCAGCCTCCCGAGTAGCTGGGACTATAGGCACCCGCCACCATGCCCGGCTAGTTTTTTGTATTTTTAGTAGAGATGGGATTTCACCGTGTTAGCCAGGATGGTCTCGATCTCCTGACCTCGTGATCCACCTGCCTCGGCCTCCCAAAGTGCTGGGATTACAGGCGTGAGCCACTGCGCCCAGCCTGGGTGTTACATCTTAATAATACTTGCTATTATAACATTTCCCAGAGTGTGTTCCATGGGAATTAATTGATGCTACTTGAAAATAATGTTCTGCAATTAGACGTGTTTGATGAATGCTGGGTTAAAACAAATTATGCTGGGCTTCACAGAGCCTTTAATATGTTAGTCTACATTGTAAAGCTTCGGGAGGAGAGATAATAGCATAATTTATTCCCTAAGCTTCATTGATCAAGGAAACTTTTTATATTGAATGAAACATCTTATAGATTCATGTTTCATAGAATATACTTGGGGTGAGTAGTTCCAAAGGATCTTTTTAACCTATTTCTTTTGAATTATTTGAATAGATATTTACTGATCAGGGCTCTGATTTATCTGATATTGTCTTTCACGTTGGGATTACAAATTGAACCCTAACGTTATTTTTATGAGAAAGGACAATGTATTTTAAATCAGTTCTTTTGCACACTAGTTTTCTTCAATGCACCATGGTTTAGGTGTGAATCATCTGTATAGTGTGATTGCGTTTCCAACATTCTAATGCTGAATTATGTATATAACACAATTCATAATTTACTGACAATTTCCTTGCAGATGAGTGCTTCTAGTCATCAGAATATAACAATGCACATTTATTTCCAGTTATCCACAAAGTCTTCAAGCCTAATAATACATGTTTTTTAAACTTGTATTATTTAAAGGGGGAACCTTTTAAATTCCTAAGTATATGCTGTATCACATAAGTTTGGTGCCCCCATTAAAAACATAACAAACCCTCTTGCCTTTCTAGGTTTTGGATAAGTTGGCAAAAAACCAGAGAAAATGTAGATACCAAAATATCAAATATAAAGTCTGTTATTGAAATGGTCAGGTTAATATTGAACTCCAGAATTAGGCAGACATAACCGTTCAAATCCAGTTAGCATTAGAGTGAGGTAGGCCTCCCCCTACACAACTTATGCCAAACATATGCTTTCCTCAGATAAAGCTAGTTGTACAGAAGAAGGAAGGGGGCTGAGTCTTGCATCCTTCTACTGCCCCCATTTTACCTGGTCCCTAGGAGTAGTGTGAGACTGGGACAAGTGATCTGGGATTACACTGATTAGCATGCTTCACAGGAGGGAAATATAAGGAGAAAGGAAGAAGTATTTCTCAGTAACATCCGAGTTAGCCAGGAAGGCTCAGGAAATCCCTGTTTGGTGATGAGATCATTGTATCATTGTTTAGAGATTTCTAATTCATGATGCAATGTATTTTTAAATGGTAAGTTTTAGAAAGCTTGTTTTTATAATTCTAAACTCTTTCAGACATCAGTTGTGTATCTAATCTTTTGTTTACAGGACCTACTCAATCTAAATCAGAAAAAGAACAGGCTGAAGCTACAAATAAGATAAAAAGAAGTAGAAATGACTGTCTTGTATTTATAAAATGGCGATCATGAGATTTCATGTTAATGACTGACTACCGAGACATGCTATTTGGCTCTATGTGTCTGTTTCCCACAGAAAGGATGTCAGGCCTGGTGTTGATGGGCAAGCTGTCCAGAACATGGGTACCACACGTGCAGCACGGGCTCGGGCCTCAGAGTCAGGCACGCTGGAGCACTCATTGCAGCTCAGGTGCCACCCACAGGGCGAGCTCACACATGCTCACTCTGGTGAGTGCTGATAGCAGAAAGGATGCCTAGGCTCTCCTTCTATATGAAGAAATTAAATACATTATTTAGGACTAATTTTAAATTAGCTAGGTCTCTTTTTTAAATGAAAAAAAAAAAACTGGGAGAAGGATGATTTGACATTATGAAAGCAGTTTGTAAGGGCTTTTCATATAAAGCAACTCTAGAGGAACTAGAAGTGTGAAGACACCCAGGCAAACTTTGGTCTCCAGGTTAATTCAGGGCAAGTTAAAAGAGGAGTCTGTCCAAACCTGGGGTAGAATCCCAGGGTGAGAAGCAGTGTTTGAGCTGTTGACACTTAATAACAAATAAAACTAATAGTAGTGCAGATATTTGTATTTATTTAAATCTCTTTCTAACTGAATGTCTTTAAAACACAGTATAAAGAGATTAGGAATACTTTTTAAAATAAATTTTAGTGATCTTAATATTGAGGCTTTATTTTTTTAAGTGAAAAGAGTTAGTAAGGTAAAGGTATCCCTTCTTCTCTCCTTCCTTTTTTTTCTTCTGTTGAATTCACCACATTTACGGGAGAACTGAATATCCAATGTTGATGTCATAACCATGCACTCCTCCTCTTTCTGATAGTTGTATATCCAAATAATAGGTCGAATATCTCAGAGAAAATAGCTATGTTCTTAAGTGCTTTGTTGTTGTGTCTTAAATATATACAATGTTTTAAATATATACAATGAAATATATACGTAAGGGTTTATAGAAGTTTAAATACCAGCTGTGTAACTATGATTATTTTTCTAGGAAAATCTAGACAAAATTGATAGGTTTCATTTTTAAAAATCAGAAAAAGTTATAAAGGGATTTTTATAAGTAAAATATTTTATTTTAAAACATCTTGTTTAAGGTAGAAGAGGTAAGGACTAACAGTTTAGAACTGGAGAGGGTCTATTTCTGAAGTAGTGATATTTCAGAGTGCAAGATTGCTGCAGGAAAAAAGAAAGGTGAATTTTTTCCTACCTAGATTTGGACACAGCAGCAGTTAATTTTGGTAAGTGAAGGACTTCATCTGAAGCAAAGCTTTACTGATAGGGGACTGGAGTAGAGCTAGGAGGAACAAGAGGCTGCACTTGGCACAGCTGAAGGAACCTCAGTTCTCATACCTGCTGGTCAGTGACACACAAAGTCAAGTGTGAAAACAGGAAAAAGTGGGTTTCGAAGCTGAGGCGGTCCAAGCCACCCACGATCACTTTGAAAAAATTTTCAGCATTCATCTTAGGAAATAAGCCTTCACATTTCTTGCTCACATTCTGCATGGCAGCCCAGAAGTGGGGGATTGAGGAAGATGATTTTACAATTCATAACTTGGCTGGGTGTGGTGGCTCACACCTATAATCCCAGCACTTTGGGAAACGGACACAGGAGGATCACTTGAGGCCAGGAGTTTGAAACCAGCCTGGGTAACACAGAGAGACCTCCTCTCTACAAAAAAAAAAAAAAAAAAAAAAAAATTATCCCGGCGTGGTGGCACGTACCTGTGGTCCCCGCTACTGAGGAGGCTGAGGTGAGCAGATTGCTTGCGCCCAGGAGGTTGAGGCTGCAGTGAGCTGTGATTGTGCCATGGCACTCTAGCCTGGGTGACAGAGTGAGACTCTGTCTCCATAATAATAATAATATTATAATAATAATAATTTTTAAAATGTTTAAAAATTAATAAAATTCAAAAGTGCTTAAGTAAGGCCAGATTAGTTTGCAAGTCCAGTACTAAGTTGGCTCAGTGGTGGAGTAGGGTAGAAGTGATGGGGAGGACATGAAGGAGAGTTGTCATGATGATGATTTTTTTTTATTAAATAGTGTTTAAATAACCTTTTAGGGAGTTTATTTTGACTAATTGAAAGAATGTTCAAATGCTTCAACTTTGATATCGTATTGGAACAATTTGGAGTAAGATTGGTAGAAATGTTAAATCTGTGGGTTCTGATGGCCCTAGGGGAAAACAGTCACAGAAAATTAACTTAGGATGCACTCTACCCATAACCCAGTTCAGCCAATATACTCTGCAGTTGAGGAAATCCTATCTTAGAAAAGTTCACCTCCCAAAAATGGAACAACCAAGACTAGCACCTGAGTTATTTATCTTCATATTTGGTGGTGGTCTTGTTCTAAAAGACCTAAAACAATTATTCCATAACATTGCATTACAAAATAAGCCATGGGCTCTACCACAAGAAGCTGATGTCTTGCTGGATACAAATGAATTTGATTGCAAGGTTCCCCAGTCCCTAAGAATTTAAAGGGAATACTTTAATAGGATTTCTTTGGGTAAATTTTTAAGAAGAAAGTTTATGAGACCACTTAAACCACTTTTCCCAAAGTTAAGTAAATTTTTTTTTTTTTTTTTTTTAACAGAGGGTCAAACAGATCATCTGGAATAGTGGTACGTTTTTGAGCAAGATAGCATTTCTGCCAGGCCCAGTTAGTTTACACTGAGCTGTAACTGTCTTTGGCTGGAAGTGATAACTAAAAGCCCCCTATGAGCTTGTGATTAGCTCATAGGAGTATTCATTTGTGTGGATACCTGGGTCGACATGTCAGTAAAAGTGTCTTAATTCATAGCTTTGGGTTTGTCAGAATAGCCCCAACAACCCTGACTTTCATGTAGGGTCAGGATATGAATTTTGTGTAAGGAAGAAGCATCCTCACTCTTGGCTCATACAACAGACCCAGTGGATAATAATGAATTCTTTCTCTCCAGGAATCTGAACAAACTGCCAAGTTGCAGGTTTTCTTTAAGTAAAATTGGAGCCTATTCACATTTGTTTCTGATACTTTTTACGCAACTCCAGGAATTTTCGCTTTAGTACATGTGAATTGCAAGCCTGTTTATATTGGTGATTAGTATATGAGGGAACTTGAGGCTGGGATAGAAAAAGATGTTAAAAGTTTTATTAAAGTCAACTCAAGACCTTTAGAGAGATAGCTGAGGGAAAAAGAGGAGCATAAGGAAGGGGAAGGAGAAGGGAGAATAGGCGGAGGAAAGGAGGGGAGGAGGGTGAATGGAAAGGCACAGTAACTGTGGTGGTCATTATTGATTGTTCACTGAGTATTTCTAGCCCTCCTTGCCTGTGAAAATAGACAATGATGTGAAAACAGATAATAATACTCCCTCTACTCCTGAAGTTAATCTTGGCCTTGTAACCTACTTGGCTAAAAATTCATGAGTGGACCTGATATGTGCCACTTCCAGGCAGAAATGTAAAGAGCCAGTGCCAGTTAGTGGTTCTCCACATTTCCTTCTTTCTACTGTAATTGTAGAAGTACCTGCTAAGATGTAGCCCTGTCAGGTTTATCCCTGAGTGAAAATGATGAGCAGAGTCCCTCTGCCAACCTGCATTGATATTTCATGTCAGCTAGGAAATCAACTTTTATTAACATTGAGAGTTTGTTCCCATAGCGTAACCTAATTTATCCCATCAAACACAGAAATTAGGACCTAAGAAGAGGGAGTCGGCATAACAAAACTATGAAA
The DNA here is from genome assembly GCF_000001405.40 of Homo sapiens. Taxonomy (NCBI): domain Eukaryota; kingdom Metazoa; phylum Chordata; class Mammalia; order Primates; family Hominidae; genus Homo; species Homo sapiens. The sequence goes on along the minus strand of NC_000005.10, from coordinate 118,603,580 downwards.
TAGGTAGCATTGGCCTAGCTGCTTAATAGAAGGTGGCAAATAAACTTGTCAGAGGCTAGAATGATGGTGATTCATATTATACAGTGGCAAAACATTTGGTAAGAATGTTGGTTGGAATAGCTTTGAAGGCAAATCATTTACCTAATGATTTTGAAGGCAAATCATTTATCATTTGTAACCTTATGAAAAGAGGTTGAAAAAAGAATCTTAGTAGCATGTGTTGGTTGCTATTGATTATTCACGGCAAGCTCAGGAAAAAACTGGTCAGTGCAAGCAGGAGTACAAGGGAAGAGAGGGAGTCCAGAAATTTGGAGAGACTTGTGGGTTTGGAAGAGACTACTGCTTCTCAAACTCAACTTGTAAAAGAGAAAATTGGACAACGAAGGCTGAATAAACCCATCCTCATGGCAAATAGCAAATCAAGAGTATGGTTGTCATACATTGTTAAAAGCTTTGGATGGATTAAGATGTCTTGGAATAAGGGTCCAACTGATGAGGCAATACCCCCAAAATCCTTTCGATAAGGTAAAATGGCATGGAGGAGTGAAAGCTAAAGTTATGGCTCTCACTCTCTAGCCAGATAGACCTAAGGTATGTGCAAGTCAGAATACATATCTGTATATGTATATATATATATATGTGTGTGTGTGTGTGTGTGTGTGTGTATGTGTGTGTGTCTATATATATACACACATATATAGACACACACACATACACACACATACACATATAAATACATATGTGTGTGTATATATATATATATATATGCAGAGAGAGAGAGTGGGGGGACAGTGAGAGAGAGAGAGGCGGAGAAAATGAAGTGGAGGCATGGGGATGGGAAAGCAAAGAAATACAGCAAATCTAAGTGTATCTAGGAGAGAACCATGAGCATAGCTGCTGGCACAAGGAGGCTACAGGCCTCAAATAGCCACAAAGTTAAGTTTTCAGGAGAGTTGTATTGTCATAAGACCCAGTAGCCTGAACTAAGAGAAATCGACTATTGAAGACCTAAAATGACTTTTGGTCAGAAGTAGATCAATAAAGTTTCTCAGCCTTCATTGAGGGCATGTTCTTCAACATCTGTATTAGAGATCTGTATTAAAGACAATAGAAAAGAAAAAAAAAGTGTCTAGAGGGTGGGAGTCAAGGGCTATGGACAGTGATGTTTGGAGAGCTTCTCCCATACAGCAAAACTGCAGCCTATTTAAGGAGCATTCTCCACCCCTGGGGTGGAGGACCTTTGCTGTGCCCACTCAGAGGAATTTTAGGATGGCTGCAGGCCAGTGACTGCTGTGGGTCTCCCACACTTCCTCATATTTCACTTTTGTATATTGGTGTGAGTTGGGCCTACAACTTACTGTCTAGATCTCCAGATCGAGAAGAGTTATACCCACATCTTATACAGAGATTCCCATGCATCACCTAGAAATTCTAGAGATGTTTCTAAATGGGAAGGACATCACAAAGTAAGCCAAAGATTTAAACCGACTAAGGAAAGATAATTGCAACACATGTGACAGAAAAGGTCCCAATCATTATTATATTAGGAATGCCTATAAATCAACAAGGAAACATGCAATGGGACAATAAAATGATGAGCAAAGAACAGCTAATGTGTTGTTAGTCTGGGTCTAGTGAGAAATAGATGCCAATAGGGGATTAAATGTGCAAGGGGAATTGAGAGGAAATGGGGAGGAATCTGTTAAAGGCTGGGAAGGTTCTTAGACCACGATGCAAATCTGACCCTAAGTGAAAGAGAGAGGGAAGGAACATTGAGTAAAAGCATTTCAGACCAAGGGTACAGTCTAAGGAAACTTCTGCGAGGTTGTTGAGGACCCTTGAGCCAATGTAACCCTCTGAGGAGTCTTGTGTCTCTCAGGAATGGGCCTGCCTAATATCTCTGCCATGCTCAGTAATGGGCAGGGAGCAGAGGACAGCAACTAGGACTCTTGGTCAGTTGTGCCCCTTGTAGTTGGAGGTCTGCAAGACATAATCTTATGGCCATCACTGTTAACTTTAACAGTGATATGAAACACATGAAGAGATGGACAACTATTCTCATAATAACTGTATTTCAAAATAAAACAATGACAAGAGATTACTTTTTTTATCCCCCACATAGGTAAAAGATTTTGAGAAAGATACTAGACCCTATTGGTAGAGATGTGGGAAACAGCAAACTTATCCTTCAGTTTTGAGAATGTAAGTTGATATAATTTTTCCACAAGACATTTTGCCGTATCTCTTAATATTACAAATGCACACACGCATAGCCCAGCAATTCTATCTTTGTGATGTATCCCACAGATACATTCACAAATGCACAGAGAAGTATGTCCCAGGATATTTATTTAATGAGTGCTTGTAATAGCAAAAGATTGGAGACAACTTAAATGCCCATCAGTATGGAACTGATTATGTAAAGTATGTCTATCCATAAAATTAAATACATGCCTTTAAAATAATGAGGCATGTAATGATAAGTCACACTATCTGTGATATATGTTAAAGTTGAAAAAGAATATGCAGAACAATGTGTAAAGTATGCTAAATTTGTGTTTTAAAAAGAGAGAGTCCCTATATATGCATCATTTGTATATGCGTAATGTACCCCTGAAAGGCTACATGAGAAACTAATGTTACCTGCTGCCCCTGGGAGAGGATTTTAGGGGACAGAAGTTGGAAGAAGACTTAACTGTTCACTGTGTTTCTTTTAGTACTATTTGAATATTTTACCAAGAGTATTTTTTTTTTTTTTTGAGATGGAGTCTTGCTCTGTCACCAGGCTGGAATGCAGTGGCACAATCTCAGCTCACTGCAACCTCTGCCTCCAGGTTCAAGCGATTTTCCTGCCTCAGCCTCCCGAGTAGATGGGACTACAGGCATCCACCACCACACTCAGCTAATTTTTGTATTTTTAGTAGAGATGGGGTTTCACCATGTTGGACGGGGTGGTCTCAGTCTCTTGACCTTGTGATCCACCTGCCTCAGCCTCCCAAAGTGCTGGGATTACAGGCATGAGCAATCATGCCCGACCCCCCATGAGTATTTTTTAAGTAAAAAATTTAACAGTTTAAAACTGAGTAATACATTAAAAACAAACAACAAACAAACCTTTCTTCCCCACCCCCCGCCACCCGTAGCTACCATGCATGCATCAATTTCATTTCTTATCATCCTGTTATATGGTCATGGAGAACTGTCCTTGGCTGGCATCAGTACACATTATTAAGTTAAAAAAAAATTCAAATGTTATTTCAGTCACATTGGAATCTTGTGCTGGGACAATTTTGCCTAAATTGAGAAGATTTGTCTTCTACCAGAATCTGCCCTTAATGAACATTACTACAACATCTGAAGAAAATCCAGAATACAGTGTGATAATCAAGTTTGGGCATGATTTTATGCTTTCATTTATCACTTTGCAAAAGATATTTTGAAATGAAAAAAAAAAACCCCACATATCTCTTGGAGGTTATGCATTAGTATGGGAAGCTATGAATGAAGAACATGATATGACACACTCTTTCTGTTTTAAAGGAAAATCAGAAATATAAACATTATATTTTTAATGTGATGCCTATTATTTGCACTTATATATTTGAATTTATATATTCTTGGCTCCCATCTGCATCTCTGAGATACAGTATATGGTATCACACAACTGAAGGAATCTTAGAGATCATTTTTTTTTAATGTTACAGATAAAAAACTGGGGCCTAGAGAGATTAAATTTCTCAAGGTCACATAGTCAGAATTAAAACCAAATTTTCTCACTTTCTGGCATCAGAATATTTAATGTGAGCATGACTCTGTCTTCACAAATGCAGTGTCTCTGACCACACTACCTAGGGCTCAGGAAACACTTTATGTGGGCTTCTTTGTATACGCTCTCTTTTCCTTCAAGTGCTTAGGCCTTCCCAGAAAGATGACTTGTGGGCAAACATTTGTTGGAGAGCCAGATAGCAAGGTTGACATAAGAACTGAGATTGGTCATTTTTCTCCATTTAAAAATTTATCTTGAGCCTTTTTTCCTTTTCACAACTACCATATGAGTATTGATTTTAATTAGTTCTGTCTATTAAGATTCCCCTTAGGTTCAGAAGCCAGACTGGTAATTAACTGTTCAGCTTTCCTCTTGCTGACGGCATTGTTAGGTGAGTTGCTGCTACCCTCAGTCAAATACTGGGATCAATGTTCCTCTATGGATCCACCCTTAAGAGTTCAGACTCAGATAGAATTCCTGTCTCAGGTGATTTCCCCTAATTCTTATAGACATGGGAAGAGAAAAAGGAGACTCCTCAGATTGTTGACATTTTCCCTATTCATTATGGTGAATACACTTAAACCAAAAACTCAGAATGGTGTGCCTGTTGTAGGCAAGTAATGTATTGATGTCCAGATGGATTACTTGAAGCTTGCTTGATGGGTTAATATCAAACCATTTCCTTTTGCATTTCCTGAATGAATGTGGTACTTCTGTTGGGTAGAGCAGGGCCTGAAATTGTATAGTCAAAAGTTTTCTTCTGCTTTCATTTTATTCTGAATTCTGGGAAAGGTAGAGATTGTGCCTCAATAATTTATTGATATATGAAATTTAATCTCCCAGAAATATATGTGATGTTCAGACTTTTAGAATAAAATTTCTGAGACTGAATTCCTGAAGTGCGTATTCGGTATTTATGCAGATTTTCGTGACCAAATTTGTGTTTGAGTTTGTAGTTACAATGTAATAGGTGTTTGGGATAATGATAGTAATTCTGGATTTGTTTGTAGATAATTAATTAATAATTGGGTATGCACCATGACAACAACCTTTTAGATTAAATCAAAATCATTGCCGTTTTCTGGGGTGTTTTATTGAGTGCAACCCCTTATTTTTAATGAAACAGCTAAACAGTTTAATGTATCCTTTGTGATGTTCACAAGCTCTGGATTTACTGTGATTAGGATGACACTACAAAATTCTCTGTGTTCAGCTGAACAAAAATTGAAGGTAGAGAATGTCCGGGCCCATCTGTTTCTTATGTGCCAAGTGCCTTTCCTTTATGACTACTCTTCCCTCCCATGGTGTCCCGTCTGCCTCAGCAGACTCTCTCTTGGGTACCTTGAAACATTTGCAGTCAAAATTTATTTCCTGAATTTGGTAGCCAAGACTGTCCGTCATAGCTGAGGATTTAGTTCCTTTGTGATATTTTTATTCTTGCCTGGTCAATCTGGGAGAGTTAGACTTGAATGAAAGTTGAATTCACATCTTGAGGGCTAGCTGGAACAGAGGACTTAGAGTGGTCATTATAAAACAAATCATATAATTAGATGACTGTCTTTGCTCATCTACTCCTGGATAATATTTTTAAGCGCCTGTCATATGGCAGACTGAAATGAAGCACTTTGTGCCCCTTGTCTTATGCTTAGCAAAGCATCACTGGGCAAGAAAAATATAGGGATGCACTGAAGCATAACACAAATTTGCTGCAGTGCCATGGACTTTTAGAAAGAAATGATAGATTATCAACCCACGGGTAGTAGAGTTAAACAATTTATTCATTCAGTCGTTAGTTATTGAGTGTATAGTATTTACATAACATCCTAAGATCCATAAAGTAAACTCTAGATTTCCTGCCCTCAAGGAGAATATTTCTAGGAGTGATTTAGTCTGATCAAAGATATTGTGCTTTCTGTGAAACAAATGAACTGAAGTGGTTACAACGACAGAGCCTGTGAGCAGCTGTCACATAATTGAGCCAGAGAAGAGGGTATTCATGTACTCAGCTCAGAAAAGACTTGGGTCACACGTAACTATGTGTAGGAACACGACTCACAGCTGGATTTTAAGGGCAATTATGCAACTATGACAATACTAAGCAAGATCTGATTTCCCTTTAGACTTGAGTCCTGCAAAATAGAAATGTGTTATCTATCTTCTTTCACAGCAACACTTAATGATATGTCTGTGCAGCAACAGAACAATCCTTTAAGCAAGAAAGTGAGTGACAGTCATTGACAAAATTTGCTGGGAATTAATTTTCTTCAGTTCCCTAGTGAGCACATGCATTTTATACTTCCAGTTGATTGTTGCAGATGAAAGGAATGCAGAATAAAATGGGGCTATATTCAATACATGTTAAATGTAATACTTTATACTTTCAGGAGAATAAATGTTTGTATTTCTTCCAAGGAGGGTTATATAGAGGCTAAAGTTGCTGGTGATGAAACATTAAACGTTTGAGTACTAACCCACCTTGAGATTACTTAATACTGTATATTCTGAGGCCATTGCTTCAGGTGTCTGATGTATGGTTATTTCCAATGTTCCTCTTCTGGAAGATGGTGCTCATGGGAAGAATAAACAGGACTAGGAAATAAGATTTTTTTAAAAGCAGTTTCTTTAAAGTTATTCACAGTTTATCCTCTGAAAGGATTGCTTTATAAGAATCAACAGGATCATACATGCTAAATTGTATTTAAATGCAAGTTTGCTATTAACACACATCCCCAAGATAGCATAGAATGAATAAAGGTATACCTCTGGGATCAGACAGCCAGATTGATTTGAGTCCTGGCTCTGACATTTATTAGCTGTATGACCTTGGCCGTGTTACTTAACCTCTCTGTGCCTTAAAAGGTATCTAGCTCTTAAAGTTGTTGTGAGGACTAAATAAGTTAATAATAACTCGAGTTGCATATCTAATACATGTTTAACATGTATTGAAAATTATCCTGTGTGTTCCTGGTGTAGAGCATGTGCTCAAAAGGTGCTTGTGGTTGTATTGTCATTATCTCCAACCTTAGCCATTTGCTATTGTATCATACCAAGGGCCACCAAACTTCATGTCTGTCAGTGACTGCTTGATTGTGTAACCCCAGAAACATTTTTAGTGATCATAGAGTGATTATCATTCCTTAGCCTAGGCTAATTCCCAAGATCCACTTCTTTTCCAAATGCTATATGTTGGATAAATTTCTCTTTATTTACTTTGTATATGATTTACTGCCTCTTTCTAAAAGGGATTCGGTGTCGATTTGAAGTCTGAGTCCTCCAATTGCACTGGCGTTTCCTGGGGGGTCATTTCAAAGTTGTATACAGAGACGTTATTGTTCTCTGCTACCACATGACTGAACAAATGTGACACAATCATTTTCTTGTTGGAGGCAAATTTGCTGACTGTGGAATTTCTATTGAAAAATTTAATATAGGATCTAAAGGATCCTCCTTGGCTTCACATAGATTGTAATTGAACTGATGTCAGAATGTTCTGATGATACAAGAACTAACTCCCATCCCACCAGGACTGTAAATATTTCCTTAGCACCTGCTATGTGCAAGGTAGAAAATATTAGCTTATCACTGTCACTTACCTTCACAATATCTATTTCCAAATCAATAAGCATGGCATGTCAAATTTTCCAAGTTTCAGGCACCAGAATAGATCCAATGGGAACTTTCTGAGTACTGTGTTGAAAAACAAAACAAAACAAAATTGAGAAGAGGACGAATTTCTCTCAGTCTCACCAGCCAGAAAATATCCAAATATATCAGAGTACCAAGAATAGGGCAGCCTGAGAAAGGAGAAGGAAACGTGGTGTCCAGGCCACACCACTGTGAGAGGCTGTGTGAAGACAGGGAACATGGCTACCCTTCATTCTTTTCTCTCTGCCTTGTGGTTTCTGTCAGTTTTCTACCTGCCAGGAGGAGCCTGGGTCTAAGCCCCTGCCTTCCATTCTGCCTCCTGTCCCCACCCCTGATCTTGGTGAACCCAGTGCTTTTAGACTCATCTTTTCCAGTCAATTCAAATCTCCTTAGGCTCTGTCCCTCTGCTGTTTCATTCTCTGACAGTCACCAGAGAAATGAGCAATGGTACTCACTCTGGCCATCTTGGGGTCACTTTAATTCCAGGGTAGGCGTGTGTCCATGCATTTGTATGAGCTGGAAGAGGTAAGGATCAATATGTATTTAGGAAACAATGTGAGTAACTCTCATGCAGCTTCTAATAAATCTAGGCACCTTAGCTATTACTTTTTTTATTGAATAAGCCAGGGCATTCAATGTTGACTGGATTTTTAAGAATACATTAATTTATGTATATATTTTGTATGTCTATATTTTTACATATAATATAAATATAAAATTTTTATCACTATATATTAATATTCATTTTTATATGTATAATGATTAAACACAGTTTTTTGTTCCACTGATGGGCTAATTTGCTTGTTTTCAGTAAGAAATGTTTAAAGAAATGTACAGATGAAGTAAAGTATATAAACATGCATAAGTTAAAACACATCACCATGAGAATATTGCAAAAGGAAGAAAAGGGAGAACCATATCATTATTTGATTTATTTAAAAAAACTTTATAATTTGTAGCATTGTGTGTTAGTTATCTTGTGAAAGACAAATAAAATATTTGCCCAAGAGTGTGCAGGGACGTGCCAGTGTGCGTGAAGACACATGTTGGTCTGTATTTCAGTGCATACCCTAGTTTACACTCTTCAGAAGCCATGAAGCTGGGGCTCCTGGTCATGCCCTCCACTATCTCTCCTCCCCTGGCCAAGGTGAGAGTTTCTCATTGTCACACCCACCCAGGGGCAGGCTTCTGACCTTCAGTTGCTCTAAGGACCAATGAATGTCAAGGGCCTTCTAGCTTCCGCTACTCTGGCAAGGGGACTGTTACACCATGTAAAATAAGAATTATCCTACAAAATCCAGGGCACAGAGAGCAGAACATGTTGGAATGTACTGTTTAGATGACCAACAGCCACCAAAATTGGAGTGGGGAGGAAGGATACCTGTCATGTATGTTTTCAGCATAGAGTCCCCCTCTGCCCTGACAGTGTTTCCATCACTGTACATTGGCAATTCCATGTAGAATTATTTACAGGTGCAAATGACCTCTTTGCTGGCTCATTCATTTTGCTTTGA